>NC_000002.12:231125981-231429011 GCF_000001405.40 Homo sapiens
TGCTGCTTTTTTAAAAACTCAAAATTTACTATATTAGAAAAAATACTTGTGAAGAATTCTAGATGAAATAATATTCAAGAGAAATCAGATGTTTTTTAATGTACCAGAATTTCTATTCAGGAATATGAAAATATTTTAAGGCAAGGTGCGGTGGCTCATTCCTGTAATTCCAGCACTTTGGTAGACCAAGACAGGTGGATTGCTTGAGTCTAGAAGAGACCAGCTTGGGCAACATGGCAAAACCCCATCTCTACAAAAAAAACCACATAAATTAGCCAAGGGTGGTGGTTCACACCCGTAGTCCCAGCTACTGGGCGGCGGCGGAGGGGTTGAGGGTTAGGGGTCAGGGGAGACCTGAGGCAGGAGGATTGCATGAACCTGGGGGAGGTCGAGGCTGCAGTGAGCTGAGATCACACCACTGCGCTCCAGCTTGGGGTGACAGAATGAGATCTTGTCTCCAAGATTAAAAAAAAAAGAGGAAAAGAAATTATTTTTAAATACTGCTTAGTTGTGAGTTACACTTTGACATCTGTGCTTATGAAGGCAGGTAGGGATCTGCAAAACAAGTAATGTCAGATTGAAAATAGCAGCACCATTTTATATCCAGTGAAAAGACTTGTATGAAATAAGCCTTTATTGATTTGTTTATAGATAAAATTTTTTAAATATTAAGTATATTATAAAAATGCAGTCATTGTTGTATTTTGCCTGTATTAATCCTTTCACTCACATTCACTCATTTTTTGCCTCAACTTATAAAAAGTAAGATTGGTACTCTGATTTTTTTTATTTTTGCTTTTTTAAGTCTGTTTAATGTCTAAGGAACGTAACTAGTTAGAACAGCTACTTATTTGGCAATCTCAAGTTATGGGAAGCATAGCTGAGAATCAAGAAAAAAGCAAAATAATAATAAATAAATAATTATATAAAAGGATAGTTGAGTCTCAGCAAATAACTAAACCTGTGCTCTAAAACCCTAAGCACTTTAAGTAGAAAGTAGCCTCTAAGTCCCCACTCCATATCTTTTTACTCTTTACACACATACACGCACACACACGCACAGACGTATACACACACACAAAACTTTGCCTCTCCCCCTTCTTTAGTGAAAATAACATTTGTACATGGTGGTAGATGTAGATAGTACAAAAGAATGTTGAGTGATAAATTCATGTGAGACAATTTTAATAAACATGTTTCCCTGCCTACTCCAGATTTGAGTAACAAGTTAAAAGGTGGACAAGCACTTTGATAATAGCAAATAGGGTCAACTGAAACAGCAACAACAACAACAAAAAAAAAAAAAACAAGAATTTAAATGTATAAACATGTAGGTCTACTCAAAGTAGAGACTTGTACCTTTTTTTGTGTTTGTTTTTGTTTTGTTTTTTGAGACAGAGCCTTCCTCTGTCACCCAGGCTGGAGTGCAGTGGCACAATCTCAGCTCACTGCAACCTCTGCCTCCCAGGTTCAAGCAATTCTCCTGTCTCAGCCTCCCAAGTAGCTGGGATTACAGGCGCCTGCCACCACGCCTGGCTAATTTTTGTATTTTTAGCAGAGACGGGGTTTCGCCATGTTGACCAGGATGGTCTCGAACTCTTGACCTCAAGTGATCGCCTGCCTCAGCCTCCCAAAGTGCTGGGATTACGGGCATGAGCCACCGCACCCCACGCCCTTTGACAACATTTTATGTGGCATAATGATGGATAGCACAGTGATGACTTCTGTGTACTTAAGAAAAGGCTAGATCATGTTCATTCAGCAAATAAATGTGAAATGAATTTATTAAATATTTCTATGCAAATAATAAGAAATATAAAAGTATGATTCTTAATGGTAGAGTGAAGTTTTTAATATCTGGAAGCTTCATTTGTGTAGAATATTTCCTTTCCCAAAAGCTTCAGATAAAGTAACTCTTACTAAAGTAACTTCAAGGTCAGACTCAGCCTCTAATCCAGTAATAACCAAAAAAACCTAATTGGCACATTTTTTTCTAAGACAATTGAATTTTCTCCCTGATGTCTTTTTAATTTATTGAGCAGATTCTGTCTTTGACCGAAAAGGGCAGTCTAATATTCTTTATAGGTCTAGGAAGACAGCTTAAATATCAGCCAAGAACACTTTTTTACCTCTCAGTCATAATACCTATTAAACAGTAACCATAAAGGAATGTTTAACATGACAGGGATTGTATCTGCTACATATTCATTTGTGAAGTATTTACTAAGTGCCATATGCTCATGGAGATATATTAATGAATAAGGTAAACATTTTCTGTCCTCATGTAATTTATAATTTTATGGAGGATGCAAACAAGTATATTGGTAACTATAGTACAGATAAGGTAGAACTAAGACTAGCTCACTTCAACAGGACCTACAGTGGAGTTCAAATATTTCTCAGCTTTCTTTTTATTCATTCCTCTCATGTTCATTCTCTTTGACAAGATCAGTGAAAGAGCTGAAACTATAAGAATAGCTATTTCAAACTTAATCTGTTCTCGTTAGACTCCTTCATTCTCTTCTGACTGCCTGTTATTTTAACGAAAGACTTTGACAAATCAAAAACAAGCTTCCTTCACTGTCTTCTCAAAATGTCTTTCTTTTCATCCATCCTATCCTTCTTTGGGATCATGTTATCATTCCTTTCCACAATTGACTTCTACTTAGGTTCTTGATCCCATCTCATATGTATATGAAGTCTGTGTTGCTTCCTCTGGCATTAACAGCCTATACCAGGAGTGTGATAGGCTGCCATCTCTACTGTCACAGCTAGTCTAGGAGTGGGGGTGTGGTAGGCAGACAGTTTAAGATGCCACAGTGCTGTCTTACCACAATACAGCACCTTCTTCTTTAAGCCCTCCCCAGGTTAAGTTTTTTACTGGATTCCTGTGTAAAAGTTGATCTAGACAATTTTTGCCAGGTTATTGCCAGAACAAAAGAATAAGATTTTTTTTTGTCATCGAAACTCTAGAGTACAACCTGATGTCATAAAATGGTGTTGTCCTTTAATCAAAAGACTGCTATACCTGGAATTATAGTTGATGATCATAACCCAAATATCTTTTGGAGTAGATATGCTCAACTCTGCATGTCCTCAGTAATCACAGTAATCAGCTATTAGAAATAGACTTTTATCATTAGAATACTTGTTTAAATATCAGAAGTGATTAAAACTTTTTGAGAATCAAAGTACATTTATGTTGATTACTATAAAAATCAAAGAAATATCAATACAGTTCTCAATGAATAGCAGTAAGTTGATGGCAGCTCACTCATACTGCAAGACTTTTCTTAGTTTGCTGATTAGAAATGAAAACAAGTGTGCTAATAATGCTGCAACTTTGAATATTACAGATTTCTGTAGGTCCAGGAATGCAATCTGAGATTTTTAAGAGCTCTATTTATTATGGTGACACAGCAATTTCTTTGTATAAGGCTTGTGACTCTTCTTACATCTTTAAAATTCCCTCCCTCGCCCATTTTAGCAGCACCTGAAAAGTATTAGTCTTTTTGGAAATGTACCAAAAGCTTGCCTAAAAGTATACTAATTTTTAGTTTTCTGAAGTCCAGGAAGATGACAACAAATAAATTCTCTTTCACTGAATTTGTAACATTTATGGCACAGTCTGTGTGGTTTTGTTTTTTGCTTTTCCTTGTGGTAAGTTATATGTATTCACTATATACTAAACTGATAAGAGTTAAAAGCTACAAATAGCAGTAGCTTAGAATATGGAGGTACGAAGAACAAAAGTATGTTTGGGAAAGAAAATTGTTTTCTTTCTCAGCTTTTTCCCTGAAAATGTTTTATGCCACAAAATTCAAAAAAGCATAATATATTTCCCCTACTTTTTTGTTTTTTACCTGTAATGGCACTGTTTGTTTGTTTTCGAGACGGAGTCTCACTCTGTCACCCAGGCTGGAGTGCAGTGGCACTGTGTCAGCTCACTGCAACCTCTGTCTCCCGGGTTTAAACAGTTCTCCTGCCTCAGCCTCCCAAGCAGCTGGGATTACAGGCGCCCACCAGCACGCCCAGCTAATTTTTATATTTTTAGTAGAGACGGGCTTCACTGTGTTGGCCAGGCTGGTCTCAAACTCCTGACCTCAGGTGAGCCACCACACCCGGCCAATGGCACTGTTGTTTCTTTTATTATTATTACAAGTTGTATGAACTAGCCAAAGAATAAAATAAAGGAGAACAAGAAAAGTTCCTCAGATTCCCACAACATGTAGCTCTGTCGTTGAGTACACATGCAGCTGGCAAATTTATAATTGTCTAAGTAAATATACTTTTTTCTGTAAATATACTTTTAAATAACATATCAAAACATGTGAAAGAGCTAAGTTATAGGTAACACATTCTATGCTAATAAAATTGTCTACCAAGTATTGATTTCTTTCCTCTCCACTGCCCTTCCCTAAAATAAAGTCCAGTGTTTTTCCTGTGACTTGACCATTTCTCAACATTTAGTTTTCTAAATACGTTGTTTTGTTTTGTTTTGTTTTTTGAGACAAGGCATCACTCTGTTGCCCAGGCTGTAGTGCAGTGGTGTGATCTCAGCTCACTGCAGACTTGACTTCCTGGGCTCAAGTGATCCTCCCAAGTAGCTGAGACTACAGGCATGCACCTCCATCCCCGGCTAATTTTTGTATTTTTTGTAGAGATGGGGTTTCGCGGGAATGCCAAGGCTGGTCTTGAACTCCAGGGTTCATGCAATCAGTCCTCCTGCCTCGACTTCCCAGAATGCTGGGATTACAGGCATGAGTTACTGTGCTTGGCCAGTTTTTCTAAATATGTTTATGGAGACATAGAAATAAGCTTTATTGCTGATTAAGGATTAGTCATTTAAATACTTTGTTATAAATGCTGATCCAAGGTATTATAAGAAACTGGAGGAATTATTTCGTGATGTTATCTAGAAGGCAAATGTTTATACTGAAGAAAGATTTAGGGAGTGTCAGAATTATTGAAAATAACTGAAAGAAAGCCTAGTGGATTGTTACTAATGATTTAATGTATTTTCTTTTAACCTGTAGGTTCTCTCTTCATCTCTTGCCTTGCCCTCTTTTTCTTTGTTTTCTTCCTCCTTGCAGTTTATTTGTTGAAGAAACCAGTTATCTCTGTTTTGTTTCCCATGGTATGAATTTTGCTGAGTGCATCTTTACATGTAGTTTAATGTGTTGTTTGGTCCTTCACATTTCCTGTAAATTGACAGTTGAATCTACAAGCTTGATCACATTCACATTTTTTTTAGGGTGGTGGGGCTGGCGGTACACACAGTTATTTCCATTTTCATGATGTTAGCAGTCGTTGATAATCATGCTGCGATCTATTCATTATATGTTACAAAATGGTGATATAATTTTATCATTTATTAACTGTTCCTTTAAAAGTTTATATCATATATCTCTGTGTGTATATATAAAGATTAATGTGCAGGAGTTTTGCTTTCAGTGAATGTTTGCATTCCAATCATTGCTTAGAAAGTTTTTTTGCCCTTGCCGGGCGCGGTGGCTCACGCCTGTAATCCCAGCACTTTGGGAGGCCGAGGCGGGCGGATCACGAGGTCAGGAGATCGAGACCATCCCGGCTAAAACGGTGAAACCCCGTCTCTACTAAAAATACAAAAAATTAGCCGGGCGTAGTGGCGGGCGCCTGTAGTCCCAGCTACTTGGGAGGCTGAGGCAGGAGAATGGCGTGAACCCGGGAGGCGGAGCTTGCAGTGAGCCGAGGTCCCGCCACTGCACTCCAGCCTGGGCGACAGAGCGAGACTCCGTCTCAAAAAAAAAAAAAAAAAAAAAAAAAAGAAAGTTTTTTTGCCCTTTTAGAGTTGCCTGCTGAAACATTGAAATAAACATATAAGAATATTATGGTTTTACTGTACTCTTGAAAAGATTGAATGTCTAAACTAATTTAATAAAGAATTTCTCATTTCTTGTCTTAACACTTGTTTTTTCTAAAGAATGTGTCAGAGTTGGAACTGTTGTTAGATTGAGACACTGTCAGGTTTTTTATATGCTTTTGAGTTTATAGCCTTCACAGCCTATTTCAGTCTTTATTGCAATTAACTAGGTAAAGTTCTGCATTAGGCTCCTGGTATTTATGTTCTCAGGCAAAATTTTTTCTAAACCTCATGGAATTGTTAGTGCCTTTTGGGAAGCAAAACTTAAGTCTAACTTCTATCCCCTTTCAGAAAACTTTTCTACTAAAGAAAAGAACTTGAGTTTTGTGGTTGGTTTAAGAATAGTATATATGTTATATTTTATTTACTCTTTTATAACAAGTAAAAATGACAAAATAAATGAAATGTTGACAGATTTTAGGATAAGCTCTTTCCTGTGAGTCAGTTTTCCCTGGAATATCCTGCCCTTGCAGCCAAGGGGTAACTTGATAAGTATCCTGCATGCCATTAGTTCCCTAACAAGTTGATGACGAAATTCTGGAGGTCTGAACCCTAAATATAACCAGCTTTCTAGGTTTAATATTCAGCTTGTTTTATATTTTGATAAACCTTTGGACATCAAATGTTAGTAGCCAAAGTTCTGGTTCTGATCCAAAGCCAGTTTCTGGTTATGCATCTAGATTTCAGTGATGGTAGTATGGTATTTTCCTCTACCACTCCACCGACTCTCCCCAGCATACATAAGGAGGAGCAGGTATTGTTTTATGGATAAGGCAATTAAGGCTCAGAGAAATTTAGTGATTGTCACCCTGCTAATAAATGGCAGCACTAGAATTGGAATCCAGGTCTTTCTGATTCTAAGCCTCTGTTCTGTCTACCACAACAAATGGAAGAGAGGTCAAGAAAAGAGATCCTTTAAGGAATCACTATGTTATTTCCAGTGAGAGGTGATAGGAACTGAAACAAGGCAATTGGAAACAGAAGTAAGATTTAAGGGGTTCTCTTGACTTGGCGGCAGATTATATGTGGAGAGTGAGGGAACAGAATGATTAAAGATACGAGTTTCCTAGGTATGTCAATGAATTGTCATGGTGGGAAGAGAAGCAACTTGGAGAGGGATGCCCTTTTTTATTCCTTTCTTTGTGGGTTTTTAAATGTTGATTGAGGTTTGTGGTATACTTGGTTAAAGATTTCCAATAGGCACTTAGAATTTCAGATTACTACTCAGATTATTTGGAATCTGTTGTTAGAGAGTACAAGGGAATTAAATAGAGACAGATATATTCTTTTTTTGAGACAGTGTCTCACTCTGTCGCCCAGCCTCCTGAGTAGCTGAGACCACAGATGCGCGCCACCACACCCGGCTAATTTTTGTAGTTTTTGTAGAGACGGGGTTTCACCATGTTAGCCAGGCTAGTCACGAAATCCTGGACTCAAGCAACGGGGGCAGATATATTCTTAATTGCTGTGTATTGAGTTAATCCTCTAACACTGTGGCACTTACCTAATGAGAATTATAAATTCATAATTCTGCTAAGGGACTATCCTGAGGCTTAAAGCCTGAAAAATTCCCTCTGAATTCTTACCTAGCATTATAGGCACATGGCCACAAAGGTGGTTTTCCCAGGGCACAGTTTGTCCATTGCACTTTGGATGAGCTGACCCCTTGATGTGTCTAAATGTGGAAAATTTGATTGCATAATTTATGGTATTGGGGGATGGGGGACTGCTTTCAGGTAGTTCCCTGGGGTCAGGGGGGAAGAATTCCCTCTGTGATAGCCCCATTTAGAATAGTGTTTCTGCCTATCTATGTATATTGCTGTTTTTCCTCCTTTAGTAAAGATGGATTAGAGGGGGAAAAGAAAGACACCATATTCTTGAAAGCATCTTGATTTATTAGTGATTTAATGTTGAGGTTGCACAAAATATTCATAAAGAAATAGTATTTAAAAGCCAGTGTGTTGAAAGAAAGGAATTCATATGTGCAGTTTATGGTCCAATGATATGGCAGTGACTTATGCATATGCCCTTGCACAATTCCTGCTCTGTGGAAGGCTTGTACAAATAGTAACATTGGCAAGATGACTGTTAGTTACAAACCAAGAAATTTTATTGAAACAACAAATTAGAATGTAGTTAGCTTATTTTGGTGTGCGTTTCATTTTTTAAAGCAGAAAATTACAACTTTTTTTCATTAAAAATTGAATTACATACTTAGGATTAAAGCAAAGTTTTTACTTACTGCTGCCTATTATATTATACCTTATGATGAACCAGAAGTATAGTAATACTAAAGAGCAACAAAGTTGTTTTTCATTTTCTTTACATGATAATTGTATAAACTAGGTTTTAAAGCCTTGGGATACATTCCCTCATGTTACATTTAAAGATTCGACTCCCAAAATTCTGTGTTATCTGTGTGTTTAGAGGGGCAGGAGGAAGGAGACTCTGATCCAAAAAAGATTTAGAACCGCTGTATCAGACAATTGGCAGATAGTCACATAACTAAGTCCCGAGCGAGCCTAAACCAAGACCCAGTTTTTCCAAATGTTTGTTATTGTCTAAACCTACTGTGTCGTGTATAATAATCACTCAATAAATATGACTGACTAGACCCAGCCACCAGGTCTTAAGAAAGATAGAGAGGGTTCTTCAGAAAGCTCTGATTCCTGCCATGCACCCAAGTGGTTATTATGCTAGTAGTCCTGATTTTTTATTTCTAGTGTTATCTTCATTATTCCTCTACACAAAATCAATATGGTTTTTCTACCTACTTTTCCTCAAGCTTGTTTCTCACATTCCAGTGTTCATTCCTTTCCAACAACATTTATCCCTCTGCTATCAGAATTGTGCCCATTCAAGACTCAATTAGCCTTAGAAAGAAATACTCACAGGTATGTCAGTTTTCCCTGGTTTTGATTATCTAGCTGAATTATAAATTTAAGGGAGAAAGCAAAAGTGGAACAGGAAAGAGCTTGGTGTATTTCCTAGTGCTTAACCATTAGGCCTTGAACTTAGTAGAAAATACTTGCTGTCTAAGTCTCTAAATGTAAATTTAGTTTAACTCTCTTTGTCTCTTATTAAGTAATAAAAATTATTTTACCTATAGTACCTGGCACTGTGCTAACAAATTATGGGAGACAGAAAATATAGTCTCAGCCCTTGTGCAGTCTAGAGTGGTTTTATTGGTAATTAATTAGGTGGCAAAACACTTGAGTGAGTTTGTTAGATGATTTGGGTATCAAATTACGGAAAGAGCTTTAAGTTCTTAGCCTTATAGGAGTGAAAATAGAAGTTAAATGGTAGTTTCAACTACAAGTTTTAGAATAACTTTTCAATAGCCTCTTTGGTGTAATATCATTTTAAATTTTATTTTTATTTCATTGGAATGTTACTCATTGAAGAAAAGTTGTCCTATAATAATAGGCATTGATTTAAACCTATAATAATTGGTTCATTTTTAAATGCTGTAGAATTGTAAAGTTGGAACAGACTTACAGAACTTCTAGTCCCATTCTTCCTCTTTTCAGATGAGGAAAGGACCCTGGAATGTTTGGTTGATTGAACATTGTCTAAATTGGCCCAACTATTTAGAGACAAAACAGGAACTAGAACATGAGTTTTAGACTTCATGGTTCCCTCTTATATAACTTACTGTTATTTTTCTCAGTACATAATAACTGATAGCATATATGTTATTACTATATTTTCAGTTACTTGCTCATCTGGTTTTTGTTATTCCTGGAAAACAGTCAAGAAAATCTATCTCTAATTATAAAGGAGAAAACCCAAGTGATTTGTCTAATGTCACATAACTAACAAATTTAGCAAAACTAGAACTAGGACCTAGATCTTTAGTTTTCTAATATATTGCTTTTTTCACACCACCATACTGTTTTTCCCATACTGTTTCTAATAATACTAGTGACAATTAGTATTATTTCCAAATTATTCATACAAGGAAGTTTAGGCAAACTGAGAACATTCTCAAGAAAGAGTGATGGACTCTATTGTAGGGAAAAATAATCTAACCTTTCCTTACTGCAAAATTTCATTTTAACAGTTACAGTTTTCATAAACTTCGTTCTACTCCTTTGAAATTTGAATTCACCACTGTCTGGAGTTTGAGGCTGGAGGACAGTTCCAACATAGAATTATAGATTTGAGTTGGTTTGTGGTAATTGTTTTCATTCATAACAGGATAGTCTTTTTTTAAAATGCCTTTTTAATAAATAAATGTTTTAATTAAATGTCTGAAAACCCTAAAATGTCAATTAATTAAATGCAAGTCAACTTCTATACAGTTACATATAAATTATATTCAGTGTAGGATTTCGGTTCACTTTAGTATTTTTAAAAGAAAGTAGGGCAGGACCTCCAAACTCAGTGCCTGGGCCCTAGGAACTATGAAGGTCTTGAAACAGCCTTTCTGGAGAAGTTGGAAATTCGGGTTTTAATGTGAAATATTCCCATCTTAAATGGTGACAACTTATTTTGAATTTTTTTAAAGTATGTAGGCCAAATAAAATCTGCTACGGGCCAGATTGGGCCCTTGGGCCAATAGTTTATGAATTTTATTTTATTGGTTTGAATTACTGAAATAGTTTTCTTGCTGGTTTTTCCACCTTCATGCTTTTAACCTGTCTTGTTCACAGGTATCTCCTTAATCTTTCTAAATCATCATTCCATTTATCTGCAAAATAAAATGCAAATTGCTAAACCTGACATTCAAGACACTGTATCATTTTGCTCTTAATTGCCTTTCCACTTTTATTTTTTATTACATGTGCTACAAAAACACTGACTGTGTTCAAATTAGACAAGCCAGGTGAATTCCCATCTCTAGACCTTTGCTGACTTACTTTCCTTATCCTGATGCCTATATTCCTCTTCATCATTTGTCCAATTCTTCCAATACTTTCAAAGTCACTTTATGTCTGCATTCTCTGTGAATTCGTCTCCTGACCACTGTTACCTCTTTCTGTGATATTTTTTTCTCCTTAGCATTCATATCTTAGGTAGTTTATGCCGCTTTGCCACTTTTATATATATAATATATATTATATTTACATATAGTATATATATATTATATATATTATATAATTATAATATATAAATAATATATATTGTGTTATATATTTATGTACCATATATAATTATATAATATATAAATATATATATTTTTATGTATAATATATATTTATATATTATATTTTATATATTATATATTTTATTTATTTATTTTTTTCCTTGAGATGGAGTCTCGCTGTCTCACCCAGGCTGGAGTACAGTGGTGCAATCTTGTCTCACTGCAACCTCTGCCTCCCGGGTTCAAGGGATTCTCCTGCTTCAGCCTCCCGAGTAGCAAGTTGCAGTTGCCCACCACCATGCCTGGCTAATTTTTGTATTTTTAGCAGAGAGGAGGTTTCACCATGTTGGCCATCTGGTCTCAAACTCCTGACCTCAAGTGATCTGTCCACCTCAGCCTCCCAAAGTGCTGGGATTACAGGCATGAGCCACTGTGCCCGCCTTTAATACACATTCTTATGTGTGTTGGTTTTGTCTCAGTAAATGTTTGGCGATGGTGAAAAATCTAGAGCTGTATATGCAGCTTCAAAGTCTAGGAAAGAGCCTAGTTTCTTTTTTTTCTTTCTTTTTTTTGTAATTTCAACTTTTATCTTAGATTCTGGGGGTACATGTGCAGGTTTGTTATGTGTGTATATAGTGTGATGCTAAAGTTTGTGGGACGGTAGATCCCGTCACCCAAGTATTATGCATAGTACCCAATAGTTTTTCAACCCAGCACCCTTCCCTCCTCCCTCCAGTTCCCAGTGTTCATTGTTGCCTTCTTTATGTCCATGAATACCCAGTGTTTAGCTCTCACTTATAAGTGAGAACATGCAGTATTTGGTTTTCTGTTCCTGCCTTAATTCACTTAGGATAATGGCCTCCATCTGCATCCATGTTGCTGCAAAAAACATGATTTCATTCTTCATGGCTGCAAAAAAATCTTTTTATTGAAGTTTAATATACATTCAAAAACATGCACAAAATCATTAGCCCACAGCTTGATGAATTTTCACAACTGCATACACCTGTGTAACCAGTACCCAATTCAAGATCATAACATTACCAGCCTTCCAGAAGCTCTTCTTACATTCTCTTCTAGTTATTACCCTAGTCCTGCTGCTCTTCAAGGATAGCCACTGTGCCAGCCAGGATCATCTTTTAAAAGATGGGGTCAGGTATACCATTAGTCAAGTTTGTCCTATTTTTTATCTTGTTGCAAATATGGAGAGAATGAAAAATAATTTCTCTTCTTACCAACACAAAAATAATTGCTAAAGCAAAAATGCAGAAGTCAGAATTTCTTCATTATCAAGGCTTCTTTATCAGTTTATTATTCAACTAAAGTGATACTGGGGGATTTAAATCTTTCATGTAACTTAGGAAATGTCCAGGAATTACTATAAATGACTTTTGTCTTCTGGAACAAAATGCAAAGTAACCAAGAAATAGGAAAATAGATGTAGAGCAGTGTGCTACCCCCAACATGGCTGTTCCTGCCATGGAGGAGGTACCAGAGAATAACTGGAATCCAGACCTATGGCTGAGGACTCACTTATACTGAGAAAGGAGTCCCCTTTCTGTACATATATTCTCTGAATATTGAAGATCAGATTTCTTCTATCAATAATTAGAACTCTATGAAAGATTTTTAATTCTGCAATTTATGTTTTAAATGCTCATTGTTTCCTATAACTTTTTCAAAAACAACTTGGTTAAAACTCTTCTGTCTTAACTTAAAATAGATTACCTATAACAGTGGCTTCGCTTTCTGTTTCTTATCAGAACCCCTGAACAGTGCCCAAGTGTTGTCTCTTTGTTGTCAGAGAGTTACAACCCTCATGTGCGCTACGGAGCTGCAATGGCCTTGGGGATATGCTGTGCTGGTACAGGAAACAAGGTAAAGCCCACAGCCAATGGGGTCAGTTCTTTCTTGGCGCCAGACTGTTTTCCCTCGCCGCAGAATTTATGTAACAGCTGTAAAAATACAAGTGCAATGTGATCTGTAAGAGTAAACTTGCCATACAAAGCTTCCCAGTACTCCCTCATTCTGCGATGCTGGATTGCCCAAAGCTGCTTAAGAATAAATCGTCACATTACATGGATAGCTGTAACTGAAACAGTGCTTTTGAATTTCTTTTTGAAATCATTGATTTCTGGGTTTTTTGTTTTTGTTTTTTTTGTTTGTTTATTTGTTTTGAAACGGAATTTCACTCTTTCATCCAGGCTGGAGTGCAGTGGCGCAGTCTCACCATGTTGGCCAGGCTGGTCTCGAACTCCTGACCTCAGGTGATCCACCCGCCTTGGCCTCCCACAGTGCTGGGATTACAGGCATGAGCCACCGCACCAGGCTTTTTTTCTTTCTTTTTTTTTTTTTTTTTTTTTTTCTTTTGAGTCTTGCTCTGTTGCTTGGGCTGAAGTGCAGTGGCAGGAACACTGCCCACTGCCAACACACTCAGCTAATTTTTTTATTTTTTGTGGAGAAGGGGTCTCACTATGTTGCCCAGGCTGGTCTCACATTCCTGGGATCAAGTGATCCTCCTGCCTCAGCCTCCCACAGTGCTGAGATTACAGGCATGAGCCACTGTGCCTGGCCCATTGATTTCTTAAAAAAAAAAAAAAAAAGAAGAAGAAGAAGAAGAAAATAAAATAGTTTTTGTTGTTGTTAAATAACTACTCAGGTTATTTTATATGATTATGTTACATGTTTAATTTGTATAATTAGTATTCTGGAAAACAAGGTTCTCATCCGAAGCCACCAAAATCGGCTGATTTGATAACATTTCTGTTTTAAGCAAATCACCGATGTGCTATTTACCTGTTTTCTCATATCTAACCTTAATAGGTAACCTGGTATTTGTTAAGCCCTCAAAAGTTATAAAAAAAGAGTTGAATGGGGTAAGGTGATGATTTGAAAACATAATTCATCATGAGATTCATAAAGAAATGTGCTATTGCATAAATAACAAGTATTCATAATTCACAGCAGTGACATAATCATGACACTTTGACTCTCATAGCACATATGCACAAACCTTGGCCACCTCCCAGAAGTGAACCTTTTAACAAAGTGTGTATGTATAAGACTGAGAGCAAGGCTTTGCTCCCAGTGCCTTTGCATCAGAGAGAAAGGAGTCACTTTTTTTATCATCTGTTGTCCAAACTCAAAACAAAACATAGTTGTAAGTTTATGGACTGATTCCAGGAATCTAAAAATTTTAGATTCCTTGAATTTTTTTCCAATAAAGAATATTGGTATTGTGGGCCAGGCACTGTGGCTCACACCTGTAATCCCAGCACTTTGGGAGGCTGAGGTGGGCAGATCACGAGGTCAGGAGTTTGAGATCAGCCTGACCATCATGGTGTGAAACCCCATCTCTACTAAAAATACAAAAATTAGACAGGCATGGTGGCACACGCCTGTAACCCCAGCCACTCAGGAGGCTGAGGCAGGAGAATTGCTTGAACCCAGGAGGCAGAAGTTGCAGTGAGCCAAAATCCCGCTATTGCACTTCAGCCTGGGTGACAGAGCAAGACTCCATCTCAAAAAAAAAAAAAAAAAAAAGAGTGTTGGTATTGTGTACAAATAAGTTTTTCTAGTCACATGAAAGATTATTGAGGCTGGGAATAAAAATAGCTATTTTTGGCCAGGTGCAGTGGCTCACACCTGTAATCACAGCACTTTGGGAGGCCCAGGCGGTTGGATAACCTGAGGTCAGGAGTTCAAGACCAGCCTGGGCAACATGGCAAAACCCCAACTCTACTAAAAATACAAAAATTAGCCAGGCGTGGTGGCATGCACCTGTAATGCCAGCTACTCAGGCAGCTGAGGCAGGAGAATTGCTTGAACCCAGGAGGTGGAGGTTCCAGTAAGCCAAGATCATGCCCTTGCACTTTAGCCTGGGGGACAAGGGTGAAACTCCATCTCAAAAAAAAGGCCAGGTGTGGTGGCTTACACCTGTAATCCCAGCACTTTGGGCAACCAAGGCGGGTGGATCACCTGAGATCAGGAGTTTGAGACCAGCCTGGGTAACTTGGTGAAACCCCTTCTCTACTAAAAATACAAAAATTAACCTGCTGGGCGCGGTGGCTCACACCTGTAATCCCAGCACTTCGGGATGCCGAGGCGGGCGGATCACCTGAAGTCAGGAGTTCAAGACCAGCCTGCCTAACATGGCAAGAGCCTGTCTCTACTAAAAATACAAAAAATTAGTGTGGTGGCAGGTGCCTGTAATCCCAGATACTCGGGAGGCTGAGGCAGAATTGCTTGAACCCAGGAGGCAGAGGTTGCAGTGAGTGGAGATGGTCCACTGCACTCCAGCCTGGGCGACAAGAGTGGGACTCTGTCTCAAAAGAAAAAAAAAAAAAAGCTATTTTTCACTACACATGGCAACAATTGTGTAAAAATTTGTAAAGAGACATCCCTCCTTTCCAGTATTTCATCCTATTCTGTCTGCTTACCCTGCTATACTTTTTTTTTTTTTTTTTTTGAGACAGTGTCTCACTCTTGTCACTGTCACCCAGGCTGGAGTACAATGGGGCTATGATAGCTCACTGCAGCCTCAATCTCCCAGTCTTAAGCAAGCCTCCCAATTAGCTGGGACTGCAAACGCATACCACCATGCCAGGCTAATTTTTTTTTTTTTTTAATAGAGACTAGGTCTTGCTGTGTTGCCTGGGCTTTATTTTTCTTCACAGCACTTACCACCACCTGATATATTTTACACTTATTTATTGTTTGTCTTTGCCGAAATGTAAGATCACTGAGAATATAATGTTCACTGCTGGAACCTAAAATTAAAGCTTTGTTTGTTGCATGAATGATGGATGGCAAGATCATTAAAGGATGTGATGGTGACCAAGTTGGACATCATCTCTGTCATTACAGAGTTTTGTTTTTTATTTTTGTTTTTATTTATTTATTTGTTTGTTTATTTATTTATTTATTTTGAGATGGAGTCTCACTCTGTCACCCAGGCTGGACTGCAGTGGTGCAATCTCGGCTCACTGCAACCTCCGCCTCCTGGGTTCAAACGATTCTCCTGCCTCAGCTTCCTGAGTAGCTGGGATTACAGGCATGTGCCACCACACCCGGCTAATTTTTATATTTTTAGTAGAGGCGGGGTTTCACCATGTTGGCCAGGCTGGTCTCGAACTCCTGACCTCAGGTTGTCCACCCGCCTCAGCTTCCCAAAGTGCTGGGATTATAGGCATGAGCCACTGTGCCCGGCCAGTTTTTTTATTTTTAATTAATTTACTTATGTTTTAATTTATTTGGGGGGAGAATTTCTTACATGAGAATGTATCTTCAGTTTTACTAGAGATGTCATTGGGTATATCGAATGTAGTTATAGAAATTGGCCTTATTTTTTTTCTACAACACATCTGTTCTGTAAACAAAGGAAGAATATAGTTGTATGTTTTACTAAGTATTTCCCCCCTCGAGTCTTAAGTTGACATTTATGTCAGGCCTCATAAGTTAAATGTAAATTAGATTCTTTTTTCTTTTCAGATTATTCTGAACTTAATATGATATCTAGGAGCAAATGTTCTTTGAAACACAGCATCTGACAAGTTAATTGAATGAAAAGTTTTTTTATTACTCATACTAAACAAGCCTTTATTTCTAGATAATTTATGTGATCTAGGTATCAGTACCTATGTAACTAGTTTGGGACTTTTTTTTAATTATTTCTTAAAAACCTGAAACATCTGTTTATTCTAAAATATACCATTGGGGTTGTATTATGTACCTCAAAGGCCGAGTTACTGTCTTTTACCTTCTAAAATGGAAATTTGGTTATATTTTTATCATGACTACTTCATAAAGAATATTGACAATATGTTTGAAAAACATACTCCCTGTGCACAGTGTCATTACATGTTTCAGTAATGTAGGGAGAAAGGATACCCATATCTGCTGTGTGTATTATCTGTTAATAGCTCTAATTTTAATATATATATGTTAAGTTTACATGTAGAGGAATCCAAAGTCACTTTCCAACAAAGGATTCAGTTCATTCTTTTCCTTGGTCTTGGAATGAAGGATACTTGAGAAACATCCTACCAAATTAAGAAATATCTGATAATCTTACAAGCCTATTACTCTTTTCGTCCCAGATTTATACCTACCTAAGGACCTTGTAAGGGATGTTGTGGGGTTTTTTGTTGTTTTTCTTGTTGTTTTGTATTTTTTTTTTAACTCTAATCTCAATGACAGATTAAAGGAACGTTGTGGGTTTGGTTTGGTTTGGTTTGGTTTGGTTTGGTTTGGTTTGGTTTGGTTTGGTTTGGTTTAAGACAGAGTCTTGCTCTGTTGCCCAGGCTAGAGTGCAGTGGCGCTATCTCGGCTCACTGGAACCTCCACCTCCTGGGTTCAAGTGATTCTCCTGCCTCAGCCTCCCCAGTAGCTGGGATTACAGGTGCCCACCACCACGCCCAGCTAATTTTTGTATCTTTAGTAGAGACGGGGTTTCACCATGTTGGTCAGGCTGGTCTCGGACTCCTGACCTCGTGATCCACCTGCCTCGGCCTCCCAAAGTGCTGGGATTATAGGCGTGAGCCACCGTGCCCGGCCAGGGACATTGTGTTTTAAAGTGGCTCTTCCCAAAAGTCCTGCAGAGTGTGAATAGAAGTTATACGGGGCAAAAGAGTTTTTGATCAAATACATTGGACAAATGCTGGTATAAACAACAGTTGAGTGGTTTATAATAAGGCATCCTAGAACTTTTGTTATGATATGTATATTCCTAGAACCTTTGATACAGTGTATACATATATTTTGTATCTGCAAGAGGAGATGATATATATACAGTATGCCTGAACTCCCAAACTTATTTATTAAAGGACTTCTTTTTTCATAGAACTGATATTCTGAAGAATAGGATATTGGGGAAATACTGATAAATATTTTGGAAAATTTCATCACTTGTGGTCTTAGGAAGTGCAACCATGAAATCAATTCTAGTCTATGATTTCATTTGTTTTGCTATTCTACTAGCTAGTAAAATATTTTGTTTGGAAAATTTTGGGTTTTTTGTTTGTTTATTTTTTTGTCTTGATTTAACTTTTAAAATTAGGTCTTATAAAATCATCTGAGATGTTACCTTACTCTAATATTTGTTTATTACTATTTTTCTTTTTTCTTTTTTATATTAGAGACAGGGTCAACTATGTTGCGCAGGCTAGTCTTGAACTCTTGGGATCAAGTAGTCATCCCACCTTGCCTCTCAGAGTGTTGGGATTACAGGCGTGAGCCATCGCACCCAACCTTACGCTAATATTTGAAAGAGGTTTGTTTCCTTTTTTTTTTTTTTTGGAGACAGAGTTTCACTCTTGTTGCCCAGGCCGGAGTGCAATGGCACTATCCTGCCTCACTGCAACCTCTGCCTCCTTGGTTCAAGCGATTCTCCAGCCTCAGCCTCCTGAGTAGCCAGGACTTCAGGCACCCGCCACCACGCCCAGCTAATTTTTTTTTTTTTTTTTTTTTTTTTTTTTTTTGTATTTTTGGTAGAGACAGGGTTTCACCATGTTGGCCATGCTGATCACGATCTCCTGACCTCAGATGATCCACCCTCCTTGGCCTCCCAAAGTGCTGGGATTACAGGCATCTGCCACCACGCCCAGCTAATTTTTGTATTTTTAGTAGAGAAGGGGTTTTACCATGTTGGCCAGGCTGGTCTCAAACTCCTGGCCTCAATTAATCCACCCACTTTGGCCTCACAAAGTGCTGGGATTACAGGCACAAGCCACCACGCCCACCCAGCCTGACAGAGGTTGAATTATACAAATTTTGGATTCAGACTGGCCTGGGTTTGCTATCAGTACTTACTCGACTTTGGGCAAGTTATTTAACCTTTCTATCTCTCAGTTTCTTTGTTTATAAAGATTGTTTTGTGCTGGATTTTGTTTGTTTTAGGAGTAAGAGGGTTATATAGCATAATACATAAAATACCTAGTACTGTGTCTGAAAAGTAATAGGTGTTTATCAAATGTTAATCCCATTTTCTCTTAATTTTTTATGACCTCTTACCTCAAGACGAGAGCGCTCAGGTTCTAAAGCTTCCTTTTCACTTACCCTCAGTTATATTGAAATTTAAGTAAAGCATGACCAGTTCTAAACTATTCCATTCACGTAGTTGTTAATTAACTTCTTACTACACTGTTGGATGAAATTATTGACTTAGAGTGACAGTAGATATAGTTGTGCATCATTTAAGAACAGGGATGCGTTCTGAGAAATGGCAGTTCCGTGAATGTACAAACATCATAGAGTATACTTACACAAACATAGATAGTTATGGTCTGTTGCTTCCAGAATACATACCTGTACGTCATGTTACTGTACTGACTAGGCAGTTATGGTAAAAATACAGTATAAAAGATAAAAAATCATACAACTATATAGGGCACTTAACCCTGAATGGAACTTGTAGGACTGGAACTTGCTCTGGGTGAGTCAGTGAGTGAGTGTTGAGTGAATGTGAGGGCGTACGACACTATTGTCACTATAATAGACTTTATAAACACTGTACACTTTGGCTACTAAATGTATACATTTTTTCTTCAATAATTGATCTTAGCTTATCTTTTTTTAATAAATTTTTAATTATTTTTAATTTTTTGACTCTTGTAATAACACTTGGTTTAAAACACAAACCTGGGCGGACACAGTGGCTCACGCCTATAATCGCAGCACTTTGGGAGGCTGAGGTGGGTGGATCACCTGAGGTCAGGAGGTGGAGACCAGCCTGGCCAACGTGGTGAAACCCATCTCTACTAAAAATACAAAAATTAGCCGGGGGTGGTAGCATGCACTTGTAATCCCAGCTACTCTGGAGGCTGAGTCAGGAGAATTTCTTAAACCCAGGAGGCAGGGGTTGCAGTGAGCCAAGATCGCGCCATTGCACTCCAGTCTGGGTGACAAGAGTTGAAGCTACATCTCAAAAAAAAAAAAAAAAAAAAAAAAAAAATTGTACCATTGTACAAAAATATTTTTTCTTTATGTTCTGTAAGGTTTTTTCTGTTTTCAAAATGATTTATTTATATTTTTTAAACTTTTTTGTAAAAAACTAAGACACACATACATTATACTAGGCCTACACAGGGCCAGTATCATCAATAAGTCACTTAGGCAATAGTAATTTTTCAACTCCATTATAATGGGACTACCATCATATATGCAGTGTGTCACTTCCCAGAATGTCGTTACATGGCATGTGACTATAAATTGAAAGTTCAGCCATATCAACTTTATTTAAAAGTTGTGTGTTTTTTTAAATTCTTTCAGGAAGCCATTAATTTGCTAGAACCAATGACAAACGACCCCGTGAACTACGTGAGGCAAGGGGCACTCATAGCTTCAGCTCTCATCATGATCCAGCAGACTGAAATCACTTGTCCAAAGGTGAGCAAACAAAGAAATTCCCTGGAAGAGAGATGGTTTGGTCTTTTCTTTAGTAACTTATCGTCTTTTGAGGACGTTTTTTAGTTCAAATATGGTAAACACTGAAAGTAAAGTAAAAGTAAAGAGAGCATTTTAGAGTATAAGAGAATGGGGAAACTTTAAATATGTAATGCTCTTTAAATGTATTTTTTAGACTTAATGGTCCCTTTGTTAATTTAAGTATATAACCATGCTTGAAAAATTAGAACTCTTGGGGTGTTAAAACCGTAAAATGAACTCTTTTTTTGCCTTTCACTGTCCTTTTAAAATGTATTCAGTGGGATAACTTTTTCCTCTGATAATATAGGATGCAAACTTAGGCAGTCCATGCCTTTTTTGATCTGTCCTTCTAAAGTAATTTTTAAAAAGCCTGCAGTCACTTTGTATCGTACATACCATCTTAGTTTAGAAATGAGTACATCCACATTCTCTTTTGGAATGTCATTGCCCTCCTAGGCGATCTTTTTGGGTGGAGTTCCAAATGGCTCCAAGACAGCTTTCTTTTCCACTTGACCCACATCTGCTCCACAGAAACACTCTTGTACATTTTGCCCTTCTGCATAGGAATATAATAGGATGTCAGTGCTAGTACCTCAGCTAATAGCTAATGTCTCAGTGCACAGCAGCCCCTGATCATATTGGACACTCCAAGTGGACCCTCTGAACCCCTATTCTGTAAACTTGGAGTGAGGGGGAAAGACTCACAACCCAGCTTGCCCCAAAGAGATCCTCTTCACATATCCTCCACAATCCACACCCACCTTGTGGGTGACTCCATAATAGTTTTGAGACACCTGTTTTAAAATTCTCTGATGAGCCCAGCATGGTGGTTCATTCCTATAATCCCAGTACTCCCGGAGGCTGAGGTGGGAGGATCACTTGAGCCCAGGAGTTCAAGGCTAGCCTGGGCAACATAGGGGGAGGCCCCATCACTACAAAGAATTAAAAAGGAATTAGCTGGGCATGGTGGCATGCGCCTGTAGTCCCAGCTATTTGGGAGCTGAGGTGGGAGAATCACTTAAGCCCAGGAGGCCAAGGCTGCAGTGAGCTGTGGTTGTGCCACTGCACTCCAGCCTGGGTGACAGAGCAAGACCCTGTCTCAAAAAATAAAATAAAATTATCTCATGATAATCTCTCAGTCCTCAGGTTGTTAGTGTTTGATATCTCATGTATCTTGTCATTTCAGCCAAAACTTCTCATTCTACTAAGAAACAGAAAATGCATGTATCTTATTTTTAATACATGTACTAAAATTAGCATTGATATACTAAATAGACACGTGTAGCTTACACAACAATTTCAGATCTTCTAATTCTTAAAGCTAGGGACTTTAGTATCCATGTATTAATTAATCCTGCTCATATAATGGGAAGTAGTCAAAAAATTGACAACAGAAAAAACTGTTGGCATTGTGTCTTATGCCTCATCGAGCAAATAATAGCACACCACCCTCATTTTCAGCAAAGTAGATTTGAGGAGGTAGAGAAAAGAAAAATTTCCGGAACTCATTGATTATTCTAATTTTATGGAGCTTTGTTTAAAAAAGTTCAAGTTCTAAACAGTTGCTGTCATCTTTGCTTCATTTATTTAGTGCTTCTATTTCTGTCTCAAAATCATTTTCAGGACTTTCAAAAATTGTATTATTACAAAGATAGAATCTGACTTCTCATCCTGTTTTTATAACGTATTACTTAATATACTACATCTTCTAGAACATAAACATCTTTCCAAACACCACATTTCTTTTTGTTTTTAAATATAGCAGCTATCATATGAGTAGCTTTTACATATTTTATTTCTGCTTTTGATCTTCAACTGAGCTTTTGGAGGTTATCCAACTGAGTAGTGTCATTAAAGAAACAAATTTTGGTCATGGAATGCACCTCCTCTAACAGTAATACATAGACATTCACTTTGACCCCACATGTTGCTTTCATGTTACTTGTATTGTCAGCAAGACAAATGTTCTGTCTTCCCATCCTCTGCTGTAGGATTTCATTGATTTTACAATTATAATCTCTGTTCCAAAAATGGCAGAGTCCTTTAGGAGCTGGATAATCATTCCAGGAACTGTTATTGAACCAAGTCTTACCTGGTGCAGATACATGGGGCACACTCCCATCTTCAGGTTGTATCGGAATCTTAGACACTGATTAAAATGTCAAAGTGAAGTCACAGCTAGTAGCCTTTGCCAGTAATATAAACTGGGTAGATAAATGTAAGTGTATATACCACTGACTAAAAAAGCAAAATTGACATGTGAAACTCAAAAATTCTTTCAGGAAACACTACTCTTTAGAGCAAAGTTGTTACTCAGCTTAAGAATTCTTAAAGTTAATTTCATTGTTTTCTGTTATTAAGCAAGTGATAAAGAATTTCATAGACTACAGTTTATATCATCTTTCCTTTATCTGATAATTGCCAACAAGACAAAATTGACATTTTGGAGATGGTATACAGCATGTTGCCAAAAAGAAAAATCTGTTGAGAAACTCTGAAGGGGAGTAGATTCTCAAGGCTACAGAGTCTTAATTGCAAGATTGCAAAACCAGTCCATGAAATAAAGTGGAAATGGCTCAAAAATAAAGATCAAATGTGAATTTCATCAAGAGTTATAAACCCCTCTCAAAGGAATTCAAAAGAGAAATTTCTCAGGTATTTTGTGAAATTCACAATGGAAATTCCCAAAGGAAATGTCTTATGTAACCATTAATATATGTCACATCCCTAACACTTAGCTCCACACGTTGCCCTCTTAGTTGAAGTATCTCCAGTACATCTTTGCTTTGCTTCTCTCAGTTTCTCGCTAGCTCATGCTCACAAACATAAACCCAGGAACATGCACACATCCCTGGATCAAAGGTTCACATTTAACAAGGGTAATGTTCTTTTTTAGGTCCTTGGAGCTATTTTGCTCTAAAAACCCAACTCTCCTCTTTATTAAATTATCTATCTTTTGTTTTTCTTGTTAAATGAAATCCACCATTAAGATGGGCACAGTGGCTGAGGCAGGAGACTCGCTTGAGCCTGGGAGTTCAAGGCCAGCCTGAACAACATCCCAAGACCCTATCTCTAAAAAACAAACAAAAAAATCACCATTAACAGTTACTCGAACATGTACATATTAAGTATCATATATAAACTCACATCAAAATATTACACTGTAAATATAGAATCTGGTGTTCCTATTACCAGTATTACTTGGCCTAAGGCCTGGTACAGGAAAGCTTCTCCTATCATTGACAAGTACCCTCTTTGGAAGTAGAATTAAGCTCCTGCAGTTCTAAAATAAATCACTGTATATATGATTTCACAGCATAACACATTTGTAAGTAGTAGTCTATTACCACACTGTCATTTTAAGATAGGGACTTGGACTCTTACAGTGTTAGTGGTAATAAAAAAGAAAAAGGCTACAGAAACTACTCTAAGCAAATTAATGCTGATAAAATTGAGGAGGGAGCTGAAAACTCATTTGGGATCCTGATAATGGGGAAGTCATGATAGCATCAACAAGAATATTTTGAAGGAAGAATACAGATAATATTCATTTCAGGCATATTGAGTTTGACATGACAGCATGTCATTGGAAACAACATGGGAGCATAGGAAAAAAATTAGACGCTAAATACGGAGATTTGGGAACTAGCCATAAAAAAAATTATATAGGCCAGGCGCAGTGGCTCACGCCTATAATCACAGCACTTTGGGAGGCCAAGGCGGGTGGATCACGCGGTCAGGAGTTCAAGACCAGCATGGACAACATAGCGAAACCCCGTCTCTACTAAAAATACAAAAAAAATTAGCTGAGTGTGGTGGCAGGCGCCTGTAGTTCCAGCTACTTGGGAGGCTGAGGCAGGAGAATCACTTGAACCTGGGAGGCGGAGGTTGCAGTGAGCCGAGATCACACCACTGCACTCCAGCTTGGGCGACACAGTGAGGCTGTCTCAAGGAGGGGAAAAAAAAAAAAGTATATATGTCTATATAGATATATACAGATATATATACACATATATAGACATATATATAGAGACATATAGAGACATATATATATGTGCGTATGTGTGTTTATAGCCCTTTATCTACCATTACAGAATCCAGAAAGCTCTGAAAACTCAGAGGTTTGTTTGTTTTTCAAGACTCATTTGGATGCAATTATTAATTCATTATCATTTATCCTACTTAGTATAAATATTCATATATTGTGCTACTTCAGAAATAATTTATTTGATTATGGGATATCATAATATATAGAGCAGTACTACACTGGGAGTATTGTATAATATATGGATATGTATCATGTTAGCCTTCTAAATTCTGAATTCCAAAATACATCTCACCTCAAGGATTTCATGGAAGGAATTACAGACATATATTTGAAGTCATAAGCACAAATATAATTTCACAGACAAAAAAAACACCTCCAAAACTGATCCTTGATGTACAGCTACATTTCCATAACCAGGAAGATAGAAAAATAGAAAGGAGGAGTAACACTCAGATGATAAGTACCAACAGAAACAACGCTAAGGAACTTTATTGCTTTCTCCCTGATATCTAAGAGTGGGCTTTTTTCCAGCAGTATAGGGTATACAAGTAAAAACATGATGAATGTTTAAAATGCAGCTTTTTGAGAAGGTAGATTTTAAATACTCCTACATAGTACAATGCATGGATCACAGCGTTGCATAAAATTTTAATTGTCTTTTTTTGTGAGATTGTTGTGATATAAAATGGAAAGCTAATATGATTTTTCTCCTGGAAATTCTACTTTTTGTTTTTTTTGGTGGGGGGAGACCATACTATTCATAACAATGAAATTGAGTTAGAAAATCTTAATCCTCACCCTGATTACCATTAATTGCTTGTGATAGCAAGCAAACCAATTGTTTTGCTTGTCTTTTTAGTCTTCATATCTGTAACTAGATGTGAATAGAGGGAGTAGACCAGATGGTCTCAAAGCTGACTTCGAAATTTAATGTATGTCCTAATCTATCAAAATAATTCTTTACCAAGAATTACAATAATGAAAATTAAGTTACTGATACATAAGAAATAAAATGTGAGAAAAAAATTTAAAATGATAAAAACTAGCTTTTTAAAGCATTCTATTTAATATTAGTTAGATAAGCCTATTGTATAGTTGGACTGATTTTTTTATCCATTTGTCAGTTTTACTGAATGCTTTTCTATTGTTTTGGGTACAATTTTAAATTTAAATTTTCCCTATAATGTACATTCAGTGCTTTGTTCTATGTTTCTTTTTATAACTTTGTGAAATACTTCTTAAGCCTTTAGCACATAAAATTTCCATACTGTATAAGGTAATGTAAATGTTCATCTAAAATAAGTTCAGAATCAAAGGAACTTGACTTGTCGAACCAGAATAAAAGCGTCAAACATGAGAATTTTTTTTTTTTTTTTTTTTTTTTTTGAGATGGAGTTTTGCTCTTGTCGCCCAGGCTGGAGTGCAGTGGCACGATCTCGGTTCACTGCAACCTTTGCCTCCTGGATTCAAGCGATTCTCCTGCCTCAGCCTCCTGAGTAGCTGGGATTATAGGCGCCTGCCACCATGCCCAGCTCATTTTTTGTATTTTTAGTAGAGACAGGGCTTCGCCATATTGGGCAGGCCGGTCTCAAACTCCTGACCTCAGGTGATTCACCTGCCTCGGTCTCCCCCAAAGTGCTGGGATTACAGTCATGACCCACCTCACCCGGCCACGTGAGAATTTTTTTAAGTAGAGGGGAATTTAGTGATGATTTAATCATGCTAGGTTTTATAGTTAAAGAAATCCTGAGAAGTAAGTGACTTAAGTGGTTGTGTGCTGGGTAGTGGCAGAGTTAGTTCATTGTTTCCCCACTATATTCTGTTGCTGCCTGTGAATAAAAAATGAGAACCATGTTCAAGGAATATTATTTTGTTAGTAGCATTTAGATTGCAGAGATAATAGGAGGGATTGGTAGGATTCTTCCCCCATATGGTGAAACAGTCATGCTTATTGAACTATGAAATGCCCTTTATACATTACACGACGTATATGTTACCTCATATAATCCTATAATAGCCATGTAAGGTAGGTGCTAACATCCCTGTAGAGATGAAGATACTGAGGTTCATAAAAGGTAGTAACTTACCCAAACAGCTTATAAGAACAGCTTATAAGCCAGGGTTGTGTGATTCTATTATTCTGCCACTGTATCACATTGTGGCCTCCCAGACCAAGACAAATGAAAAGGGGGAAAAGATTCTGAAAGAATATGTAATGCAGATAAAGTCATTATATTAGGAAACTCAAATTTGATATTTTCTGCTTTTGGCAGATTTGGGGAGCTCCATGATTATGTGCTTCTTGAACAAGCCGACTTCTTCCTGGGTGCCTACCATTTGAAAAGCACTGTTGGGAAAACAGAGAAGTGTAAGACATAGAAGAAGCATAAAATAGTTTACTTATTGTCACCCAAACAGATTTAAAGGAATATTAATTATTCATACAGAATATATTTTATAAATATATGTTCTAATCATAAAAATAATACATATTAATTTTAGAAAATGCAGAAAGGATAAAGAATTACCAGTAATCCCACCTTAAGTGAGTCAGCACATTTTCCATTCCGATACTCTCCTTTTGGTACGAGTACACATTCTGACAAGTCCTCAGAAAATTAATGTGAGTAGATAATGGAAATCTTTACTTTATGTGAATATACTTCATGCAAAAGATACCTCACACAGCTTTGGTGAAGGGTAATTTACTTTAAGGTGGAACTGAAGGACCATGCTTTTTAGGAAACCCGCAAGGTTGGTGGTAAACAGAATAGCTATAATTCAAAATGCAATGAAAGCCTTAGTGTTTGCTTGGACTTTTTAGGCCTGCTGACTAACAGTGGTAATGTATGAAATCGCATTCAACATTCCTTTGACCTTGAAACATCCACTGTGGAATGAGGATTCAAGACAGAGCTGGTGCTCCCACACTAAAAAGTCATAACACCCGTGATTGCAACCACGGAACTGCTCTGCCTTCAAGTCTGGTCCATATCCCTCTCTTGAGCATTACGAAACTCAGAACTAACTCATTATCATTGGAGCAATATTATTCCCTGTTCTAAAATGGTACCGCAAATGAGTAGACTTAGACTATAATTCTTTCTCTTGCTCCTTCAGGTGAATCAGTTCAGACAGCTGTATTCCAAAGTCATCAATGATAAGCATGATGATGTCATGGCCAAGTTTGGCGCTATTCTGGCCCAGGGCATACTGGATGCAGGTAAATGTTTTTAAGTCTTCAAGATTTATTTATTTAAACTAAATCTAATAAAATAACTATCTGCTCTAACTATATGACATAATGGAAATTGAGTCTGAGGCAAATTATTCCTGGAGAAAATTTGGAGCCTGCAGTTCACAGAGATCATGTACATTTAAGAGTACAGGCCGGGCGCAATGGTTCATGCCTATAATCCCAGCACTTTGGGAGGCCGAGGTGGGTGGATCACCTGAGGTTGGGAGTTCGAGACCAGCCTGACCAACATGGAGAAACCCCATCTCTACTAAAAATATAAAATTAGCTGGGCGTGGTGGCACATGCCTGTAATCCTAGCTACTTGGGAGGCTGAGGCAGGAGTATCACTTGAACCCAGGAAGTGGAGGTTGCAGTGAGTCGAGATCGCGCCATTGCACTCCAGCCGGGGCAACAAGAGCAAAACTCGGTCTCCAAAAACAAAAAAACCAAAAAAAAGTACAGGCTGTTGGCCAGGCACAGTGGCTCATGTCTGTAATCCCAGCACTTTGGGAGGCCAAGGCAGGTGGATCACCTGAGGTCAGGAGTTCAAGACCAGCCTGGCCAACAAGGTGAAACCCTGTCTCTACTAAAAATACAAAAAAATTAGCCAGGAGTGGTGGCATGCACCTGTAATCCCAGCTACTCAGGAGGCTGAGGCAGGAGAATCACTTGAACCTGAGAGGCTGAGGTTGCAGTGAACCGAGATTGCTCCACTGCACTCCAGTCTGGGTGACAGTGACAGTGGTGACAGTGCCTGTCACTTAGTAAAGTGACTGTTGGTTGGTTTTTTGTTATTTTTCTTTTAAGACAGAGTCTCACTCTGTCACCCAAGCCGGAGTGCAGTGGCGCAAGCATGGCTTGCTGCAGCCTTAACCTCCTGGGCTCAGGCAATCATCTTGCCTCAGCCTCCCAAGTAGCTGAGACTACAAGCATATGTCACCACACCCAACTAATTGTTTAAACTTCTTGTAGAGATAGGATCTCACTATGTTGCTCAGGCTTGTCTTGAACTCCTGGACTCGAGCAGTGTTCCCACCTCGACCTTCTGAAGTGCTGGGATTATAGCTGTGAACCACTGTGCCCAGCCAATTTATTTTTCCTTTAATTTTCTTAGTATTATATGAATTTTAAACAAGTTGACATTGAATCATTTTTGAGGAAAACATATTTTAAATAAATTCTAGCAGCCAGATCACTTATAAAATAAGGTAAGTTGAATATTTACCTAATAAATGCATACAGAGCACACTGTGCCATCTGGCTCCAGAATTCTCACCATCCACCATAATACCATAGTCTGTTTCAAAAGATAGAGTGGTGGGCTTTAGTTCCTTAGACTTGGAGTTCATTTGACATATGCCTTAACGTTATTATTGGTGACCTCTCAATAGGATAAGAGGAGAAGAGCAGATACATACTTCATTCTTCAACTATGTGATTCTTTTTCTTGATGTACCCTATCCATGTGAATATAATCCTTTTTATTTTTGCTAATTTGAAAGGTGAGGAATAACATCTCAAGGTTTTTATAGCAGTTCTAGTATTAAGGGAGCATTTTTTTTCACATTTATTAGCCATTGAATTCTAAGAAAAACACTGTTAGCCTTATTTGTTGCAGTCATTGTTTCCTCAGTCAACTAGGAATGTGTGTATATTTGTAGTGAAGGAGATGAGGAAAAGAAGCTGCTATTAATTTGATAACTGTCATAAATTTTTGTTTTTAATCTTTTTGGGTTTTCTACTTGCTGAGAGTGTTTTAATCATACCACAGTTTTCAGAGTCCTTTTATAATTTTAGATAATCTCCCTCATATGGCCTCTTTCTTTAAAAAAAAATCCATATCTCCTTTCTAATTTGATTAATCCTTTTTTCTTTATTAGGTTTGCCAGTAATTTCTCTATTTATGTACTTTGTTCTTTTTTTGTAAATTCTTTATTTTTGATCTTATCTTTATTATTTGCTGTTTTATAACTTTGGTGTTCTTTTCTAAATTTTTGAGGCAAATGTTCCTCTCTTTTAACTTATTTGTCTAATGGAGTTTTTTGTTTGGTTGGTTTTTGTTTTCCAAGAAGTTGAGAGTTTTCTGGTTAAAATTTTAATATTGAGGCATAGTTTACTTTTCTCTTTCTTTTTAATTTAAAAAATATTTCCTTGCAGCTGTTTATAGATAAAAAAATTCTATAAATATTTTAGGTAAAGTAAACCGTTTCAATTCTAGATGGTATTGATTCCCTCCCATTTACAAGCTACATATGTAGGTTTCCATAGTTTCTCCCTTCTCACTCTTCACTACCTTCCAATATTTTTATATTATGTTTATGTTGTCAACAGTTTGTGATATTTACATTGTCTTCAGAAATCATAATTCTTACAATTGTACGGTCTTAGTTTCATATTTAAATGGATTCAGTGCCCATTTCTTTTATTGCAGCTTTTTCATTCTTAGGTTATCTGTACTAAGTCTAGACACTTAATTGGCTGGATTTTATCAGTAATTAAGTTTTATTAATTGGGCTTTTAAAATTTTTTAGATTTACAGAAAAAATTGAGGAAGAAATGCAGAGTTTCCATATGTCCCCTTTGCCCCTCCAATTTCCCCTGTTATTGGCATCTTGTGTTAGTGTGGTATATTTGCTTACAATCAATGAGCCAATATTGACACATTATTATTAACTAAAGTCCCTAGTTTACATTAGAGTTCACTCTTTATGTTGTACATTTTATGGGTTTTGACAGATCTTTAATGACATGTGTCTACCATAACAGTATGATACAAAATAGTTTCACTACCCTAAAAATTCCCTGTGCTTAACCTATTTATCCCTCCTTGCCCTCCCCACAAGTCCCTGACCTTTTTACTGTCTCTGTAGTTTTATTTTGTTTTAATAGATAAAGTTTTGAATTTATTGAAAGTTTTTTTATAATATCCTCTTACTTTTTCAATGTCTGTGGAATCTGTAGTGATATCCCCTTTTTCATTCTTTTTCTTTTTAAAAAACTTATTTATTTTATTAAGGTATGGTTGATAAATAGAAATTATACATACAGTGTACATGGTGCTTTGAGATATATATATAGTAAAATAGTTAAATCAAGCTAATTAACATATCTGTCACCTTACATACTTATCATTTTTTGTTATGAGAAAATTTAAGATCTCCTTAAGTAATTTTCAAATATACAGTACATTATTATTAGCTGTAGTCATCATGCTGTACTATAGATCTCCTGAACTTACTACTTATCCTAATTGAACTCTCTCCACAGTTTTAGTTTTGCCTTTTCCAGATTTTCATATAGTTTGAATAATACATTATGTAGCCTTTTCAGATTACTTCTTTTGGTGGTGAGTATTTAAAACAACATTTAGGGATAACATTTTACTGCTCTGTAATCTTTTTTTTCTCTTTTAGCTGCCACTTTTTAAAGTGTATGATTTTAGACTACACCCCTTCACTTGTTCACCACTACCACAGTTTTTTGCTGGTTTTTACTATATTTGGGTTACTTGTTAAGAATTGGGGGAGACTGCTCTGGGCACACTACCTGTAGGGTAGCCCTGCTCTGCAAGGAGCAATACAAAAAAAGAAAAATAAATTTTTAATTAAAAATATAAAATTATATATTAAGAAAAAAGAATTAGGGGAGGATAATTCTATGTTTCGCCTCTTCTCTGCCAGATTTACTACAAGTCATCTCACTGTGTTCTCTTCCTTCCTCTTTCAGCCTCTGTTTGTCTTTTCTTTTTCTTTTTTTTTTTTTTTATATCTTCTTTTTTTGTTTGGGGCTTTTTTACTTTATCTGTTTGTCTCGTGGACCAATCAAGTTTTGGTGCTTCTTTCTGTTTCTCTTTATTTATAACAATTTTTGCTTTAGACATTTATTACATAAAAGTTCTTTTTTTTGGGGGGGGCCAATTCTGTCACCCAGCCTGGAGTGCAGTGGCATGATCTCGGCTCACTGCAACCTCCACCTCCCGGGTTCAAGCAATTCTCCTGCCTCAGTCCCTCCTGTAGCTGGGACTACAGGTGCACACCGCCATGCCCGGCAAATTTTTTGTATTTTAGTGGAGACTAGGTTTCACCGTGTTGCCTAGGCTGGTCGCAAACTCCTAATCTCAGGCAATCCACCCACCTCGGCCTCCCAAAGTGCTGGGATTACAGGTGTGAGCCACCACACCTGGCCCTACATAAAAGTTCTATACTGTAGTGTTCACTGTTATGAGCATAGAATTAATCTCATGTCCTTTTTCACTTTTTAATATCCTATCCTCGTAGAACACTGTGCTGCAACTGCGTTAGAAAAATTTGCAGTCTTGATCTTCTCTCAGTAAAATTAGTGGTAGTAGGCCTGGCTTAGTGGCTAACACCTGTAATCCCAGCATTTTGGGAGGCCGAGGTGGGTGGATCATTTGAGGTCAGGAGTTTGAGACCAGCCTGATCAGCATGGTGAGACCCTGTCTCTACTAAAAATACAAAACTTAGCTGGGCGTGGTGGTGCATGCCTGTATTCCCAGGTATTCAGGAGGCTGAGGCACGAGAATTGCTTGAGCCTGGAGGTGAAGGTTGCAGTGAGCTGAGATTGTGCCACCGCACTGCAGCCTGGACGACAGAATGAGACTCCATCTCAAAAAAAGAAAAAAGAAAATTAGTGGTAGTAGAGAAAAATCTAGAGAGGGCAACTTCAAGGGAAGGAATGAAGTTGAAGTTTATGAGAACTCACTCAGTGATTCAGTCTCTTCCGGGAGAAAAGCCGAAGATAAAGAAGTTGATTGAAGTTTGTTAAACTGCAAATTATCAATATGATAAACTCTACCTTATTTATTAAATCTCAGAATGTTAGAACAAAAGGCTAATTTAGCTTCGAAGTCCGAAGAAGATAGATTTCATTGAACTAAAAGGAAATTCAGCTTCAAAGTTAGATCAAATAGCACGTTAGCTAGGCATCGTTTTCCTCTCTTCTGCCCCTCCCCAGTCTCCATCCCAGGTTAGTTACTATGTCTTAGTGAAATGTTCCCACTAGCACCCAGGTTTATAGCTATCATAATACTTTCATATCTTATTTTAATTATCAAATTATCTGTCTTCTTTGTGAGACTGGAGTCTCCTTAGGATCTTTTCCAGTATGTTATTCACAATCCTCAACATATAGTTAGCATTCAGTGAATGGGGGTTAGCGTAGGGAAGAGTACAAGTAGACAATAAATGTATATAATTCATTTCTATTGGAAAAACAAGATTAAAGTATACCTGGCCTTTTTTTCAGATGAAAAATTTAAATACCTATAGTGGAGTATTAAGAAAATCTAGATTATTTGGTTGAACAGTAGAACCCTGATTCTTATAAAAATTAAAATGCTGCTTGGTTTAGTCAAGTCAAGTCAGTGTTTGGTTCTTGACTCCAAGCAAAATGTGAAGATGCCTATAAAACACTGAGATCAAGAGAAGAGAAATGTAAGCAACAGGAATCCACATTGGAATTCCAATTAAGACCCTGATTAGGCACAGACAAGCCCCATTTTTATAGGATATATTATTTAAATGAAGATTCTTGCATTTCAAAGTTCTGTGATCCAGCACTAACTCTGTTACCATCTAGCGCATGGGCCAAATCTGATAATGGTGTATTTTGTTTTGCCTGCCTAACAAAATTTGCAAGATTTTGGACAAAATCCATAGTCTACTTTTAAAAACAAAATGACCTAGTGACCCTGGACCTACACTGTAGTAAGATGTTCCCTTTAAATAGAACATGTGTTTTCCAGTTTGCTTCAGTTTTAAAAACAAAATGACCTAGTAATCCTGGACCTACACCCCCAGTAACAAGCTCCCTTTAAATAGTACATGTACTTTACAGTTTGCTTCAGTCCCCACTGCTCCCAGCCCACTTATTCCTTATTTGTTTACTTGACTTGTTCCTAAAGGCATTTGAGTTGGTAATCCCTCATAGCCTCCTAGAATCTCAGCCTTACAAGGGCTCACCAGCTCTCCCCAACTGATGGCTTGGATCTTAGCTCTAGTTCACTGGCTTTCAAACTTTATCTGCACTCTAGAGGAATAGTCTAGGGCAGCAGTCCACAACCTTTTTGACACCAGGGACAGGTTTCATGGAAGACAATTTTTTTTTCTACGACGGGGGTGGGGTGGTTTCAGGATGAAACTTTTCCACCTCAGTTCAGTAGGCATTAGATTCTCATAAGGAACGTTCAGCCTAGATCCCTCGCGTGCGCGGTTCACAATAAGGTTCACATTCCTATGAGAATCTAATGCCACAGCTGATTTGACAGGAGGCAGAGCTCAGGTGGTAATGCTCACTTGCCCTCCGCTCACCTCCTGCTCTGCAGCCAGGTTCCTAACAGGCCATGGACAGGTCTGCAGCCCCAGGATTTGGGGACCCCTGGTTCCAGGCCATATATTCTCCCAGCAGTCCAAACTTCTGATTAAACAGAAGCAGCTCTGATTTCATTCCTTTACATATTGTGTTTCCTTAGAAAAATTTCAGTTAGGGTTAGAGGTTAAGTTTTCTTTTGTAAGTGGTAGTGCTCTCGTTCAAGTGTTCAAATTCAACCCCTCATTTTGCTAATGGGAGAAAAGGAATTAGAAATAAAGTGTTTTGTCCATGGTTACAGGGCTAGTTAATGTCAGAGCTCCTCCCACCAATTTAAGTGGCTTAATAATTCGTAGGGTAATGCTCAATGCTTTCGTAGATTTTTATATAGCTGCATATAAATCTTCATAATTTGTAAGGGATATTTCTCAAAATTCTAATAATGTTTATGCTGCTTAGCACCTAAAAGACCAAGAGTCAGAACATATTCTTTACTGTTTTATATAAATTTTTATAAATGTGTAAGTATATTATAAATATGTATTTGCATATGATTGAAGCGGAAAGAGTAAAACTAAGCAAACTATCTATGCTTGCCTCTGCTATGGTGTGCAAAAAGTATATACTAAAACTTTGCTTTTTATTAACACATGAAAAGCCAATATATAATGCAGATTAATACTTAATTTAGCATCACAGTTTTGATACCCTTCAGGCCTAGTTTTTGAAAAACGCCTGCCTATAGAGAAAGTAAGTCTAGATGTGTGCTAAATCCAGTTAAAAGTACACTTCCAATTTTGGAGAGCCTGGATAACTCACTAATTCCAAGGACTGCATATTAGACTGCACATATGAATTGTGCTTTTAAAATCATCACCAGATGTTTCCCTACTGCAGCACTTACAAATCTTTATTATTGCCTGGGTGTAGTGCCTCACATGCTTGTAATCCCAAGACTTTGGGAGGCTGAGTCGGGAGGATCATATGAGGCTAGGAGTTTGAGACTAGCCTGGGCAACATAGTGAGACCCTCGTCTCTACAAAAAATTTAAAAATCAGCCAGGTGTGGCGGCCCGCACATGTAGTCCTAGCTACTCGGGAGGCTAAAAGAGGAGGATCCCTTAAGGCCAGGAGGTCGAGGCTGCAGTGAGCCATGATCGTGCTGCTGCACTTGGGTGCAGTGTTTCACTCTGTCACCCGAGCTTGGGTAACAGTGAGACCCTATCTCTTTAAAAAAAAAAAAAAGAAAGAAAGAAAGATATCGTTATTATTGTCCTACTATAATAATAGGACAATACTATTATTGTTCATGGTTTCTCTCTTTTTCTACAGGTGGTCATAATGTCACAATCTCCTTGCAGTCCAGGACTGGGCATACTCATATGCCTTCTGTGGTTGGCGTCCTTGTATTTACCCAGTTTTGGTTCTGGTTTCCTCTTTCACACTTCCTGTCATTGGCTTATACCCCTACCTGTGTCATTGGCCTTAACAAGGACTTAAAGGTATGTCTGTGAGACCTCAGCTTTGTAGTATTTCCTGTTCACCGTATCTTATTCATATTTACCGCCCACTTGCAAGGATTTCCATTAAATTTTAAAGATGAGTTAACATCTTATAATAACATTTTCCCTTCAAGTTGAATCGTCACCTTTTTGAATGGAGTGTGTCATTGAAAGTTTTGAAAAGCATATCTCCTTACTAGCTGTGTAACTTCAAGTAATTAGTTGAGAAAGAATGGTGAGAGAGGGGGCTAAATATAAACATACGAAGAGGCTTTATATACCACTCTGATGAATTTTATTTAATACTAAAGCCTGGGAACTGTCGAAGGATTTCAAATGATAAATGAACATGAGATTTCCATTTAGAAAGATCTTTCTGGTATCAGTGGAAACTCATTACAATGCTATTGCAGTAGTCTGGGCAAGGAAGAATGCAAACCTAAACTAAATCTTCCAGAGTTATCTGATACTCGAGTGGTTGATGGAAGAAAGAATTATTACTAAAGGGAAAAAGCAAAATAGGAGGATGACCCTTTGGTAGAAGCAGGAAACAAGACCAACTGTGAGGAGCTAGGGAATCTGATGGAATGTAACTGCTGACTTAAGTCAGAAATTTAAGGCACTGCGTGCCCTGTCATCACATTTGTGGTCATATTTTTTTAATGGAGTTTGTGTTTAGGTCTTTCTTAGTCCTGTGACTTGATGATTCATCTTCTTGTTCTTTAAAAGTCAAAAGGCTTTTTGACCTTTAAATAACTCTTACATCTGGTCATCACTGTTGAAATGTTCTACTAAATTTTCAGAGTGGAAAAGTTTTAGGCTTAAAACTGACTGGTAAAAATAGAATATTTCTTTGTATTGATTTTTCAGTATAGCTGTACAGCCAGTTATCCTTCGTTAAGTGTTTCGGTATTAAAACTGCTCACATTTGTAAATATTGAGCAGCTTTATTGTCAGAACAAGAATCCCTTGGTTTCCCAATCCCCAACTTTTAACATTGTAATTAAACATCCTGTATAACCTATTTTATTCTCTGCCAAACAATTTTATGACTGCTGTTTTTACTCTTTGTGATGAAAATGGGATGGAGAAGATAAGGTTCTTTGTCCTTATGGTGGTATTTATTATCATCCTCCATCAATGCAGATTGGGTAAATAGAGAAAAATTCAGGCCGGGTGTGGTTGTGCACATCTGTAGTCCCAGCTGCTTGGGAGGCTGAGGCAGGAGAATCGCTTGAACCCAGGAGTCAGAGGTTGCAGTGAGCTGAGATTGCACCACTGCACTCCAGTCTGAGCAACAGGGTGAAACTCTGTCTCAAAAAAAAAAAAAAGAAAGAAAGAAAGAAAGGAAGCCGAGGCGGGTGGATCACGAGGTCAGGAGATTGAGACCATCCTGGCTAACACAGTGAAACCCCGTCTCTACTAAAAATACAAAAAAAATTAGCCGGGCATGGTGGCGGGCACCTGTAGTCCCAGCTACTCGGGAGGCTGAGGCAGGAGAATGGCCTGAACCCGGGAGGCAGAGCTTGCAGTGAGCTGAGTTTGCGCCACTGCACTCCAGAGCCTGGGCAACAGAGCAAAACTCCGTCTCAAAAAAAAAAAAAAGAAAGAAAGGAAAAATTGAGACCAAAGAACTTTAAAACTGGTCACTAGGTAATGTGAAGCTGACTTTCTATTAGGCTCATGTTACACTCTTACAAGGCATGATTATATATGGTGTGGAAATTGTATTCAGGCTAGTGTAAGTTACTAGTCTGGTACAAAGAAGGGAAATGGCAGTTTGTATGCAGGATAGACCATCAAATGCTTTACAAAGGAGAGAACAGTTGATCTGATGCTCACACCATGAATAGGACTTACCCATTGAAGCAGGTTGGTTTGTTCATAAAGATAAAGGGATGCCCATTCAAAGGCACAGAGATTAAGAAAAGTATAGAGAACTGCAGGTAATTCTGTAAAGAACCTAAAAACTAAATCAGTAAAAGTAGACATGGCTTTCAGAGAGGAGTCATAACATAGTTGAACATACAGCCTGCATTAAAACTTTGGTCTCCTTTTGTATCCGTATGCCTGTGGAGAGCACAGAGTACTTAAAGCCAATGTTATTTTAATGGAATTTCTTCAGATGCCGAAAGTTCAGTATAAATCGAACTGTAAACCATCCACATTTGCATATCCTGCCCCTCTGGAAGTACCAAAAGAAAAAGAAAAGGAAAAGGTAGGTTCTTTGTTCCTTTTAGCAGCATTTGTACTTAAATATAGGAGCCACTGAGTATTTTACTTTTTCTTTAACTATCTTTTATGTTTTAAAAGTAACACTTCTTATGCTAACATTTGACATTACACAAGAATATGAAGTGAAAGTCCTTTTTGTCTCTTGGTCATCCAAGTCTCATGTCACAGGAGTCACAACTTCTGAATCCCTCTGAAGGTTTTCTCTGCACATGTCAGTACTTTTTATACCACGAATAAAATTATTCTCTACATACTTTTCTGCATCTTGTTTTCACATTAACTATATTTTTTTTTATTTTTAAAACTTTCAATGTATACAGATCTCATTTTTTCCCAGAGCTGCAAAACAATGCCTTTACTATGTGTAGTACTGTTTGTTTTACCAGTTTTTTCTTTGATATTCATTTAAGGTTATTTCTCATTTGTTAGCCCTACACAAGTGAGCCTGGAATTGAAAGTCTTTATACACATGTATTTGTGCACTGTGTGAGTATATCTGTAGGTTAGAATCCTGGATGTCAGGTTACTTGATCAAAAGTAATGCACATTATGTTCATAGTTATTAACTAATTTGCCTTTCAAAATGGACATAATCACTTTATACTCCTACCAACTGTGTATGAGGACACTCCTGTATTAAAGAATAATACATTAAAGAGTTGTACTTGCCCATAAAGTTTTACTCAGTAAAATTATACTTTTTTTGATACCTTATATATAGGAAAGTGGCTCTTTCTCTCATAATTTTCATATTGGCCAGTTGTTGATTATTTGCTGTAAATTTTGTGTATAAGTAAGGATAATTAACCAAATTTGAGGGTAGCAGTTAAGGAATAGCCTTGACAGCATCTTGTTTCATCAGCTATGTTTCAGACCCTCCTTTGGGTCTGAAACAAAGTCAGCTTTTACACCAGTATTGCCCAGCTTTTCACCTTTGTTTTCAGCAAGACCCATGAAGGAGAATAATATAGGCTAACCACTCACCCACTGTGTATTAGCATTGTAAGACATATAGTCCAGAGAGGATATCTACAACCAGCGCTGAAGGAAATTGTTCTATTTTCCATTGCTTTCCTGTAAAGCAAAAAGGCTATAGCACCCAAATCTCAATCTTGGAAGTACATGAGAGCAAATTCATATCCAAGGTAGGCTACAGATCAAAAAAAAGGGAAGAGTTATATTGGACACAAGCCTCCAAGAACTAAAGATTCACTTGATGACAAGAGTAGTAAATTATTTCAGTAAATGTCCTGCTTAGTTTTCCCATTTATTCTTTGATTTATATATATTTATATATATATATATATATATATATATATATATATATATATATATATATATATATATGTAATACAGCTAGGAAATAGAATAGTGTTGTAGGACTGAGTTCTCTAGGGCTTGCATGTTTGTATGTCAGTAAGGGATTACAACAGTTTACCCTGCTCATTTCCCCAGGTTTCTACTGCTGTATTATCTATAACTGCCAAGGCTAAAAAGAAGGAAAAAGAAAAGGAAAAAAAGGAGGAGGAGAAAATGGAAGTGGTAGGTATAAATTGGTGGTCATATGGATTGAAGTATCTCTGTCTCTGTCATGGTCGAGATTCTTCCTTAGTTGAATATTATTCTACCTTGCTCTTGGCTTCCTTCAAACAATTATCCTGTTGCCAGCATGTAGAATCATCAAACTGTACTTGAAAGAGACTCGAAAATATATCCATTTGTGGGAAGAATAGAAGGGTACAAATCAGTAAAAAGTTCCTGGAGCAAATGACAACTAAAATAGGTTTTGAAGGGCAAAGTAGGTTTTTCACAGACAAGATGATGAGGTAGGAGAAAGAAAAACCCTTTCAAGCAAAGGGATTATCACTTGTTTAGGTAGACCTTTTTCTGATCTCTGCTGGTAGAAAAACCTTTTTAATCCTTTAAAACCAAGTCAAATACCATTCTCATTCCTAAGCAGAGTTACTTTTCCCTCCTCTGAGTCTGATAGCACTTTAGTTGTACTTCCATTACTACCGACCACTACCTCTTGTACCTTATAGCTGCTCAGTCAACTTCAGATGTTACTCAGTTCTGTGGAACAGAAATGAACTTCTGTTGAACTTTTTTTAAATTTTATTTTATAGGATGAGGCAGAGAAAAAGGAGGAAAAAGAGAAGAAAAAAGAACCTGAGCCAAACTTCCAGTTATTGGATAACCCAGCCCGAGTTATGCCTGCCCAGCTTAAGGTCCTAACCATGCCGGAGACCTGTAGATACCAGCCTTTCAAACCAGTAAGTTACCAGTGACTCTTAGCTGTATATACCAGTGGGATATTAATCCATAGGACAATAGAATATTGATAGAGAATGATAAATCTCCAAAGCATTGGAGCAAGCTCACTAGTTCTAAGAAATTATTTAACAAAAGAGAGAATGTTCTTTTCCATTTCATATAGATTTGGGAGAATTTTTCTTTTCCCTGTGTAACCCTACAAACTCCCGTCTTCTACCACAGACATACGACGTAGGAGTTCCTAATACAACAATTTGATTAGGAATATAGACTCTACAGCCAAGCATACAGGATTTGAATCTTGAGTATACTGCTCAGGCTAAGTGACCTTAGGCCAGGTACTAAATCTCTCTCTGCCTCAGTTTTCTTTATTATAAAACAGAGATTACCATCCCTGACTCAGAAATGAGGCACAGATTGAACAAGCACTGAGAACAAGACTTGGGACTGCTCAATAAGTATTGATTACTATGGTAATTACACCGTTGTCTTTTTTTTTTTTCTATTTCATTACACCATTGTCATAAATGCATTGCATTTTAGTTAGAAAAGGATCTTCATGGAATTTAATTTATTCCAAGACAGAGTGCTTCATGTTAAAAACAAATGCTTATCAGAAATATGAGTGTGATACTGCCTTTATCTTCCAGGTTCTTGTAGATAACTAGAGCGCCATCAGTAGACCCATCCAAGACATCCAGATGCTAGATCTGTCTAAAATGTCAGAGATTCGATTTCTAGATCCTTATCCTTATACAAGAGTAAACTTATTCTTATCAACCTGATGGTGGGTCAAAGGCAACTCCTATCTATAATTGTGAGTCGGGGTCTTAACCTGACTAATTTATCAGCTAGAAGAGATAAAGCCAAGGGATGCAAGATAGTGTATGTAGTGGTTTAGAGCTGGAATTTGGCATAACTGGGTTTTTATTTCTACTGTTAGCTGTGTGACTAAGACAAGTCATTTAATCTTTGTATTTCAGTTTCCTCATCTGTAAAATTGATATGGTAATGCTACCTACCTCCTGTTGATGTTGTGGAGATTAAATAGGTTGTTACATGTAAAGCACCTAAAACAATGGTAAATGCTAATCTGTAGCACTGCCTGATCTGTAGTAGTTGCTGTGTAGTGTTAAATGAATGGACAGAATCATCAATGGATACCTTTAATGCAGTCACTGTCTGATCTGCAACCTGGTTCATCTCGGTGGCGGTTTTACAGAGAACGTATTCTAACTGTGTCTGTAAACTTATCTTACCAGTAGCATGGGAATCCAGAACAGATGTATTAGGACACAACTAGAGCATACTCTAAGCACGTGAAATAACTAGTGTTTTTGATAATTATGAACTAAGACAGTGAGGCACGTGCTCAATGCCATGAGGCCATATGAGCACACTGTACACCACAGTAGAAAACTAAATGATTGCTAAGCCTTTGCTCAAATTAAGTCAGAGATAGCTATAACAGTTGGTCCACCTATGAATTAAAAGACTGCCTATGTCTGTGCAAGGAAGAAATGAGGAATCCTGTTGAAGGTATAGCCCTACACACACACACACACTCCTTCAAAGAGTGGGAGACTTTGTGTTCCAAAGTGTTTAAGGAAATTCCTGTCCAGTTGTTAGCTGACTACTAAGTTAAATGAGCATTGACTTTAGTGGACACACAAATCAGGGAATACAAACTTTATAGAATAGGAGAAAATATTTTCAAATCATTTATCTGATAAGACAGTTACATCTAGAACATACGAAAAGCTCCTCCAACTCAACAATAAAAAGACAACCTAATTTTAAAACAGGCAAATGATTTGAATAGACATTTCTCCAAAGAAGATGTACAGATGGGCAAATAAGCACATGAAAAGATGCTCAACATCATTACTCATTAGGAAATGCAAATCAAAACCATAACAGGTGCAGTGGTTCCCACTTACAGTCCCAGCTACATGGGAGGCCAAGGCAGGAGGATTGCTTGAGCCCAGTAGCTCGAGGCTGTAGTGCAATATGATTGTGCCTATGAACAGCCACTGGACACCAGCTTAGGCAACATAGCAAGATCCCATCTCTTAATTTAAAAAGAAACACAAAACCATAAGAAGATATCACATTCTACCCACCAGGATGGCTGTAATCAAAAAGACCGCACAGACAAGAATATGCAGAAATTGGAACCCTCATAGAGTAATAGTGGGAAAGTAAAGTTACAGCCACAGTGGAAAAAAAGAATTTGGCAGTTCCTCAAAAAGTTAAATGTAGTCTTATCATATGACCCGGCAATTCCATTCCATACCTAAGAGAAGAGAAAACTGTGCCCACACAAAAGCTTACACACTAACGCTCATATCAGCATGATTCATAATAGCCATAAAACGGAAACAACTTAAATGTCTTATCAACTGATGAATGAATAATGTGAGATAATAATGGAATATTATTTGACCATAAAAAGGAAAGACTTACTGATATATGCTACAGTGTGTGTGAACCTTGAAAACATTATTTTAAGTAAAAGAAGCCAGACGTAAAAGACTGCATATGGTCTGGTTCCCTTTATGTGAAACATTCAGAAAAGGCAAATCTATAGAGACGAGTTAGATTGGTGGCTACCAAGGACAGGGGAAGGGGAGAATGGAGAGTGGCTGCTACTGGGCCCACAGTTTCTTTAGGTTGATGCAGATATTTTTGAATTAGATAGCAGAAGTATTAATAGCTGCACAAGTTTGTGAATGTACTAAATTGTACGCTTTGAGAGAATGAATTTTATGTTAATATATCTCATTTTAAAAAAGAAAACACTGCCTCTGTGTATGTGCAGTGACTCACTCCCCTACCCTCAGTGGCAAGGTCATGGGACCCTTCCTCAGACACTGCATTTGAAAGAGGCAGCTGTAGTTTTGGAAACAAGTAACATTCCTACCCTGCTTCCTGTCCACCATGAGGCAAGAGGAAGTGTTTCATTGCCTATATCTACAGTTGTAATTAGCCTCCCCAGAGAACAGAAAATCGTATATCTTATGCATAGAGGGTGTGAACTTTCCCACCAACATGTAAAGCATTAACAAACCTAGACCATGTATAGCTATAAACAGCCCTTTCCATGTGTTGATTTGGATTATTAGTTTTGGGATTTTTTTTTGTGTGTGTGTTACTGTTGTTTTTGTATGATGAGGCCTTCCTTTGATTAAGTTGGATTATTTCATTCCAGTTAAGCATGAAATAGCATAACCTGGATCCACATTTTCCAAAAAATAGAAAGTCCTCATGTGAACGTGGATATTTTCTTCTGTTTGGTAGGAGATTCATCTCCATTTGGTCCATTAGGTTCAAGTAAACTTTTAGGCTATGGAGGATTAGGACAGTGGCCCTATGCTCCATTCTGGGAGTATTGGCAGTAAGGGCAGGGTCCATTCATAAAATGGATCCTCTTCAAGGAAAGCAAACTTTTTAAGGGAAGGGGTTGTAGAAAAATGTATAGATATGTGTGTGTCAGGAGAAGGGAAATAGTTCGGAGTTCACGAAGCACACCAGTTTTATAGCATGGCAGGGCAGAGTTCTGATGAGTAAAAATTGGATTAGGTTGAACTGCAGAGATGCTTATACATACGTGAATCATTTAACTAATGTACTTGTGCTTCTTTTCCTTCCCAGTAATGTGCTTTGGTAGAAATATGCTTTTTCCAGATGTGCCCTGCCACTGTTGACTGATTTAATTACATAGAGCAGCTTTCCATTTCCTTTGACACAGGCAAGCAAATAGAATAAGATTAGCACACTAGAGAGGGGTGAATAGTTTAGTGTTTGAATTTACCTTCTGTAATATGTTTGGGAGAGGGCTTAATAGAATTGCTGCTACAGTCTACTTCCCTTTTGTTTCCCATGTATTTTTTCATCGGCTTGCATCACGTGGATTTATAGATTAAAGTGAAAAACCCGGGATATCTGTGTTATTCTCTCCATCATTCTGAAATTGCTGGAGAAAAAATTGGCTTTTAATTTATACACTCTCGTGTTCAAAATGATTATCATCTCACAAATCATACAGTGTGCATTAGACTGCTTCTCAAACTTCAGTGTGCATCAGATTGACTGGGATCTTGTTAGAATGCAGATTCTGCAGATCTAGGGTGGGGCCAGCTTTTCTGCATTTTTAACAAGCTCCAGATGATAATGATGCTTCTGGCCCAGGACCATATCTTGAGTAGGAAGGAATTAGGATACTATATTTGGACAGTAAACATTCTTCCTGCAGTGAGACTGAGGCTGGTAGTCAAGGCCATGGCTGGGAAATAACTATTCTTAAATTGGGATGCATCATCCAAGTAGAACAGCATCACATGTTATACCATCTAGAGCTACTGGGTTAAGTTTGCAAATACTTCGTATAGATCACAGTTATCTTTATCCCAGTAAAGTTCTACTCCAGTTTTTCACTTCCAAATCATTTAAGTAGTTTTAAAGTACCATTTAACAAGTATTTACTCTAGATTGTGGAGCACGCTTGAAATATGAGTGTACGCTTCTGCACGCCCCTGTGTTTCCAGCTCTCTATTGGAGGCATCATCATTCTGAAGGATACCAGTGAAGACATTGAGGAGCTGGTGGAACCTGTGGCAGCACATGGCCCAAAAATCGAGGAGGAGGAACAAGAGCCAGAACCCCCAGAACCATTTGAGTATATTGATGATTAAGGGCCAGAGGTGCGTGTGCAACAAAATTATGAAGGGAAACTTCTTTGTCAATACTTCACAAATGTTTTTTGCAAGGACATCATCTCACGTTTTTCCTTCCTTTTGTGTTTAATCCTTATTTACCTAAACAGTATTAAAACTTCCCCGTTTCAACCTTTTTCTGCATATATAACCACAAATTCCTTTTTCTTTCCTCTTTGACTCGTACTCTACTCACGTTATTCAAAGTGGCTGGTCTGCAAACTATTTTTATAGGTCCATAAGGAGATAGGAAGCTTACTCCAGAATCTGTCTGCTCAACGCTTCTTTCATCAAGAAAGTCTTCCCCAAAACATCAGCTGAACTGCAGTTTGCTTAGTGATAGAGCTGATTTACATTCTGATGTAAGCTTCTTGTTGTGGATCAGTTATAGTTGTGGACTGGCACTGGCCCATAGGTGACACTTTTGAGTAGCACAAATATAGGCTTCTCACTGATTTTTCTCTCTCCCCATCTCCTTCGACAGTATTTTTGGCATAGAAGCCTTAACATTCATTCATTCTATGATGGTGCTATTGAATATCTACTGTGTATAAGACATAGTGCTTATAGGGACTTTGAGGTCAGTTAGACTAACCACAAGGCTGTGTCCATTGACAAAGATCATTTACTATATCAGTGTCTTAACAGTGTTGAAAGGGGTCTTTAGATGGGAAAGTTTGGAGTAATCTAATTTCATGAAATTGTCGTTCTTCATTTCCCCATTTTCTTTTGAGTGTTCATCACATATTTGAAGACATTGTGAGACATAATCAAGGTTTCCTAATTCCACCCAAGCACAAACACGTTTTCAGACAATTTTTTTTTTTTTTTTTTTTTTTGAGACGGAGTTTCGCTCTTGTTGCTCTTGGCTGGAGTGCAATGGCGCAAACTTGGCTCACCGCAACCTCCGCCTCCTGGGTTCAAGCGATTCTCCTGCCTCAGCCTTTCGAGTAGCTGGGATTACAGGCATGCGCCACCACACCCGGCTGATTTTGTATTTTTAGTAGTGACAGGGTTTCTCCATGTTGGTCAGGCCGGTCTCAAGTTCTGGACCTCAGCTGATCCGCGAACCTCGGCCTCCCAAAGTGCTGGGATTACAGGTGTGAGCCACCACGCCCGGCCAATTCATTCTACTCTTTAAAAAAAATAAGGACAGTATCATTTGTTATATTTAAAGGTCTGGTTGCAAATCTAGCATGCTGTGTGTTAGATACTGACTAGCAATTTAGGAAAGATTTGCAGAAATCTCAGATAAATATTAAGGTAGAAACCTGCCATTAGTAGGAAAATATATTTATACCTCAGGAAGACTATTAGTTTGGGCCTTAGAGAAAGGCAGATTTATACTAACCTTCCTATTTTCTAAACTTACTTTTGAAAATTATCTTTCAGCCTTGATAGTTTCCTAAGCTTTACCCAACTTGCACAGTACAGCGTAGGCTATCATGATCACTCAGTCTGTCTGAGAATTGAGGTGACTCACGTTAGCTCCCATCAAGCCTTTGGCAATACCTCATGGAAAACCCTTGATTACAGCTTTCAAGGCAGTTAATTACAAAATGACTTAGAGGTTTATAGCTGGAAACTGGAATCTTGTTAGTTTTCAAAGGGGTAAAATATTCAGTCCATTAGGAGTTTGGAAACTATAATCTGTCGTGGCACAAACTGGTATATTAGGACTGCAGAGGCAGGGTTGGGGCCTAGTTTTAGATTTCAACAGTTAATAGTAAAGAGGAAAAAAAAGAATGTCTTGAAATTAAGAATGACCCTAGCTACTACTGTTCTTTCTTCCCTTTCCCAGGATCTCACTTGCTTATCTGAAGAAGATTGTCCAGGCTCATATTGGGAATGCTTATGAGGAAATTCATGCCGAGACCTGCTATTCAATGCATGTATCGTTGCCTCTGCACTGACCTGAAGAACCCTGTCTCCAAGTCTTTGGTTGAAGAGAAGATATATGACTGTTGAGTGTGCTCTTTCACAGAACTTGGTTTTCAAATAAATATAAGATCTCCAGATGGACAAGACATTTGTTTTTCAGCCTGGGTTTTTAATAAATGTATCTAATCCTCCCCACACCATGAAATGCCTAAATCCCAAGAGCCAGAGTCTTGATTTGCTAGGATGAGTATGCACGACTTTCATATTGATGAAAAAGTCAAACTATTCTTAAATTATAGACCATGAAAATAATGGAAGGGAAAAAAATCAAACCTTGCTCATCACCCCCAAGAATTCTCTACAGTTTTGTTGTGGTTGTGGGTTGTTGTTTAATATGGGGTCTAATCAGCCAGGGCAACATGGTGAGACCCCCATCTCTACAAAAAAATTGAAAAATTAGCTGGGTAGGCCAGGCAGGGTGGCTCACGCCTATAATCCCAGCACTTTGGAAGGCCAAGGTGGGCAGATTGCTTGAGCCAAGGAGTTTGAGACCAGCCTGGGCAACATGGCAAAAACTCACCTCTACAAAAAAAAAAAAAAAATTAGACATGCACAGTGGCACGTGCCTGTAGTCCTAGCTACTCAGGAGGCTGAGGTGGGAGGATCACCTGAGCTTGGAGGTCGAGGCTGCAGTGAGGGTTGATTGTGCCAGTGTACTCCAGCCTGGGTGACAGAGTTAGACAGTTTCTGAAAAAAAAAAAATTAGCCAGGCAGGGTGGTATGTACCTGTAGTCACAGCTATTCAGGAGGCTGAGGCAGGAAGATCAATTGAGCCCAGGAGGTTGAGGCTGCAGTGAGCTGTGTGTGCACCACTGCACAACAGCCTAGGCAACAGGGCAAGACCCTGTCTGGAAAAAAAAAAAAAAAAAGAGCCTCACTCTGTCGCTTAGGCTTAGGCTGGTCTCAAACTCCTGGGCTCAAGCAATCCTCCCACTTTAGCCGCCTGAACTACAATTTTTTAATCGAATAGAGGGTGTCATCACTTACTGAAGTCCCTTTCATAATCCAAGGGAATTGTGTGTTTAGGCAGCTCAGAAGCTTTTTTGTTAAACCTTTGCTTATTGTTTTTTGCTTTTGATCCTGTTAATAGATAAAATTTATTTAGTTTCCTTTAGCCACAGGATCTGATAACGTACCTTTATTCCTTTCTCATTTTCCAATCTTTTTTTCATGTTTTTTAAAAATTAAAGTATAATTTAAAAGCAATAAAATGCAGACATTTGAGGTATATACAGGATAATGAATTTTGACAAGTACAATTTTTGTTTCTAGATTATCAAGCCTTTCTTGGATGCTAGGCTTTTAGAATAAGCAGTCAGGGTTGATATTCTGACCACTACACCATCTCCTCATGTTCTGGCATATGAAATGGATGTTTCTGATTTACTGGGACATGGAATTTAAAAGAGCTGGATTTCAAGGGTTTTGTGTTGTTTTATGAGTAGGTAGCTTAAAAAATTATACAGGAATGGCATTTTGCCCCTACCTTGATTCTTTCACTTCTTAACTTAGGATGTAGTTTTCTGAATCTTGTAGGGGGAAACTATTCTTAAAGGAAACAAATTCCTGAGTAGATTAGCCCTAGTACATTCATCTACCACAGGCTAGTTTTTATGTCCAGGTCTAAAGGTTACTGATCCCAGAGGATCAACCACTCATTGGTTAATTTCATTGTATCCCCTCCTTTGTAAATTCCTTGTTTCCTCAATATCAGATGATTCTATAAAAGAGATTATCTCATTTCCTAGCCTCTCATTAGCTATGTCCTTCCTGTTCAAGCTTTTAACGTTGCTTGCATTTCAGACAGTTATCTCTTACATTTCCCCTAGTATATGAAATGTTTAAAAAACAGAAGTCTCTGGATGTCACTGTACAAAATTGAGTAGTCTGGGAGGGGTGGTACATTCGCTGGCATCCTGCCAATGTTATCACACTCCTTCCAAAATAATAGACTGAACTTCAGGGAGCAATTAGCACTAGTTCCTATTAGGCAGTGCAATTCAGAATTTAAATCTTGAAAAGGTTATAGCATTAAAAAGTGCAAGCTATAAAGTAACATATCTACATGGAACAGATTATGATGAGACAGTCGGTATCTGCTTTCCTGATGAATATTTATTTATTTGTTTTGAGATGGAGTTTTGGTCGTGTTGCCCAGGCTGGAGTGCAATGGCATGGTCTCAGCTCACCGCAACCTCCACCTCCCGGGTTCAAGCAATTCTCCTACCTCAGCCTCCCGAGTAGCTGGGATTACAGGTATTTGCCACCATGTCCAGCTAATTTTGTATTTTTAGTAGAGACGGGGTTTCTACATGTTGGTCAGGCTGGTCTCAAACTCCCAACCTCAGGTGATCTGCCCACCTCAGCCTCCCAAAATGCTGAGATTACAGGCGTGAGCCACTGCGCCTGGCCTCCTGCTAGGTTTTTTTTTTTCCTAGATGTCCTGGGATATGCATTAGGACTGAGAGCTAACCAAGGAGTAAGGAAGTCTACAGTAAAATAAGAGTGAAAGTCATATGAAAACAGGCTAGGAGCTAGAGTTGACACAACCAATAGAAGAAACAGAAGGGAGGGTGGCAGCAATTACTCCCAGATGGTGTCATTGTGGCACACAGTGTCAGGGTTGACGGTAAGTGGGATGCACAACATTGAAACCAGTTGCAAGTGATAAATGGTTTGGTTTCTTAAATGGGACCGATCCTAGAATCTAGTCTTTTCCTACTGGCCTGCAGGTAAATGACTCTTGCGTTTTAAAAATACTCTCCTTGGGGCTGGACATGGTGACTCATGCACTTTGGGAGGCCAAGGCAGGTGGATCACGAGATCAGGAGATCAAGACCATCCTGGGCAACATGGTAAAACCCCGTCTCTACTAAAAATATGAAAAAATTAGCCAAGCATGGTGGCATGTGCCTGTAGTCCCAGCTACTCCGGAGGCTGAGGCAGGAGAATCATTTGAACCCAGGTGGCAGAGGTTGCAGTGAGCCAAGATCGCGCCACTGCACTCTAGCCTGGGCAACAGAGCAAAACTCCATCTCAAAAAAAAAAAATTATCTTTGGCTTTCTTGCTCTAATTTTCCTCCTGTCTCTGACCTCTTCATTTGACAAATCAGTAGTATTTCTCTTTATTTGAGCATCTGTTTGTGCAGAGATTCTTTGGTTTTTTTGGCAAGTCCCACTCCCTCTGACTGCACTTTAACTGCCAACCTTCAGAATTTGGTCTTTGATCCTCTTCTCAGTCTACTTTCTCCAAGCAACTTCGTCCATCCCATGTCACCCAGGCGGGGGAGTGCAGTGGCACAATCCCATCTCACTGCAATCTCCGCCTTCTGGGCTCAAGCAGTCCTCTCACTTCAGCCTCCCGAGTAGCTGGGACTACAGGCGCATGTCACTACACCCGGCTAATTTTTTGTGTTTTTAATAGAAATGGGGTTTCACCATGTTGGCCAGGATGGTCTCCAACTCTTGAGCTCAAGTGATACACCCACTTACCAAGCTGTTGGGATTACAGGCATGAGCCACCACACCCAGCCTCTGAGCTTCTGACATGTACCTTTCAGCAACTCACTGGTGTCCCTATCTGGGCTGCTGCACAAGCACTTAAAACATGTCCAACCACACTCCACACCCATCCTGCTCTACTTCGGGCTAATGCCAAGCCCTCCATGTGGTTTCCTACACCAGAAACCCCAGCTTCACCTTGACTCAATGCTTGGCATCTCAATTATCTCTCCAGTTCATCCACTTCCCTTCCCCACTGCTCAGTACCCTCAGCTGAAGCATTTAACTGGTCTGTACTTCCAGAATTGACCCATTCTAATCCATTCTCCAAACTGATCTCTCTAAAACACAAATCAGGCCTGGTATAATGGCTCACACCTATAATTCCAGCACTTTGGGAGGCCGAGGCAGGAATCGCTTGAGCTCAGGAATTCAAGACCAGCCTGGGCAACAAAGTGAGACCGTCTACACACACACACACACACACACACACACACACACACTAGACGGGTGTGGTGATGCGTGCTTCTACACACACACACACACACACACTAGATGGGTGTGGTGATGCGTGCTTGTAGTCCCAACTACTCGAGAGGCTGAGGCAGGAGGATCGCTTGAGCCCAGGAATTCAAGGCTGCAGTAAGCCGTGATCACGCCACTGCGCTCCAGCTTGGATGACAGAGCAAGACCCTGTCTCCACCAAAAAAAAAAAAAGTTAGTCTTAAAAACCTGTGCTTTCTTGTTACCGAATAAAGCCCAAGTTCTTCAATATGTACACATGGCTGCCCAAGGCTTGAACTGCTGCTTGTCTCTCCAGCCTCCTGTCTCTTCATTTTTCTCTCACCTCACACTCAGAACTGCTTTTTACTTCCTCCAAAGACCCAGGCTTTCTGTCATCTGGCCTTTGCACATACCATTCCCTCTGCCTGAAATGCCCACCTCTTTTGATTCCCGCCATTTTCTGCCTAGATCTGGTAGATCTGCTTGTTATTTAGGAGGTTTTTAAAGACCTCCTTCAAGAAGCCCTCCATGATTTCTCCCACCAGGGCTGACTTAGGTTCTCTGTTTCCCCAGTACCCAACATTGCCCCGCATTGCCGCCCCACCGTATTTTCATTCATTGCCTGGTTTATTTGCCTAACCTGTCCTACATTTGCTCACCATCATAAACCCTAGCATATAATTTATGGTCACATACTCATTTGCTAACTGTGGCTGCCTTCCCCAAGTACCTAAATGTCTCTTCTCACTCTTCCTCCAGTGACTAAATGCTCCCGCTAAGGACTTTTTCCATTAGTTTTGCTCTTGAAAAACGCTTGTTTTTCTTTATGTGCACAGGCAAACAGTGTCTCTGGAATTTCCAGCTGGCGTGAGATGATGAGAAGACATGAGCATGGGCAAAGATTTTGTGGCTTTGTCCCAGACAACTCCCAGCCTTCTTGTATCGATTATAAATGAAACACTTCCACTTCCTTAGCAAGTGCATTTTGCTGTTTCTAGGGTTCCAGTTTTGGTTCCACCCTCCCATCCTTTACTGTTAAAGCTGTAGGGGCCCTTCCAAGCCAAACCACGTAAATGGGAAGATCATGGGCTTTGGCCTCAGATTTAAGTCCAGATCCTCATCTGAGGATCCCTTCATGGGTTCCTCATTTGCACAGAGGGAGTCATGTTGACCTCAAGGTTGTTACAGGGATTTAAGAATGGCTGATTATTACACGATGGCTATGTGCTACTGATGAGAATCACATGCATTGTTCCTCATTCCTCACAGCCACTTGAAGAGGTAGATGCTATTATATAGAGAAAATCTACGTTAAGAAACCGGCACTCAAGTAGGCATTCACTAAATTTTACCTGAATCAGAATGGTGTGGCCGGCCAGACGCAGTGGCTCACGCCTGTAATCCCAGCAGTTTGGGAGGCCGAGAATGGCAGATCACTTGAGGTCAGGAGTCCAAGACCAGCCTGGCCAACATGGTGAAACCCCATCTCTACTAAACATACAAAAATTAGCCAGGCGTGTGGTGTGCCTGTAATCCCAGCTACTCAGGAAGCTGAGGCAGGAGAATCACTTGAACCTGAGAGGCAGAGGTTGCAGTGAGCCGAGATTTTGCCATTGCACTCCAGCCTGGGCGACGAGTGAAACTCCATCTCAAATTTTAAAAAAGTGCCAGGCATGGTGGCTCACGCTTGTAATCCTAGCACTTTGGGAGGCCAAGGCGGGCGGATCCCCTGAGGTCAAGAGTTCGAGACTAGCCTGGCCAACAGGGCGAAATCCCGTCTCTACTAAAAATACAAAAAAAAAAAAGACCGGGTGCAGTGGCTCATGCCTGTAATCCCAGCACTTTGGGAGGCTGCGGCAGGCAGATCACAAGGTCAGGAGATCAAGACCATCCTGGCCAACATGGTGAAACCCCATCTCTACTAAAATACAAAAAAATTAGCCGGGCATGGTGGTGCGCACCTGTAGTCCCAGCTGCTCAGGAGGCTGAGGCAGGGGAATTGCTCGAACCCGGGAGGCGGAGGTTGCCCCGAGCCAAGATTGTGCCACTGCACTCCAGCCTGGCGACAGAGCAAGATTCCGTCTCAAAAAATAATAATAATAATACAAAAAAATTAGCTGTGTGTGGTGGCACATGCCTGTAATCCCAGCTACTCAGGAGGCTGAGGCAGGAGAATCATTTGAACCCAGGAGGCGGAGGTTGAAGTGAGCCAAGATCGTGCCACTGTACTGCAGCCTGGGCAACAGAGCAAGACTCTGTCTAAAAAAAAAAAAAAGAGAGAGAGAGAATCATGCGGCCTAACACCTCATGCAGGTGAGAACATGCAGACTGAAGTGCTTTATTCAATATCAAAAGCCATTTTTACATTTGTGTTTCTACTTCCTCTTTCCGTTAACCTGGTTTCTGGCCTCTTCATTTTCTGGTATTGTTTGATCCAAAGGATCAACAGACACACCAATAGCCGTGTCTCTTTCATCCTATACCATACTCTGCTCCACATTTCTATCTGCCTCCATACTCCTAAGTCAGTATGCCTTTTCAGAAAGGGATTTTTAACAAAAGCATTCTTTCCAGTTGCCCTCTACAATGTAGCCCATTGGTGATGGGCATTTGCCACTTGTTCGCTGGGATCTGGGCAGTACCTTTGGTGCATGTACTCAGTGTTTTCCCAATCAGCGAGTTATTTATTTTTAATAAAATTATATCCCAGGCCAGGCACAGTGGCTCACACCTGTAATCCCACCTCTTTGGGAGGCCGAGGTGGGCAAATCACGAGGTCAAGAGATCAAGACCATCCTGGCCAACATGGTGAAACCCCGTCTCTACTAAAAGTACAAAAATTAGCCGGGCATGGTGGCGGGTGCCTGTAATCCTAGCTACTCAGGAGGCTGAGGCAGGAGAATCGCTTGAACCCGGGAGGCAGAGGTTGCAGTGAGCCGAGATCGTGCCATTGCACTTCAGCCTGGGCGACAAGAGCGAGACTCCGTCTCAAAAAAAAAAATTATATCTGGTAGATAATTACCTTTAGAGATCTTGGGCATTACGCAGAGCTGGGACTTGGCAAAGAGTTAGACAGAGATAAGGAATTTTCCATTAAGTCTTATTCCCATGACCTAGGCTGGGCAGCATCTGACTCTTCTGCCATTATCATCTCTCAGAAGCCCTGATACATGTTCCAAAGATTTCAGAGGTTTGCAAGTGTCTAAGCCTTTTTCTGTATGCAGAGTATCAACTAGCATCTCTAAAGTAACAACAGGGACGGGTCGTAAGGAAATTCCTTCCTTTGTTCCAGGATTAGAAGCCTGATGGAGGGATTCACTTACACCTCACTGTCAGTCCCCAGTAATCTCTTCTCTGAGCAGCTCTCAGGCATGTATGACACATGGTTCACAAGGTGATTACTTGTTCTCCTGTGGTTTCCTGTGTGTGTACAATTTTTGTTTCCTAACCAGTCTATAAATAAGCTCCTTAACGGCAAGTCCCAAAGTGTCCCCCAAAGTCCCCATCACAACGCTTGATACATGAGGCCTATTGGTATCAGATTAAATCATTGAGTTAGCTCTGGGAGTCTAGTGATGCCCTTGATCCTGACTGAGTTTCTTCATGGCACTTACACCCACCTGGCATCATAGCTGCTTATTTGTTTATTGTCTGTCTCCCCGGATTAGCACGTAAACCTAATGAGGACAAGGAGTTTGTTTTTTATGACTGCTGTATTCCTAGTGCCTGCAGCAGTTTCTGGCTCATTGTAGACTCCTGGTAAATAGTTATTGGAAGGACAATAGTGGCGAAAATGTATTTAGCTCCTGTGCTCTAGGCACTGCATTCAGCACTTGGCTGCCCTTCATCCTCACAATTCTACGGTGAGGTAAATGTTACAGATAAAGGAAATAGAGCTTAGAGATATTACAGGTGCATGGTAATTTACAGGACTGGAATTCAAACACAGCGTTGTCTAACTATAACACCTGTTTCTTTTGGTTTTGTTTTACTTATTTCCCTTTTTTAAATTTCTTTTTTCATTTTTATTTTTAATTTGAGATGGGGTCTCGCTGTGTTGCCCAGGCTGGTCTCAAACTCCTTAGCTCAAGCGATCTTTCTGCCTCAGCCTCCCAAAGTGCTGGGATTACAGGCGTGAGTCACCGTGCCTGGCTATTTTCGATTATTTCTTAACCACTATGGCAGTGATTCGGCAGATTTGGAGTCCACCTCAGGAATCCAGCAAGTTTAGCAGGTACTCAGATGATTCTGAGACGGATGGTCCTGAGGCCTCCACACTAAGAAACTCTCCCATATAAAGGTGCCTCCAGAAGACCTGAGTCTCCTGGCCATTTCAATGAAGCGTGGATACAGGAATAGTGCACACCCCAGGACGCTCTACCAGCATGGATGACAGTAGACATAAGCGAAAGTCCTCCCTGAAAAACAGATTTCTCCAGAGGGTACTCAGGGTCTGTCTTACCATCAATAGAGTACAGATATTTCTAGAGACGGAATATACTTCCCAAAGGGGAGTTCCCCAACCACAGAATCCATTGACCAAGTGGGAGCAGGTGGGAGTGCCGTCTATGTCCCCTTGGACGGGTCTCTCTGCAGGACACAAGACACATGGCAGCAGGTCTGCCAGATTCCCCATCTCCAGGCTCTGCTAAACTCGCCATGGCAATTGCTGTTTATCATCAAAAAGGCGTTGGATTGGCCAGGTGCGGTGGCTCATGCCTGTAATCCCAGCGCTTTGGGAGGCCAAGGTGGGTGGATCACTTGAGGCCAGGAGTTTGAGACCAGCCTGGTCAACATGGTGAAATCCCTCTCTACTAAAAATACAAAAAATAGCCAGGCGTGGTGGCGGGCGCCTGTAATCCCAGCTACTCGGGAGGCTGAGGCACAAGAATTGCTTGAACCCTGGAGGCAGAGGTTGCAGTGAGCTGAAATTGTGCCACTGTGCTCCAGCCTGGGCAACAGAGTGAGACTCTGTCTCAAAAAATAAAAAAAAAAAATAAAGGCTTTGTGTGTATATGACCCTAACAGCAGCCCATATTTTGAAATGCTTCTGGCTGTCTTTCCTGGAGCCCATGCTTGGCATACCATGGAGCCCAGGGGCCACAAGAGCCAGCAGGGGCAGCCAGAACGCACCACTTCTCTTGGGAAGTGCCCTGGCCTGAGACTCTGCAGCTTGCAGCAACCCAAGGAGATCAATACACATCCGATGACCCAAGCAAACAGTGCCTATGAGTGGGTGCCATGGAGTCAGTCCTTGCCCTGGAATCTCCAGGCCTCGGGCCTGCCCCATGGTGGCCTGGACACAGGTGCTTCAGCCTCTTGTCGGTTCTCCAAGGGGAACTCTGTTGAGTCACACTAGTCACGCAACAGCGGGAAGCCAGCAGCAGGGGGAAGTGAGAGGGCCACGCTCCAGGGTCAGATTAGGACAGCAGGGCCAGACTCCTATAAGCAGGCAAAGGACACGCTGGAGCCAGCACAGCAGAGGCCCAACAAAAATAATTTCATTTTTCTTAAAATAATTTGATCAACATTTGTTTGTCATTGAAATAATCTTTAACAGAAAAAGGAACAAGTCATCAGACTTCCTTATATTCATTCTGTGGCTTACAGCTGTTGTTGTTTTTAATGGGGACAAAAAGGGAGGGGGGTGAGTAGAAGGCACCGTAATCTTTTTAGTGCTTAGAGTCTTTAAATGTCTTAATCCAGACCCGAACAGGGACACATAATCTGTGCTCGGTCCCTCAACATTCTCAAGCCACTGGTTCAAGATAAAGTCATACTCTGGCGGTGGAGCTGATACTGACAAGGATAATGAACGTGGAGAAGGAGCACATCGCAGGGCAAAGACCACTGACCTGACCAGACGGTGGGGAATCCAGTCTGCAGACCGGACCTAGCTCAAACTTCTGTATCAGGTTACAGACGATGGCAGAGCCTCCTTCACTCATTCATTCGCACATTCAATAGTGAACTTCCACAACGTCTGCAGCCCAGCAACCACTGGCACTCCTGGTAACGGGTATCTGTGCCTTCATTTCTTCTTAAGGGAAGTGGCCACCTCCTAGCTCAGCCCAGATGCCAGCCCACACATTCCATCCACCAGGTGACAATGATTGGTTCAGGGATGAGCACGTGACCAAGTCAGGCCAATCAGAGCTAACAAGACCCAATTCTGGGGTATCTGTTCTGGCTATTGGGAACCCATCTCTCTCTATCAATCAGGATCTATCTATCTACCTACCTAACTACCTACCTATCTTACCTCTCTACCTAATCTATCTTATATCTATTGTCTATCTATCTATCTATCTATCTATCTTCCACTGATGATGTAGCCTGAAACTGCTCCTTCCACCATGTAGATCCTGAATGTGGCACCAACCAAGAGGAAGCTGAGCTAAGAAGCGGATCCAGACGGGCTCTCCTAAGCCCTACGTCCAGCCGTGCCTCTACTTCCAGACTGTGTCATTCCAGGCAGCAAGTTTTATTTGCTTAAGCAAAACACAGGCTACTTGGAGGTGAATTTCTGGCACTTGATACCAAAAGAGCACTTTAAGAGGAGCCGTGATGGGGGGTATTATGGACTGAGTTGTGTCCTCCCAAAATTCATATGTTGAAGCCCTAACCCCCAGTACCTTCAGAATGTCACTATATTTGGGTGGGCACGGTGGTTCACGCCTATAATCCTAGCACTTTGGGAGGCCAAGGCAGGAGGATTACTTGAGCTTAGGAGTTTGAGACCAACCTGGGCAACATACTGAGACCTTGTCTCTACAAAAAATTTTGAAAAAATTAGCCAGGTGTGGTAGTACATGCCTGTAGTACCAGCTACTCAGGAGGCTGAGGCTAGAGGATCGCTTGAGCTGGGGAGGTTGAGGCTGCAATAAATCATGATGGCACCACAGCTCTCCAGCCTGGGCAAAAGGGCCAGACCCTGTCTCAAAAAAAAAAAAAAAAAAGAAAAAGAAAAAAGAGAAAAAGGAATGTCACTATACTTGGAGGTGGCCTTTAAAAAGATGATTAATATAAAATGAGGCCATTATGATAGGCCCTAATCCACTCTGACTAGTGTCCCTATAAGAAGAGATTGGGACACAGACACACACAGATGGAGGGACACTGTGAGGACACAGGGAGAAGGTGGCCACCTGCAAGCCCAGGAGAGAAGCCTCAGGAGAAACAAACCTGCCAGCACCTTGATCTTGGACTCCAGCCTCCAGAACTGCGAGAAATAAACATCTGTTGTCAAAACCACCCAGTCTGTGGCTGTTGCAGCCACCCAAGCAGGCTAACACAGAGGGCTTACCTGAAGAAAGGTGGGGCGGTTGAATGCGGGCAGGGGGCATGAAGGAGGTGAGCCAGCTGGAGGAAATCACTGCAGTCATCACTGGAGAGCTGAGGAGGAGGCGGGAGTGATCAAGAGAACATGGACTTGAGACTTGGTCACTGATGCTGACTGCATCGGCGTAGGGAGGAGATTGGCTTCTTCCTGGAGCCTGGTGGTGCCGGCTCCACTAGGAGGGAGGTCGGGGGCACTGAGTGGTGACTGTGAACTTCCCTGGATCTGTCCTCACTGCGCTCTGTGCCTCTTCCCACGCTGGATTATGAGCTTCTGGGGCTGGACTTGGGTCCCTTCATTTTCATATCCCCTCCACTTCCAGGGCCTAGATTCTCAGGGAGGGCACCACTGCCCCTGGGAAGCATTGCACACAATGATGGGACATTTTTGGTTTCTACAATGATGGGGGAATCCAACCAGCGTTCCTGGAGGGAGCTGGCATGCTGGACGTCCTGCAGCGCTGGGTGGGCAGAGACTGACCTGGGGTGGGTTCAGAACTTTACCAAGAGCTGTTCATCATTTTGAAAACTCACATCAAAGATAGCCACACCATTTGTTCTGCTGAGTCACCAAACCAGCACACACCTATGCCAGTGCGAGTGTGCATGACCCACTCTGCCTCAGGTCACCTGCATCAGACTTTGCTTCTTTCTAGAAAGATCTGCATTTTTCTATGCTTTCTGGTATAGTCAGCCTAAGCGCTTATACATGGAAATTATTTTATATATATACATATATATATATATAATTGCTTTCCCCAGCCTGGGCAACATGGCGAAAACCTGTCTCTAAAAAAAATACAAAAATTAGCCGCGTGTGGTGGTAACTGCCTGTAGTCCCAGTTACTTGAGAGGCTGAAGTGGGAGGATTGCTTGAGCCCGGGAGGTTGAGGCTGCAGTGAGCCATGATCGCACCGCTGTACTCCAGCCTGGGTGACAGAGAGAGACCCTGCCTCAAAAAGTAATTACTTAATTAATTAATTAAAATAAATTGCTTGCCTTTTATTTCTTCTTTCCATTAGAGATAGGGCATTATAAGGGTCATTTTTAAATCATGTGGATAAATATCTGGGAATTTCCTTTTAGGACAGGAAAGAGGATATTACGAAACATGTTATTAAAGGGGGAGTCTGGGAGGGTGGAGACTCACCGCCCAGGTCAGCCAGGCATGCTCGATGGGGAGCCCCTCTGAGGCCACCCTGCCTGTCCTTCCCCGCAGGCCTGGCACCCTTCTCAGCCTCTACCCTATAAGGCCATGTGAGGGCTGAGCAGCAGACAGAATGAATGGGCTTCCCTGGCCGGTGGCTCTCACGGCTCCCCGGAGCAGAGGGAGGGGAAGGTTGTGGAGACTGGGACTGAGCAGCCTCCCAGGAGAGGAAGCTCCACAGCAACCCCTGCCCCGGGAGCCCCCGATTGGAGGTAGCCTCCAGAGCTAATGCTGGGCAAGCCAGACTTTGAAGTGCAAGCAAGGAAAATGCCCTGTGACCCCTGCTACTTCCCTCTAGACAGGTGCACACACATGCCCATGGGACAGATGGGTCTAGAAAATGTGAGTCAGGACAGATCAGAGCCTTGAAGGCTCCTGGGGCCAGAATGGAGGGTGGGGAGGGAAATCTGTCCCTTGTCTTGGCTCCTTCCCCAGACCTGTGTTCTGGGTTTGGTGCCACTGGTGGAGATGGCGAATGGCCTGCCTAGGGGCGGGTGAGGCCACAGCTGGCCTGGCCTGAGACCTGAAGGCCTAGACAGCTTGGATTCGGGGGGCTTTGGGCTCCAGACCAAGACCTTGATGCTGCAGGGATGGGGCCCCCATAGTGTACCACCATCTGCAGAGACCCCTGGATGCAGTGGGGGTTCAACCATGCCCCCACCTCGCTGGAGGGCCAGGGCCTTGCTCCAGTCCCCAGCCCCACCAGCACTTCCAAGCTGGTTCCAGGGAGGCTGGGAAGAAGCTGGGCCTGGCCTTCCTTCCACAGTTGTTCTTGGAACCAAAAATGTTTATTTCCCAGCCTTTTGGTAGCTCCTCCAGGGAGGGACGTTCACAGGCAGGCTGAAGGGGAAATGGAGACACAGGACAGGGTGGTAACTCATCCGGGTCATCCTGTGCCTCCCTGCCCAGCCCTAGCCTGTGTGGAACCCAGGTCCAGATCATGTCACAGAGAGCCTGGGTCCCAGCAGTCAGTGGGACCACCTCCTCTCTCAGGGCCCTGGTGGATTCCCCAGAGGATGCTGCCTTCAGCCGGCCCTGTGGATCTGTGTGTCTTTGCTGGACTGCCTCTGGGACCACCCGCCTTAACCAACCTGCCAGGACAGAAGGACAGGTAGGGTCAGGCTGCCAGTCTGTCCCTCCAGCTCAGGAGTGGGACTGGCCTGAGATGATGGTATGGCACCTGCTCTGGATGGGGTGCAGTGTTCAGGCTGTGCAGGAAAAGGTCAGAGAATGATGTGGGGCCAGTGTGCCAGGGCCAGCAGCAGAGACAGAGCTGAGATCCCAGAGCGGCCACCACCTCCAGGGCAGCCAGGTCCTTGAGCCACTTCCAGGTCCTGCGACCCTTGGGCCCAGCCACTGAAGGCTCAAGTTCTTCGCCCGGACCTCCCCGGTCAAAGTGCTCAGCACAGGAAGCGCCGTGGGCCTGGGTGGGGGTCAGCTATCCTCCCAGGCTCTGGCCAACAGGCATGAGCTATTTTGTTATTGTTATTTTTAATTTATGGGGTACATGAGATGTTTTGATACAGTCATGCAATGTGAAATAAGCACATCATGGAGAATGGGACATCCATCCCCTCAAGCATTTATCCAAATTTGAGTTGCCAACAGTCCAATTACACTCTAAGTTATTCCAAAATGTACAGTTATTGACTACAGCCACCCCGTTGTGCCATCAAATAGCAGGTCTTATTCAATCATTCTATTTTTTGTACCCATTAAGCATCCCCATCCCCTTCCAAGCCCCCGCTACCCTTCCCAGCCTCTGGTAACCATCCTTGTACTCTCTATGTCCATGAGATCAATCACTTTGATTTTTATTAATTACATTTATTTATGTATTTATTTTGAGACAGAGTCTCACTCTGTCGCCCAGGCTGGAGTGCAGTGGTGTGATCTTGGCTCGCTGCAACCTCCACCTCCTGGGTTCAAGCGATTCTCATGCCTCAGCCTCCCAAGTAGCTGGGATTACAGGCAAGTGCCACCATGCGCGGCTAATTTTTGTATTTTTTGTAGAGACGGGGCTTCGCCATGTTGCCCAGGCTGGTCTCGAACTCCTGAGCTCAAGCAATCGTCCCGCTTTAGCCTCCCAAAGTGCTGGGATTACAGGCATGAGCCACCGCGCCCAGCTATTTTGATTTTTAGATCCCACAAATAAGTGACAAAGTGCAAGGTGTGTCCTTCTGCCAGGAACTCTCTCAGCTTTTTACCCTGTGCCCACCTATAAAGAGAATGCCACGCCCCTGCAAGTGCCCTCACCCAGGGGAAATGCACAGATGGCATGAGGGGTCCCACAGGTGGCTGGACACTCATGCACCTCAATGTCGGGGACATGCTCCCACTCTCTTGTGCTCCTATATGAGCTGGAAAATGTCCCCCTAAAATTCATTTCCACCCAGCGCTCAGAAGGTAACCTTATCTGGAAATAGAACCCTTGCAGACGTAATTAGTTAAGATCTGGTCATACTGGAGTAGCGTGGTTCTCCAGCACCAGAAGCCAGCAGATAGGCAGGGATCAGAGTCTCCCTCCTAGCCTTCAGGAAGAGTTAACCCTACTGGTCTGATGTCAGGCTTCTGGCCTCCGGAACTGGGAAGGAATCAATTGCTGCTGTTTTCAGCTGCCCAGCTGTGCTCATTTGTTATGAGAGCCCCAGCTGACTGATAAGCTACCAGGCATGGTTCCTTTCCCAAGGCCACCTCGTGATCCAACGTGGCGCCTGGGCTTCAGACGGTACATCTGCGTTCCAGCCATCAGGAGAGGGAGGAGGGAGAATGCTGAAGGCACAATCTTCCCCTTGAGGGACACTTCCCAGAAATTGTACACATCATTTCTGCCTTCATTTGGCCAGAGATTAATCACTTAGTGGTATGTGCCCAGCTAAAAATGTTTGGTTTGGCTGGGCGCAGTGGCTCATGCCTGTAATCCCAGCACTTTGAGAGGCTGAGGTGGGCGGATCACTTGAGGTCAGGAGTTCGACACCAGCCTGACCAACATGGTGAAACCCCATCTCTACTAAAAATACAAAATTGGCCGGGCGTGGTGGCAGGTGCCTGTAATCCCAGCTACTCGAGGGCTGAGGCATGAGAATCGCTTGAACCGGGGAAGTGGAGGTTGCAGTGAACCGGGATCGTGCCACTACACTCCAGCCTGGGCAACAGAGTGAGACTGTCTCAAAAACAAAGATAAAACACAAGCAAAAAAAATTGGTTTTATTCCTTTTATTCGTCTGGGAAAAGGGGAGAAGAAAGATGGAGGCGCTATACTGCACACTGACACTCCACAATAAACAAACTTCCTCTATTAGATGTTTCTGGACCCTAAATCCCAAGATCCCCTGATGGAGCCAGTGCCTTCAGCACCTCCATGAGCAGCTCACCACCTTGCTAGCTCCCTTTCTCCCCAACTCCAAAGCTCCTTCTAGGCCCCTTCTAGGCCAGGACACTCCAGGTCAGCCCCAGTGCCCCCATGGGACCACACACCCTCCACCCACTTCGGCACTGAGACCCAAAAGGCCCCCAGGCACAAGCACCCCACCTCCTTGAAGGCAGTTCTGAGACCCCGGAGTCTCACCCTGCTCCTCTTGCCACCTCACCCTAGAGGACTTATGTAAGTATTCCTTCCCGATGAATCCATTGCTCCTCCTAAGAGGAAATCTGGAGAAAGAAATGTCCTTCATCTGCTACCATGGGACCCCATTACCTTTCCAGCCTGATTGGTCAGTTGGGCTTCCCCACCCACAGCCAGAAAACCCTCAAACTCAGAGCATCTCTTCCCTCCACCCCCACCGGCTAACAGGCCTGGAGTAAATGACACTGTGGGGTCCAAGCGGCTCAGGCTTCCTCAGCCTCAGAGCTCTCAAGGGGTGGGTTGAAAGCTTTCTTGAAAGCAGGGGGTCCCCGCCTCCCCAAAACCCCTCCCACAGACTTCTCTCACTCTCCACATGTTTCCTGGCTGGTCCCAGGGACTCTCTTGCCTCTAGTAGGATGAATCCCAGAGATTTTTGGCTCCCAAATGGGACTCTGGTGCGCCTCCTGGGAGCTGGGACCCGCTGCACCCCTGTAGTTATGGGACTGGAAGACAGCTGCCAGGTCTTCGCCCGCAACATGGGGAGCACTGTCTCGATGCGTTCATCCTGACGGCTGGGCACTGACGGGCCAGGGAGCAGCTCTCTGAGCCTCAGCTCTCTCCATTTGATGATGCTGCCCCTTGGGTCTGTGCCCAAGGTGTCAGCCTCCAGATGCACCCAGACCCTTGCAGGCCAACCTCTGTCAGGACAGCCCCAGTCCTCAGATAGGGTTTGCTTAAATCTAAAGGGTGGGCAGGGCTCATGTCACCTTTTTCTGGATAGCTTCTACGCCTTGATTCAAAGCAGGGGCCGCAAATACCTAGGGGAGTGGGTGACTTAACTCCATTTACTAGAAGTGTCTGAGCCTGGACAAGCTGCCGCCACACTGCACATAACTTCAGCACAACTGCCTCCTTCAGCACCTCCCCCAGGATCCCGGGGCCCCTTTCCAGGACCTGGAGAAATAGGAGGACACGGCTGAGCCCCTGCTCACAGAGGGAGGGAGGGAGGGAGGAGGGGGCCCCCGGAGCTGAGATTCAGCCACTTGTTCTTTCCTCCTGCTTAGAACTCTGCTTCGTGGGCAGGAAGGGAGGCCTGGGATGGAGGCTGGCTCTGCCAGGGAGCCTGTAAGAGTGCAGACTCTGCCTTGCAAGTGATCAGTGTGAAGAGCTCGAGTCAAAAAGGATCCTTTATCCAATACACTCAGAGGCATTTTAGAAAGTCAAGAGGGTGCAGCCATGCCAGGGTAAGGACTAGGCTCCCAGCCTCCAGGGAAGACCCTGGAAGGCCTTGGTGGCTCCTCTCTGGTTCTCAGCAGACCCAAGGTTACCCAGGCAGAGCGGACATGCAGTCCCAGTCCCACACAGGGCTGAAAGCGGAGCGGAGAGGGAGAGAGCGGGACGGAAGCCCAAAGACCGAGGGCACTGTAAAGTCCTACTTCCAGCCCTGCCCAGCGGGGCCAGCTCCACCCCTGACTTCTCAGGGATGTGAGCCAAAGAAAGCCCTTTTGGCTTAAGCTGTTTCGAGACAAGTTCCTATCACTGAATGTGAAGGATCTCTTCTTTCCTAAGACACCGGACAGCTCTGATCTGTCCTTTGTAAGGAGTTCAGGCAGGGAGGGAAAGGGCCAGGGGCCGGACCAGAGAGAACGTGCAGTAAGGGACCCGGGTGGGCCAGGGCTGCCGGCCGGCCAGGGCAGCTCCACAGTCAGGGGCTGGGGGCTAAGCCGGGGCGTGTTGAGAGGGGGCGGCTTGGGGGTCGGTGATGGGAGGAAAACAGGGAACCCAGGACGCCCGGGTGGGGACTGACTCTCCATTGCAGGGCGTATGTTTTCTGGGCGCCTCTCGCCGTCCTGACCGCTGGGCTGGCAGAGATGGCGCTGTGTTGCTGGAAATGACGGCCTAAGGGAGGTGGGGGTGCACCTGGGGCCAGGTCGGGCTGTGCTGGCTGTTCCCCAAGACTCTACCTGAGTCTCCCGCCGCAGCCAACCCCAATCCTTCCCACGCCGGAGATCACTGCAGTGACCCACCCTTCGTTAAGTGTCAGGCCACTGGGTAAAAATCCCTGCAGCCCCTCGCTCGCTTCTCTTGGCTGGAGGCCGCGGGACGGGCTCGCTCCCCCCGCCGGGACCCAGATCGGGAACTGGCCCCCACGCCAGTCTGGCTGCGTCTGGGCCGCTTCCCGGGCTGCTCCGCCGGCCGGATGCTCCCGCTGAGACATTTATCCTCCGCGGAGCAGGGCCCTGGGGGGGCTGCCCCGCCTGCACTGGCCGCGGGTCTCTCCTTGGAGTTGGCTGGGGTACCCAGTGGGCCCGCAGCTCGGCTTTCTTGGCCGCAGATGCTGCAGGGGCCCTGCCTAGGACCCTTGAGTTCCAGCAGAGGCACCCAGACTGCTGAGCCAGAAGATTTGCGTTTCTTTTCTTTTTTTTTTTCTTTGAGACAGAGTCAGGCAGATCACGAGGTCAGGAGTTCGAGACCAGCCTGATCAACATGGTCAAAACCCTTCTCTGCTAAAAATACAAAAATTAGCTGGGTGTGGTGGCACGTGCCTATAATCCCAGCTACTCAGGAGGCTGAGGCAGGAGAATCTCTTGACCCCGAGAGGCGGAGGTTGCAGTGAGCTGAGATTGTACCATTGCACTCCAGCCTGGGTGACAAGAGTGAAACTCCATCTCAAAAAAAAAAAAAAAAAAGATGTTCTCTGTGTGCCACATCTTGCTGGTCACCCAGGTGTGTTGACCTGCCAGGAAACTACCCAAATGTGGTCACTTTAGCATCTATTCCTCCAGCTTAAACCAACATGCCACCCTCTGGGCTAACATCCTGTGCCCTGTGATGTGCTTTTTTAAACTTGCTTAGAAAGTGACAGTCCTCGGCCGGGCGCAGTGGCTCATGCCTGTAATCCCAGTACTTTGGGAGGCTGAGGCGGGCGGATCACGAGGTCAGGAGATCGAGACCATCCTGGCTAACATGGTGAAACCCCGTCTCTACGAAAAAACACAAAAAATTAGCCGGCACGGCAGCGTGTGCCTGTAGTCCCAGCTACTCGGGAGGCTGAGGCAGGAGAATGGCGTGAACCCGGGAGGCAGAGCTTGCAGTGAGCCGAGATCGCGCCACTGCACTCTAGCCTGGGCGACAGAGCCAGACTCCATCTCAAAAAAAATAAAAAATAAAAAAGAAAGTGACAGTCGTCATGAAAAGTCTTAAGTGAGTATGTCTATGAACACCACTGATGAAAGCCCTAGCAATCTCTCCAAGTGTGCCTGCTTGGAAACCACCTGGGAATCCAGGCTTGCTCTTCCAGATGTTCATTTTGAGGCCTGAGTTTTTCTGCCAACCTCCTCCAGGCCACAGAACGATTGGGGCAGTGATGCGGCTCACATCCTTGGGACAGGGGAGGAAGGACACACACTAGAGGCCACAGTGGCTGCTCAGTGACTTTCAGGGGTCGCCTGCTTTACCGCCCACCGAGAGCTCTTTTGGGAGATGAATATTTCCACCCGGTGTGCTCTCCTTCCAAGAAATCTTCAGCTTCCAGATATAAACAGCTTTGGGAAGGGGAGTGGGAGGAGAAGCAGCCTTTGGGAGACAATTGTTCCTCCACCCCTACATGGACTCCGGGCTGGGAAGATGAATGGACCTGCATACCCCACACATCATGAGTTTTGAGCAGCGACCAAGATCCAACTTTCCTGGAAGGAAATGTTCGCTTAAGCAGCATCTTGTAATTCATCTCTTGATTTACGCCGGGCATTTCAGTATGTTCCTCCTCCATCCCACTGATTAGATCCAGGCGCTGGGCCTGCCCAGAAACATGCTCTTGGTCTGAACTCCCCCTGCAGGAGCTCCCGGATGAGGCAACTGCGTTTAGTCTAGCTGGCCGCTGGTCTGCCTGGGTGGGTCAGGCTCAGTGTGCTTAATTTAGGTGGCTTCACCCTTTTATGCAACTCAGGAAAGTAACATTTACCAACTCTCCCTCTTTGCTTGTGGTCTCAGCTCTTTGCCTTCCAACAAAGACAGCAGCCAGAAAGATGCCTGCTTTGCCTGCAAAGATGACTTCATTCATGAACTGTGTGTAGCAGGCCACAGAGGAGTGTGACCCTCCTGCCCCTAAAGTACTCAGGGCTAGGGCCCACAGAGGGCTCTAGGCTGCAGAAGAATCAGCTGTGTCCCCCACCAGAATCTAGAGCTCCACCAGTCCCTTCGATGTCCTATGCAAGGCTGAAGATATTGGCTAAAGTGTTCAGCATATTCCAAGGATTTAATTTGAGGTTAAGTTTTTCCCAGCACCAGTGTCATTATAATTCTAGAATCTGAGAGATGGGTGTATGGCGATTCACTAAACCATCCTCTGGTTTTGCATATGTTTGAAATTTTCATAATTAAACAATTTAGAAAGTCATCTTGGGCCCATTGGCAGTATGTATCCCATTTTGGGAAAACTGGAGTGGTCAAACAAGAACATTTGGGGCAAATGGGATGCTTTGGCAGGTCCTAAGAGTGGGGAAGCTGAGGCAGCTGGTTCAGTGTATTGCTATGAACTCATGGAATATACACAGCAGAGCCAACCTAGAGACTGCCTGGAGGAAGCTTCAGAACTAAGCAGTTTTGCCTCTTGTGACAAAAGTATCCTTTGTACTCCCACGAGAACACATCGAATAAGTTAAACAGACTGAGATTGAGTCAGAGATTTTCCACCTAAATACTGGCATTATGCTTACACAAGTGTTCAGGATTCAAAGAAAGTCTTAAATTATAACTAAGGAATTATAGTAGTTTAATTATTTTTAAACTGTATCAAACCGTATCTATTTGTTCCATATCACACCTAGTCACGGGGATGATACAATTCAGAACCAACCCAGATCCTTGACAACTTGAGCTGCTGGTAAGAAGCCAGCTACTTCTGTATTTATTATAAGAAAATGAACCACCACCCCCATTGCTGAGGCCACTTTTAGTTGATATGACATTGTGAAATAAGAAAAATATATAATTAGGCCGGGTACGGTGGCTCACACCTGTAATCCTAGCACTTTGAGAGGCTGAGGCGGGCAGATCACCTGAGGTCAGGAGTTCGAGACCAGCCTGGCCAACATGGTGAAACCCTGTCTCTACTAAAAATACAAAAACTAGGTGGGCGTGGGGGGCACGCACCTGTAATCACAGCTACTCGGGAGGCTGAGGCAGGAGAATCATTTGAACCCAAGAAGCAGAGGTTGCAGTGAGCTGAGATTGCACCACTGCACTCCAGCCTGGGTGACAACAGCAAAACTCTGTCTAACAAAAAAAAAAAAAAAAAGAAAGAAAGAAAAAGAAAGGAAAAATATATAATTGATCTCTGCCCCTGGCTCCTGGCACAGAGCTCCTAAAATTCTTGTCATTTCCTGAGTGATGGGGCACTAGGTGGATCTTTTTGTTCTATTTGGTCTTTGTCCCTTGCTCCTGATAAAGGGTCCTAATCCCTTGGAATTTCATGGGTGATGGGAACATCTAGTATTCTAATGAGATGACTCTTGGTGGGCTGGTCACCAGAAAAACCAAGCCAAGGTTAGAAGCTTGGAACTTTCAGCCCCATCCCCATCTTCTGGGATGGGGAGAAAAGCCAGAGATTGAGTTGATAATTGATTGTGCCGACCAGGCGCAGTGGCTCACGCCTGTAATCCCAGCACTTTGGGAGGCCAAGGCAGGCAGATCACCTGAGATCGGAAGTTCGAGACCAGCCTGACCAACATGGAGAAACCCTGTCTCTACTAAAAATACAAAATCAGCTGGGCGTGGTGGCGCATGCCTGTAATCCCAGCTACTTGGGAGGCTGAGGCAGGAGAATCGTTTGAACCCCGGAGGCGGAGGTTGCAGTGAGCTGAGATTGCACCATTGCACTCCAGCCTGGGCAACAAAGAGTGAAACTCCGTCTCAAAAATAATAATAATAATAATAACAATCGATTGTGCCTGCATTACGAAGCCTCTGTAAAAATCCCTCAACCACAGCGTTTGAAGAGCTTCTAGACTGCTGAACCATGGAGGTACCTGGAGTGGGCATGGAAGGTCTGCGCCCCCATCCTTTGCCCTGGGTACCATCTCATCTGGCTGTTTATCTGTAACCTTTGTCACATTCTTTATAATGAGCCAGTACATGTGAGTGTTTCCTTCTATGAGCCATCCTAGTAAATTAATGGAACCCTCATTTATAGCCATTTGGTTAGAAGTACAGATGACAACTGCTACTTTTGACTGGCATCTGAGGTGGGGGACAGTCTTGTGGGACTGAGCCTTTGACCTATGGGATCTGATTCTAACTCCAGTCATTAGCTAGTATCAGAATTGAATTGTAGGACAACCAGTTAGTGTCTGCTGGATAGTTGCTTAGTGTGTAAGGAAAAACCTCCACACATCTGCTGTCAGAAGCATTGTGTTGAGGACGGGCATGGTGGCTCACACCTATAATCCCAGCACTTTGGGAGGCCAAAGCGGGAGGATCGCTTGAGCCTAGGCGTTCGAGACCAGCCTGGGCAACAAAGTGGGACCCCACCTCTAAGGAAAAAAAAAAAAAGAAAAAGCCGAGCATAGTGGTGCGTGCTTGTGGTCCCAGCAGCTACTTGGGAGGCTGAGGCAGGAGGATCACTTGAGCCTGGAAGCTGAGGCTGCAGCAAGCTATGACTGTGCCACTTCACTCTAGCCTGGGCAACAGAGTTAGACTCTGTCTCAAAAAAAAAAAAATGTGTTGAGTGTGAGAAGAGTAAAAGCAGTCAGTTTGGTTTTTCCTATCTCAAACAGACATATAGAAATTGTGTCTATGTTAGTCTGGTCTCTTTTGGTTGCAAGTGACAGAAACCCAACTTGAACCAGTTTATTAATTAAAATAATTTTTTTTTTGTACAGACGGATTTTTTTTTTTTGTACAGATGGATGTTGCTATGTTGTGTAGGCTGGTCTGAAACTCCTGGCCTCAAGCAATTCTCCCACCTTGGCCTCCCAAAGTGCTGGGATTACAGGCATGAGCCACCATGCAGGTCCAAACTAGTTGAAATTAAAAAGATGGTTGAAGTCGGGTGCAGTAATATGTATAATCCCAGCACTTTGGGAGGCTGAGGCAGGCAGATGGCTTGAGCTCAGGAGTTTGAGACCAGCCTGGGCAACATGGCAAAACTCCGTCTCTATAAAAAGTACAAAAATTAGCTGAGCGTGGTGGCACATGCCTGTAATCTCAGCTATGAGGGAGGCTGAGGTGGGAGGATTGTTTGAGCCCAGGAGGCAGAGGTTGCAGCAAGCTGAGATTGCGCCACTGCACTCCAGCCTGGGTGACAGAGTAAGACCCTGTCTCAAAAAAATAAAAAATTTAAAAGACAGTTGATTGGAAGGATGCTGGAGGAGCTGTAAGAATAAGTGCAGCTCCAGGGAACTCAGATCCTGGGACCAGGGATTTGATGTCCCCAGCACTTTCTTTGCATTTCTCTAGGTAATGGCTTCATCTTCTCAGTCTTTCCCATGTAGTGAATGCTGTAGGCTGCCCTGGAGTCTCACTTTACAATAACCTGACCACACTTCAACAGCAAAATCCCAGGGAAGGACTATCATTGGCTTTGCTTGGCTCACATGCCCATCCTGGACCCATCACTGAGGCCAGAGGGATGGGGTAAGATTGGTCCAGTTTGGACCATCTGCCCATCCTGTGGTGAGGGATGGGGTATGTTACCAGAAGGGAGAGGGGAGGTAGACAGACAAAGACAATAGCCACCACAATGACCATAATCCCGGCAGTCAGGCAAATGCACTCAGGAGGGAAAGCAAAGCAGGTGGGGTGTTCACGGCAGCTCAGAGCCCAGGGTCCAGAGACACGGAGACCTGGGTTTAGTCCTGGTCTCCTCAGTGGTGTAAACTTTGAGGAGTTTCTTAATCCCGTATGCCTCATGTTGTTCATCTTGCCAAAGACAAAACAGACAGCTCTAATCTCAGCTAATCAACCATGAGACAAAGAATGAGAAGCTGAAAAGTCTGTCCTTGGCCTTGCCGGCAGACTCAGGCAGAAGGGAAAAGGTCTGCATTTGTCCTTGTCACAGGTAAACAAGGGGGTCATCCGTGCATCATATGGGAGGCATGAGAAAGACAGGACTGTGGGTCTGATGAAGTCATATGTGGAAGGGTAGTTCTTTCTGATAAGCTACTTCCCAGAACACAAAAGTGTGGAGGATTTTAGAAAACAAAAGGTTTGGGGGTGCGTGGGTGAGATTTCTTAACTGTGGCTGTTTTCTAAGAGCACACAGCTCAGGTTAATTACAACATTGTCAATCAGTAAAATGCTGAAAATATTATTCATCTCATAGATGTGGTGTGAGAATTAAAAACTTTTTTTTTTTTGAGACAGAGTCTCACTCTGTTGCCCAGGCTGGAGTACAGTGGCGTGATCTCGGCTCACTGAAACCTCCATCTTCCGGGTTCAAGGATTCTCCTGCCTCAGCTTCCCGAGTGGCTGGGACTACAGGCACATGCCAATACGCCCAGCTAATTTTTGTATTTTTAGTAGAGACAGGTTTCACCATGTTGGCCAGGCTGGTCTGAAACTTGTGACCTTAGGTGATCCATCTGCCTTGGCCTCCCAAGTGCTGGGATTACAGGTGTGAGCCACCGTGCCGGGCCTGGTGTGAGAACTAAAGAAAACAATCTATATGATTCACTTAGCACAATGCTGGGCACACATATAGGCTGCACGTTTTGCAAACAAAAATACAGAACAATATAACATCCTACATGCACAATAAAATGAAGCAGTTTTTGGGATTTACTTACACTAAAACATTATCTAAAATTTACATTTAACTGTGTGTTCTATATTTTGTCTGGCATCTCCCGGCATACAGTTGTGTTGACGATAAATATTATGGCCATGGATTGAAGATTTATTTTCAATCCATATTACCTGGACAGAAGATAGGGCTCTCTTCTACTAAATACAGCTTTTTTTCTTTTGGAAGACAATCCACTGGCAGGGTTGGGGACTGGGGAAGTGGTGGCCACAGCCCATCTTAGGGCTTCTTCAAAGGCGAGCTGACCTACCTTCTCCGTGCCCCATTCCCTGTCTCTGGCCCTGGTAGCCTCCTCCTTCTTGGAAGCATGGAGGTGGAAACACTGAGGTGGCAACGAGAGACTCCCACGGAATCTCAACGCCTGGAGGGGAGGGATTTTCTATCCATGGCCATCTCTTCACCCTCCAGCACAAAGTTGGGTGACTAGCAAGTGCTCATTCAGTGCTGATGAACTTCAGTTCAAAAGCATCAGGTGCAAAGAGAGGGAAGACGTGTGCTCCTGATTTATTTTTAATAGCCCACATTTGACATGGAAAACAAAAAGTTTCTCTGAAATCCTTGGAAACCGCTGCAGTGGGGCGGGACCCTGGTCCCCGGAGCTTTAATGCACATCTTGGGCGTCACTTTTGGTTCTAAGGTGGCCCCAGGTCCCTCCTTTAAGATGGGAATAACCATGCCTGACTCTTTCCCCACGGACACCACACTGTCCTAGTTTGTGTTCTCTACGCGACCACGAGCTCCTTGAGACAAGGGGTTGAGCCTGCTCCGGCTCATCCCGAGAGCCGGCGCAGCGACTGGCGCAACGAAAGGGAAATGAACGAATGAATGAACGAACGAAAGTGGAGTGGTGGAGAGGACCACAGAAGACGCGGTCATCCAGCGCGTGAACCTTCACCACTGCTGGGCTGTGGACCCTCACTTCCGCCGCCAGGAAGTTTCGGGGTCGCCCACCTTCCCTCCCAGGCTGCTCCGCGTCGGCGGCGCCCCGCGCGATTGGCTGCGCCGCCCCCACGTGACGCCGGGGTGGCGGCGGCGGTTGCCCGGGTGACGGCTGCGGAGGTGGCGGCCGGGCTGGGATAGCGCGAGTGTCCGCGGCCGAGCAGCAGGTAAGCGCGTCCCCGGATGCAGCCGGGCCACCCTCCGCCCGCCGTCCTGGTGCTGGGAGGAGCAGCGGTGCGTTTGGAGGGCCGAGGCTCTGCGGACCTCTTGTTCCGAGGAAAAACCCGACGCGCCCGCTCCGCCGCCGCCGGATGCTACCACTTCTCGCCTGCGGTCCAGGGATCTTTCTTCGGCAAGGGCCGAGGCGGCCGCCTGGACATCCCAAGAAAGGACAGGCCCAGCTGCTTCCCGCAAGTAGTCCCTGATCTTTGCTGCAGTGGGCCATACTTGGAGGGGGTCCCTCAAGCCATCCAGCTGGTGGTGGCGGCGCGAGCGGGTTATCCGGGATTTAGATCCCCCTGATAATCTCCATCTGCTAGCCGCGTTCCTGAGGCACCCAGTTGAAGTCCAGACTTCACCTAATCTTAGGAAAAACAGGATGCGTGCTATGCAGATTCGGCTTCCATACAAATCCCATAATCCCACCCGTTTGTGGGCCCTAAATCTTTCTTATATAGGAATTCAAAAGCTGCCGCTGCAATCCCCAAATGTAACTGGAAAAGTTTTTCTTAGTTTCCGCATAAAGGAGAGCACTGGTTCTCAAACTTGAGAGTGTGTAAAAGTCACTCAGGGAGCTTGTTTAAAAGGCAGATTTCTGGGCATGGTGCCTGCCACGGTGTTCAGTAAGACCAGGGTGGAGGCAGGAATTTTCATTTGCACAAGCGTGCCAGCTGATTCTGATTTAGGTGGTCCAGACTTTGGGAAATACTGTGTAGTGGTTCTTTTCAGCCGCTTAGTCACTTACTGTGGCTGTTGGGAGTGTGTCAGACTTCCTGGGCCTCAAATTGCCTCATCTGGAATGGGAAAATATAAACTATATTCACCTGTCAGGTTTACTATGAAGGTTAAATGTAAAACATTTTGCACATTGCCTGGCATACCATATACCTTCAATAAATGATACCTATTATGATATAAAAGTTTAGAGAAAATTCTGTAATTTCTTTTTCTTTTCCTTTTTTTGAGACGGAGTCTTTCCCTGTCGCTCAGGCTGGAGTGGAGTGGCATGATCTCGGCTCACTGCAACCTCCACCTCCTGGGTTCAAGCGATTCTCTTGCCTCAGCCTCCCTGGTAGCTGGGATTACAGGTGCAGACGCCACCACGCCCGGCTAATTTTTGTATTTTTAGTAGAGATGGGGTTCCACCATGTTGATCAGGCTGGTCTCGAACTCCTGACCTCAGGTGATCCGCCTGCCTCAGCCTCCCAAAGTGTTGGGATTACAGGTGTGAGCCACTGTGCCTGGCCAATTCTGTAATTTCTAAGAATGTTGAGTAATAGGATACCCAGCAGCACTCACATTCAATGACAGTTGATCACAGCAGATACTATTTAAACGGCTTAGGGAGGTCTACTCTAAGGAGGTGATGTTTATTAGGCACAGTGGTTAACCAGGTGAAGAGAGGGAAGAGTGTTCTAGGCGGAGAGAGTAATATGCGCAAAGGCCTTGAGGTTGGCCTCAAGGTTTCAAATTCTCAGAAACTCACTTTTCCCGTTCCAGGGCCTTTAAAATGACATCCCCTCAGCTCCGGCTTCATTTATTCATTATATGCCTTGAGTACCTTTCTTGCTTACTAGACACTCTGTTAGGTTCTGGGGATATGAAGTTGAAATACAGCTCCCTGTCTTTGTGAACAGGGTTATAAGAAGTGCCAGGTGCAGTGGCTCATGCCTGTAATCCCTGCACTTTGGGTGGGTGAATCGCTTGAGGTCAGGAGTTCAAGACCAGCCTGGCCAACCTGGTGAAACCCTGTCTCTACTAAAAATACAAAAATTAGCTGGGCGTTGGTGGCGGACGCCTGTAATCCCATATACTTGGGAGGCTGAGGCAGGAGAATCACTTGAACCTGGGAGGCAGAGGTTGCAGTGAGCCAGATTGCACCTTTGCACTCCAGCCTGGGCGGCAAAAGTGAAACTCCATCTCAAAACAACAAAATTAGCTGGGCGTCATGGCGCATGCCTATAACCCCAGCTACTTGGGAGGCTGAGGTGGGAGAATCACTTGAACCCAGGAGGTGGAGGTTGCAGTGAGCCGAGATCCCGCCACTGCACTCCAGCCTGGGCAACAGAGCTAAACTCCATCTCAGAAAAAGAAAAAAAAAAAAAAGCCTTGGTAGGGAAAGAAGGGAGGGGTTTTTCATGGAAGACTTCTTGAAAAGAGATTAAATCTGGCTTGGCTTAGAATCATGAGTCATGTTTGCCTGGGGGGGCAGAGCATACATCAACCACAGGCTTAGGATCCTGGAAGAGCTTGTTGCATGGGGGAATGGCCAGGAGTTCGCTGTTGGCAGGGTCCAGTGTGGGATTGGTGGAAGGGAGCAAGGAGAGGGATCAGGTAGGGGGAGGTGGATGGATTGGAGGCATGGTCCAGAAAAAGGCTGGAGAGGTGGGTGTCCCCCAGGAGCAGCTGCCTTTCTTCTCTCCCCTTTTGCATCTGGCAGGGCTGGTGTGGTGCATGGGGAGGTGTCCTCCCTGCTCCTCATTACTGCTTCCAGATCACTACCCACTCCTTCACAAACCCCAGCTCCTTTGAAGCACATGGCAGATGCCATACCCCTTGCCAGCCCTCCCTGAGGTAGCCACTTCCCAGGGCAAGTCTCTCCAGTTCCCTTGGAGCCTCCAGCACCCGGCTGGCTGCCTATCCCTTCATCTCTTTTACTTCACTTTTGGGGGTTTCCACATCCTGGCCCCTCCAGTTTCTTCATCCTCCTTACTTGCAGGCGTCTCTTTCCTCCATCCTCCTCATCTGCCCACTCCCGTGGTCGGGAGCTTTTTAGTACTAGTCACCTTCAAAGTCTTGCCTTCAGGCATCTGTCCCACTCTCTGCCCACTCCTTTCCATCTTTCACACTCACTGGAATGTGCCTCCTTCAGCAGGTCTCAGACCCCACTGCTTCCTCACTGCTCTGCAGCCGCCTTATGTGTGTTCCCCTCCCCCATTCTTAACCTGATTAGTTCCAGTGTCCCATCGTGGTTGTACTGTTTTCCCTTTCCTCTCTCTTCTAGAAGAACCTCTCACATTGGTTAACCTAACTCAGATAGCTGAAAGTGCCTGGAGAAGAGCTGCAAAACTGTGCAGACTGATTCCATTTTAGATTCAAGTGCAGAGATCTTAAATGGACTATAATACCAGCAACCCTGCCATGTTGCTGTAGTCGCTTTGGTTCCCACCCTCCCTTCCGTTCCCACTCTCCCTTCTCTTCGAACTGTCACCATGCTTCTTACTTGCAGCCGATGACCTTTTTTCTTTCTTTCTTTTTTTTTTTTTTTTGACAGAGTCTCACTCTGTTGCCCAGGATGGAGTGCAATGGCACGATCTCGGCTCATTGCAACCTCCACTTCCTGGGTTCAAGCGATTCTCCTGCCTCAGCTTCCAGAGTAGCTGGGATTACAGGTGCCTGCCACCACACCCGGCTAATTTTTGTATTTTTAGTAGAGATGGGGTTTTACCATGCTGGTCAGGCTGGTCTTGAACTCCCAGCATCAGGCGATCTGCCTGCCTTGGCCTCCCAAAGTGCTGGGATTACAGGCGTGAGCCACCGTGCCCAGCTGATCTTGTTTCTTGTTTCACTTTTTTTTTTTTTTTTTTTTTGAGACAGGGTCTTACTTTGTCACCTAGGCTGGAGTGCCATGGCGTGATCCCGGCTCACTACAGCCTTGACCTTCCTGGTTCAAGTGATCCTCCTGTCTCATCCTCCCCAGTAGCTGGGATTACAGGCACACACCACCACACCCAGCTAATTTTTGTATTTCTGTAGAGATGAGGTTTCACCACGTTGCCCAGGCTGGTCTCGAACTCATGAGCTCAAGTGATCTGCCTGCCTTGGTGTCCCAAAGTGCCAAGATTACAGGTGTGAGCCACTGCACCCAGCCTGTTTCACTTCTAATCACTAAATCTGTGTCTTTGCTCAGCACCCATATTCTCTGCTATCCCTCTGAATGCCGTTCCTGCTTCTCCCTTAAACTCCAGGCTCATATATCTGTAAGAATTAAAGAAAGAGGAGAGAAACACGAAGGGTGACTTGACAGTCAACAGGTTTGTTTCCTGGGTAACGGCCAAACTTCACCCTCTTACAATGGGCCTCAGTATAACAGTGGGCCTTAATAAGGACATTCTGTTCCCTTCAGGTGCACTAAGGGAAGCTAAAAGCAGACTTGGGGGGTATGCCTGCAGCTGCAGAAAGTTGTATAGGAACAGACACACAACTCTCCCTCCCAGATAAGCACAACAGAGAGACACAGAAACAGTTCAAGCCTTTGATAAACTCTCCCACCCTGAATCCTTAAAAACTCTTAGTCTGTAGGAGAGTGTGGCTCTGACCTAACTCGGTCGGAAGTCCCTCCCAGGTTTGAAATAAACCTGTTGACTGTCGAGCCACCCTTCGTGTTTCTCTCCTCTCTCCTCTTTCTTTGGTTCTTACAATACCCACTGACCATTTCGGAACCTCCACTGGAATGTCTAACAGGCAGCTCAGACTTATAGCCAAAACAGAGCTCTTGGTTTGACCTCAAAACAGTCCTTCCCCAGGTTTTCGTTGACTCAGCAAATCACATACTCTTCGGCCAGCTGCTCAGATCCCAGGGTTCTTCCTTCCCTTCTTCCCCTCATGTCCCACAACTAACTGGTCTGCAGATTGTGCCTCTTCTGCCTTTTCCATCTGGACTCACAGCGCTCATGGCCCCTCTTGCTTATCCAAATGATGCTCATGGCTGGCGTGGCCTGAGCAGTACTCATCTCCCTCTTCCCACTCCCCTCCAGTCTTCTCTGTAGAGCAGGCAACATGCATATTAAAAAATGGACATCAGCAGCCGGGCGTGGTGGCTCACCCCTGTAATCCCAGCACTTTGGGAGGCAGAGGAGGGAGGATTGAGCCCAGGAGTTCAAGACCAGCCTGAGCAATGGTGAAATCCTGTCTCTGAAAAAACCAAGGCTGGGCGTGGTGGCTCATGCCTGTAATCCCAGCACTTTGGGAGGCCGAGGCAGGTGGATCACCTGAGGTCAGGAGTTCGAGACCAGCCTGGCCAACGTGGTAAAACCCCGTCTCTACTAAAAATACAAAAATTAGCTAGGCATGGTGGCGGGTGCCTGTAATCCCAGCTACTCGGGAGGCTGAAGCAGGAGAATTGCTGGAACCCCGGAGGTGGAGGTTGCAGTGAGCCAAGATTGTGCCATTCTACTCCAGCCCAAGCAACAACAGCGAGACTCTGTCTCAAAAACAAACAAACAAAAAAAAACCTCACCAAAAACCAAACAAATGAAAAAACCAGAAAACAAAAGACTTGGGGCATAGTGGCACACTCTGTAGGCCCAGCTACTCAGGAGGCTGAGGTGGGAGGACTGCTTGAGTCCAGGAGTTTGAGGCTGCAGTGAGCTATGATCATGTCACTGCACTCTAGCCTGGGCAACAGAGGGAAACTCTGTCTCAGGAAAAAAAAAAAAAAAAAAAAAGGACATCAGTGGTGTCAGTCCCCTCCTCCATACTCTCTCTGAGCCTCCTGTTACTGTCAGCCTAATGTCCAAGCCACTTACCAGCTCTGTAAGGCCCACCTGACCTGGCCCCGGCCCCCCATTGCCTGCTGCTGTCTGCCTCACCCCTAGCTACATCCCAATACCCCAAGACTGCAGAGCTCTTCAGCCTGAGGCCTGTGCACTAACAAAGCCATCTTCCCCAGATCCAGGTGCTCAATCTTTGCTGAAATGTCACATTCCCAGTGAGGCCATCAACCACTCTATCTAAAATAACCCCATACCCGTCTCCTTCAGGTTCTGTCCCTTTCCTTGCGCTGTTTTCTTCATGTCTGGAATCAATTTCCACTCCGTCCATGTTTTTGAGCCTGTACTGTGTGCCAGGCACTGGTCTAGGCACAGGGGAACACCTGTCAGGTGCTGTTGAGAAAAATCAAGCAGTACAAAGGGCTGAGAAGTGATGGGCCGACCTCTTAGAAAGGGTGGTCAGGGCAAGACTCTCTGAGGAGGTGACAGTTAGGCAGAGACCTGAATGAGACGTATCTGAAGGAAGGGCAGTGAGCCAGAGTTCACGAGGGCAGGCGTGTGCTTTGGGTGTTCAGTGGGTGTCCACAGGAACCACACAGTGGCCAGTGTGGCTCAGGTTTACAGAACAAATGGGAGTGTGTCAGAGGCCAAGTTGTCTAGGGCTTTGGGAGTTGAGCCTAAGGAGCCTGGCCTTCATCTGGAGGGCGCTGGAACCACAGGAGGGTCCCAAGCAGGAGGGGAATGCTCACTTGTTAAAAGTGTAGAAATTGGATTGAAGTGGAGAGAAAGGAGGTGGGGAGGCAGTGGCAGAAAAATGTAAGGTTACAGACTCAGAAGAGATCTGACTGAGTGTGGTGGCTCACGCCTATAATCCCAGCATTTTGGGAGGCCAAGGCGGGAGGATTGCATTACCCAGGAGTTTGGCAGCTTAGTAAGACCCTGTCTCCCTGTCTCTACTTAAAAAAAAAAAAAAAAAAATTACCTGGGTATGGTGGCATGCACCTATAGTTCTAGCCACTGGGGAGGCTGAGGAGGGAGGATCCCTTGAACCCAGGAGTTTTAGCTTGCAGTGAGCTATGATTGCACCATTGCACTCCATCCTGGGCAACGGAGTGAGATCCCATCTCAAAAAAAAAATTCGATGAGTTCTGACACATTCTGAATTTTATAGATGAAGAAAGGCTCTGCACTTCAGTGAGTTGTCTCAGATCAGGTGCCAGTGAATGGCATGGTTAACATTAGAGCCCAGACCTTTTCATTCCTCTGGGGTTACGGGCAACTGCTTTGGGCTGAGCCTGGGGTGTGGGCCATGGGGAATGACTGCTTTGGGTACACCTTGAGGGAGGGCTAGTAGAAAGAGTAGGAAGAGTTTCTTTTGACTTTAGCCATTGTATTTCCTAGTGCCGCTGAACAAATGACCATAAACTGAGTGGTGTCAAGCAACAAAGATTTAATATCTTCTAGTTCTGGAGGTCAGAAGTCTGAAATGGCTTTCACTGAGCTGAAGTCAAGGTGTCTGCAGTGCTGGATCATTTCTGGATGCAGTGGGAGGATCTATTCCTTGCCTTATGCAGTTTTTAGAGGCTCCTTACCCTCCTTGTCTTATGCCACTTTATCCCCTTTAAAGCCTGCAGTGGCTGTTGAGTCTTTCTCACATCTCATCATGCTGGCACTGACCCTCTTGCCTCCGTCTGCCCCCCTCCCTCTGCTGTGACTGCCTTGGGCCCACCTGGGTAATCCAGGATCATCCCCCAATTTAAAGGTCAGCTGATGAGCAACCTTAATTCCATCTGCACCTTAATTCCCCCTTGCCGTGTAACCTCACGTATTCACAGGTTCTGGGGATTGGCGCATGGATGTCTTTGGGGGCCATTATTCTGCTCACCACAACCACCTTTTTGTAGTTTCATAGGTGGTTGAAATGAAAGCTGTTGTCTTGTATTTTTGCCTTCTAGAGATTTTTGCTGTGAGAATTAATTACCAGTAACAGTTCAATATGGGGGACATTCTGGCTCATGAATCTGAATTACTTGGACTAGTGAAAGAGGTAGGTATATTATACAAAGCAGAGGTCACAGAGAAACAGATCTTGAAAACTTGTGTTTTAAAATGCAACAAACTATTTAGTGCCTTGTAATGTTTCTTCTATTGTTATGTTGGAGCTATTTTTCTATTATATAATATTCCATGTATTTACATTTTGGTTTTATAACTAAACAAATCTTAAAGCCACTTAAAAAGTCCCTTGAAAGAAAATTATAAAAGCAATACACGTCCACGGTAAAAGATTCAAGCACTACAGAAGTATAAAAAGGAAATTTCCCTCCCAGACTTTTTTCTATGTATAGTAAAAATATATTCACATGCCTGTAGTTTGTTTTACAGAATGGGATGATACATTGTTCTGTAGCTTGCTTTTTATCTGCCAACAATAATATAGCATGAACATCTGCCTATGATCGGCCCTAGACATTTGAATGCCATAGAGTATTTCATTGAGTGGCTGCATCATAATTTTTTTAACTCATTGTCTGGTAATGGCCTAGGTTTCCTACGCTAAAAGCTTTGACAAGTAGGGCCCAGGCCTTAAACTTTCTGGTGCTAAAGAAATGGTTCGCGCTTGCTGCTGCTTAACTGTGTGAGTAACCACCTGCAGGTTGCGAGAGCCACGGGCCTGGAGCAGGGATGAGGCACCCACCGTGCAACTGCAGATTTGGAATTTGGTGGTGTGATGGCGAATATATTCTTTTTTAAAAAATTTACATTTAAAAATCTTTTTAGAGACAAGGTCTTGTTCTGCCGCCTAGGCTGGAGTGCAGTGGCATCATCATGGTTCACTGTAGCCTTGAACTCCTGGGCTCAAGCAATCTGCCTGCCTCAGCCTCCTGGGTAGCTGAGACTACAGACGTGCACCACCATGCTCAGCTAGGTTTTATTCTAATTTTTGTAGAGATAGGATCTCACTCTGTTGTCCAAGCTGGTCTTGAACTCTTGGCTTCAAGCAATCCTCCTGCCTCAGCCTCCCAAAGTTGTGGGATTGCAGGCATGAGCCACTGCACCCTACCTATATAACACATTTTCTTTTAAAAATTTATTTATTTGAGATGGGGTCTCGCTTTGTTGCCCAGGCTGGTCTCAAAGTCCTAGGCTCAAGCGATCCTCCTACCTCAGCCTCCCAAAGTGTTGGGATTACAGGCATGAGCCATGCCACCTGGCCTATACCATTTTTTCTTTTTTTTTTCTTTTTTTTTGAGATGGAGTCTCACTCTGTCGCCCAGGCAGGAGTACAGTGGTGCTTTCTCTGCTCACTGCAACCTCCACCTCCTGGGCTCAAGCGATTCTCCTGCCTCAGCCTCCCGAGTAGCTGGGACTACAGGCACGCGCCACTGCGCCTGGCTAATTTTTGTATTTTCAGTAGAGACGGGGTTTCACCTTGCTGGCCAGGCTGGTCTCGAATTCCTGACCTCGTGATCCACCCGCCTTGGCCTCCCAAAGTGCTGGGATTACAGGCTTGAGTCACGGCTCCTGGCCGGTAGTTCTATTTTTATTTTTTTGAGGAACCTCCATACAGTTTTCTATAATGGCCGTACCAATTTACAGTCTCACCAAGAGTGCACAAGTGTTTCCTTTTCTCCACATCCTTGCCAAGACTTTTTATCTTTCGTCTTTTTTGTAATAGCCATTCTGACAGGTGTGAGGTAATTAGGTCTCTGTGGTTTTGATTTGCATTTCTCTGATTGTTAGTGATGTTAAGCACCTTTTCATGTATCTGTTGGTCTTTTTAATGTCTTCTTTGGATAAATATCTATTCAGATCCTTTGGCTGTTTTTTAATTGGATTATTTGTTTGTTTTGCTGTTGAATTGAATTATTTATTTTTTATAGTATTTAGATTTTGCTGAATTTGAAGACACCTTGAAAACATTTTCAAAAGAATGCAAAATAAAAGGAAAACCATTGTGTAAAACAGTAGGCGGATCTTTCAGAGACTCCAAATCATTGACAATTCAGGTAACATTTTGCTTATTTTTCATCCCTGTAGATAATTCAGGATGCTCCCAACTTGTGGAAAATGCTGCTGTTGGATAGTGCTAGAATAGTTTTTGAGCACTTGCTCAGAGTTACTTTAGATGGCACAAGTGTTTATAGATGAACTAATAATGTCATTTTAAATCTCTGTACCCTCCCCAGGAAATGTGTGGCCATATAAGATCTTTCACAAACATTTCTTGGGAAGAAGGAAAAGAAGAAACCATGCAGTGTTTAGGAACTGAGACAATTGTAGCCTTCCTCCTGAGGAGTTTCAGGTTATTAATTCTAGGCACTGGGGATCCAGCAGTGAACAAACAAAATCCAGCCCCTTGCCAGCACAGCATTTGCATTCTAGCTTGGGGAGGTTGGAGGGAACAGGGAGCAAGAGTGAGACTGACAAGGCGGGTCTGTGAAAGGAAGTCTGAATAGCTCTGTGAATACCAGTGGGCTGCAGGGGCACAGAGGTTATACAGACCTCAACTCTCAGGGTTAGAAGGGACCTTAAAAATCCTTGACTAGGCATGGTGGCTGAATCCTGTAATCCCAGCACTTTGGGAGGCTGAGGCAGGAGGACCGCATAAACCCAGGAGTTCAAGACCAGCCTGTGCAACACAGTAGGACCTCGTTTCTTTTTCTTTTTTTTTGAGATGGAGTCTCTCGCTCTGTCGCCCAGGCTGGAGTGCGGTGGTACGATCTCGGCTCATCACCACCTCTGCCTCCAGGATTCAAGCGATTCTCCTGCCTCACCCTCCCTAGTAGCTAGGATTACAGGCACGTGCTACTGCGTCTGGCTAATTTTTGTATTTTTAGTAGAGACGGGGTTTCACTACATTGGCCAGGCTAGTCTTGAACTCCTGACCTCAAGTGATCCGCCCGCCTTGGCCTCCCAAAAGTGCTGAGGTTACAGATGTGAGCCACCATGCCCAGCCAGAACCTCGTTTCTATAAAAAATAAAAAATTGGCCGAGCATGGTGGCATGCACCTGTAGTCCCAGCTACTTAGGTGGCTGAGGTAGGAGGATCACTTGAGCCTGGGAAATCAAGGCTGCATTGAGCCATGATCATACTGCTGCACTCCAGCTGTAGTGACAGAGTGAGACCCTGTCTCCAAAAAAATTAAAAAGTCATTATTTTAACCATTATTTGATGTCTAAATCTCATTTGTAATATGCCAGGTAAGTAATCAGTTCACCTAGAATATTTCCATTGACTAGAGACTGTACCATTTCCTGAGACAGCATGTTTCACATTTGGATGATTTTATTATTTATTTATGTATTTGAGACGGAGTTGCGCTCTGTTGCCCAGGCTGGAGTGCAGTGGCAGGATCTTGGCTTACTGCAACCCCCGCCTCCTGGGTTCAAGCGATTCTCCTGCCTCAGCCTCCCAAGTAGCTGGGATTACAGGCACACACCATCATGCCCAGCTGGTTTTAGTATTTTTATTGGAGATAGGGTTTCACCAGGTTGGCCAGGCTGGTCTCAAACTCCTGACCTTTGGTGATCCACCCGCCTCAGCCTTCCAAAGTGCTGGGATTACAGATGTGGCCACCACACCTGGTCTATTTTATTTTTATAATTAAAAAAAATTATGTGGAGACAGGGTCTTGCTGTGTTTCCCAGGCTGGTCTCAAACTCCCAATCTCAAGTGATCTTCCTGCCTCAACCTCCCAAAGCACTGGGATTATAGGCATGAGCCACTGCACCTGGCCTTATTATTTTAACAGATTTTTAAATTTTAACATACCTACTTCCAGAAATAATTTTAGGCTTGGCTTGCAAGCCCCTTGAGTGGCTGGAGTTCAAGTGGTATTCACTGCTGGTTTTCTCCTAGTCCTTGACTCCCCAGTGGCCTGGCATGGGCGCTGTTGAGAGAGGGGCACTTTTGAAGTGGCCCGTGGAGCTCAAGGCAGGGCTGAACCCTCTGCCTGCTCCGCTTCAGGCCTCTGGCCCCTGGATGCTGAGCTGCTGCTGCTTCCTGTCAACACAGACTCTTCTGTGGATGCTACAGCAGCCAGACCTCCCTGGCACCCCCCACACCTAGAACGATATGTTCAGAACATAAAAGAATATAGTCATTAGTAGAGGTGAAAACAGGTTCTTAGAGTGAAGTGTGTTCCTCAGGAAATCAGCTTCACTCCCCAGCACCTGGCTTCCCTGGTTCTTTCTGGATGAAGAAAGACCTTTACCCTACACGTTGGAAGTATAGGTGAGCATCTCTTAATTAAAGCTACCATTTGAGAGGAATATAGCAAATCCTCAATACCTAACTAGCAGAACAGTGAGACTCTTTTGTGAAGTTCACACATGACCAGATGATGTGATGATACAGGGTAAGGCCAACAGGCCCTGTGCCTTGAAGCTTCTTTGCATATCGGTCCCTCCAGAGGTGGCTGCTGTACACTTTCCGCAACTGGTTTGCCATCGCATTTCAGCTCCAGCTGCATCTGAGAACACTCAAATGTCTCTTTAGGTCTTTTTAAAAAATTGTGATTAAAGATAACATAAAATGTATCATGTTAACTATTCTTATGTGTACAGTTCAGTAGTGTTAAATGTGTTCACATTGTTGTGAAACAGATCTCTAGAATTTTTCATCTTACAAACCTGAAACTCTGTCCCCATTTAACAACTCCGCCTTTATCCTCCCCCTAGGCCTTGGCAGCCACTATTCTACTTTCTGTCTATGAATTGGCTACTTTAGATATGTCATATAAATGGAATTATGCAGTATTCGTCTTTCTGTAATTGGCTTATTTCACTCAGCATAATGTCGTCAAAGTTCATTCATGTTGCAATGTATGACAAGATTTCCTTTCCTTTTAAAGGCTGAATAATAATCTGTGATATATATTCACAAACACATACACACACACACACACACACACCCCCACAGTTTATCTGTTCTTCTGTTGATGGACACTTGGGTTGCTTCCACCTCTTGGCTATTAAGAATAGTGCTGTTGGGGCTGGGCGTGGTGGCTCATGCCTGTAATCCCAGCACTTTGGGAGGCCGAGGTGGGCAGATCACCTGAGGTCAGGAGTTCAAGCCCAGCCTGACCAACATGGTGAAACCCCGCCTCTACTAAAAAAAAAAAAAAAATACAAAAATTAGCGGGGCATAGTGGCAGGCACCTGTAATCCCAGCTACTTGGGAGGCTGAGGCAGGAGAATCACTTGAACCTGGGAGGCAGAGGTTGCAGTGAGCCAAGATCACACCATTGCACTCCAGCCTGGGGTAAAAAAGTGAGACTTTGTCTCAAAAAAAAAAAAATAGTGCTGCAGTGAACGTGGGTGTGCAAGTATCTCTTTAAGGCCTTGCTTTCTGTTCTTTTGGATGTATACCCAGAAGTATTGCTGGATCATATGGTAGTTCTATTTTTAATTTTTTGAGGAATTGCCAAGCTGTTTTACAAAGTGGTTATACTATTTTCCATTCCCACCAGCAGTACATAAGCGTTCCAGTTTCTCTACATCCTTGCCAATGCTTGTTATTTTCTCTGTGTGTTTTTAAAATATTCACCATTTTGATGGGTTTGAAGTGATATCTTGTCATAGTTTTGATTTGTATTTCTCTGATGTCTTCAGGTCTATTTTTATATAACTTCAAAGACCTTGAAACTTTCTGATTGTCACAAGCATATCTTTTCTGCTCATCCAGTCAACAGCTGTGTCCCCCACTATGGTAGATTTCCCAAATGAAAAATGCCTGGGTTGAATGAAGAAGAGTGGGGAAAAAATTTAGAAAGAAAAATAAAAAAAATATGTAGAACTGAGGTTCAGCAAAATATGCTAATTGTTAGTGGAACTCAAAAAATAGTGAGTTTCCCCAAGCAGTTTTATGTGTATAGTTCAGTAGTGTTACGTATGTTTACATTGTTGTGAGATATAAGAAGCGTGTGTGTCTACAAGTTACTATTGATGGTGTACACATTTTCTCATCTTGTTGATTCTGCTTTGATCATGGTTTATAGAACATCACTAATATTTTGTGACTGTAAGTTATAATAGCAGATTCTTTTATGTGTGGGTATTATTTTAAGCTCAGGGACCATTTCCAGGTACAGAATGTGATTCATGAGTTAGGAAGAATGATAGATGTGATTGTAATGACATAGCAAAGGTTTGTGGTTTCAGGTCTACAAATATAGACCTTAGAACAAACTGTAGATGGGCCATTTGACTTGTGGACTCTGCCAAGCCACATTGATAAAATAACTTTTCTTTAAGCCATAACGTTTCACAAGAGTCTGCGCTCACCTCATCCACACAGTCAGAGAGCTCTTGGTCACCGCACTTCTCATGGCAAGGCCCCCTCAGGAATGGGCACTGGGTTTGCTTGGGACCTTGGCAGAGGCAAGCATGGGGCTGAGCCTGGCCCCACAGCACTGCCCCTGGGAGGATCCCTTCACCTTTGTGGCAGTCATTAACAAGCATGCAGGTCTCTGGTCAGCTTCCCCAAATTCTTCCAAGGGGTGCCTGCATTCAGCTGCTTGTGCTTTGTTTTGGCAACCCTCACCCACAGGCGCTAACACACTGTCCCTCGCCTGTGTCCGGGAGGAACAGAAGAGCCAGCCTTGAGGAGGTAGATGCTCATTGTAGGGCTTATTTGAAAAATTCTGAGTTTACTTGAAATGTAACTGGCACCTTCCAGCGTAAGGCAGTATTCAGAGACAGTTCTTGATTACATGACATAGTGAAATTTTTGTAATATTCAGATTTGAGGATTCCTTACCAATCAACATCTTTGACTTATGTGTAACCAAACACTGTTACATTATTTGTTCTCTATACATTTCCATTTTATGTTAGAAAATTTGCTTATAAACAGATAAAACAAGTAATTTTTAAAAATGACAATTATGCAGGAAAATTATCTGTAAACGTTTTTTCTTTTTTTTTTTTTTTCTGAGACAGGGTCTCATTCTGTTGCTTAGGCTGAAATCCAGTGGTGGGATCTCAGCTCAGTGCAGCCTCTACCTCCAAGGCTCAGATGGTCCTCCCACCTCAGCCTCCCGGGTAGCTGGGACTACAGGCACATGTCACCACACCCAGCTAATTTTTGTACTTTTTGTAGAGACAGGGTTTCACCATGTTGTCCAGGCTCGTCTTGAGCTCCTGGGCAAACGATCTGCCCACTTTGGCCTTCCAAAGTGCTGGGATTACAGGTGTGAGCTACCACGCCCGGCCATGTAAACTCACTTTTTTGGTTTTTTTTTTTTTGAGATGGAGTCTCGCTCTGTTGCCCAGGCTGGAGTGCAGTGGCGCAATCTCGGCTCACCCCAACCTCCGCCTCCCGGGTTCAAGCAATTCTCCTGCCTCAGCCTCCAGAGTAGCTGAGATTATAGGCATGCACCACCATGCCCGGCTAATTTTTGTATTTTTAGTGGAGACAGGGTTTCATCATGTTGATCAGGCTGGTCTCGAACTCCTGACCTTGTGATCCACCTGCCTTGGCCTCCCGAAGTGCTGGGATTACAGGTGTGAGCCATCTCACCCATAAACTCATTTTTAGAAGTATAAAAGAACAATGGCCAATAATGGTGGTAAATAACAATGGTATTGGGTGGGGAAGTGGGGATTCTGTAGAAAATCCAATCTCAGAAACGCTGTTGCAGTTGAGCGTAAAATGTAAGTACAAATATCTTGGGCATTCGATACAAAAAGAACAGTAGCAACTGCATTGTTTTGGACTCTTAAGAAGTTCTTTGACTTCTGCCTGATACTTAAATCCACAAAATTATGCCACAGATATTTGTGACAGGTGAGTTATCTTCCTTGTGAGACAGGTGACATGATAATTGCCACCTCCTTTCTCCAGAATTCTTTGAACTAGTGCATGCTGAATCATGATGCTGTCATTGTCCCAGGTGGACTCACACAGCTCTGTGGTCAAACGGCACTGAGCCGGTGCTCCTTCCTCCATCTCCAGCCTTCTCTGTCGCTGCAGCTGCAGCTGGCAGGCGTGGACAGTCACCTTATGGTATAATGGGGTCTGTGGTGGCTTCCTTCAGCTCCATATCAGCCTGGTGTGCTTCTAGCAATGGGGCAAGTGGCAGCTCTATCTCCTAGGCCCAGGATTGACTGGGTCAGTGTGTGTGGGCTCCCAGCCACTCCAGGATGTGGAGCCATGCTGTCAGCAACCTTCCATGCCTGTGAGGTTTGTTCCTGGGAGGCCTGGCTAGACTTGGTCTGGATAGCTTTTGTCAGTTGCACGCTGTGGGTCAGCAGGTCCAAAGGGTGACTTCAGTATATTTACGTGTCCAAGAGTTCTCTGGCCCCAAGTCTTTGTTCTGTGCCTGATTCTTTCCATTTCAAAGACCTTAAATGTTTTGTGTGTTCTTTATAGTGCCCAGATTAGATATTGCAAAGGTGTGGGAAACCAGGGTTGGTGTGCAGGAATCGCAGGCTCAGGAGCTTGAATCCTGTGGGATCTCTATTTTTCTATCCTTTACCACTGAAAAGGAGTATATGGGAGATCTGTGGTGTTGAGTGGGTTGTGAGAATTTTGGGTGTTGAAATTTACAACGAGGTATGTAGTCTGATGTCTTCTCCACAGAAGGATCTTGTCGCTGCATTTGACAACGGAGACCAGAAGGTGTTCTTCGATCTGTGGGAGGAGCACATTTCAAGTTCCATCCGAGATGGGGACTCCTTTGCCCAGAAGCTGGAATTCTATCTCCACATCCATTTTGCCATCTATCTTTTGAAGTACTCTGTGGGGAGACCGGTGGGTTTACCTGGTGATGCGGGTGGGTCTGAGTGGTGTGTTAAGGAACAGTGTTTGCTGTCATTGTCCACATGGGCATGGATTTCATATGTGGCTGTGCTGTCATAATGCTTACGAGGTACAGGCATCCTCTCTCCTGGTGAGTGATTTTCTACTGTATTCCCAGCAGTTTATATTCTAATTTCTATGGAGATTTAATAATTTCTGTAATCAAAGCTATATTCCTAAATACCTCAAGTTTTTGAAACCTCATCAAAATAAAGTTTATTTGGCAACTTAGTATGTAGGCGTGTATGTCTAAGAGAACATATATTTCAGCTGCATATTAGACCCTATATTAGAACATAAATTTATTTACTTATTTATTGTAGAGAAAGGGTCTTGCTATGTTGCCCAGGCTGGTCTTGAACTCCTGGGCTCAAACAGTCGTCTCACCTTGGCCTCCCAAAGTGCTGGGATTACAGGCGTGAGCCACTGTGTCTGGCCAGAACACACATTTAAACTTAGGTAGTGGAAAAGAGTACGTCTCTTTGTGGAAAGCCCTTTTGAGTGATAGGTTGAATTTAGCATCTGTAGTCCTTTCCCAGATGGGGCTGGAGATGGGAAGAGAGGAGAAGGCTGAAATGTGAAGCTGCTGCGGTGGCTGAGCTTTGAGTGCAGAGTAAATGACAGAAGGGCAGCAGAGGCAAGCTGGCATTTGACCCCGTGCATTAATGACTGCCCTATGGACCAAGGTGAACACATGAGAATGTCAGAACACCAACGGTGGGGACAGTGGTGGAGGGAGCAGCAGGACCATACATTGTGGTAGCCGTTGTTGGAAGGCTCTTCCTCAGGTTATCACTCTTGCAGGGAAGATCACAGGAGATTTTCATTTTCTGTTTGTATTTCTGTTTAAGTCTGGGGGTCAAAAGAGGGCTCATGGTATAGGTCAACTGAGATGTGTTTGTAAGAACAGGCTTAGTCTATGTACGAGACTGTGAAGGCCATGATTAGTAGAGCCAGTGTGGGAGCAAAGCCCCACATTCACCTCCTCTGGTTTTCTCATTGAGGGCCAAGAGGAGATAGAAGCCCCGAGAGGGGAACTGACTTGCCTGGGATCCACATGGAGTAGTGACACAGAGCGAGCCCAGGCCTTAGCACAAGAAAGGAAAGGAGTGACTTGGAAGCTTTTGTTTCCAACACCATAAAGAAATGCCTGTTAATCTTTAGAAACCGCTCCTGCTGGAGGCATGGTAATGCAGACAGATACTTATTTATATCTGAAAAGTAGAAGCAATGTGTCTAGGTAATAATGGGGAAGCTAGTTAAATAAATGTGATAGACAACATGAGGTTTTGTCCTGCCATTAAAAATGTTTATGAAGAATTTTAAGGACATGAGAAAATGGCAATAATAAAGTTAAAAAGCAGCATATTGAACTGTATATATAGTTGTCTGATCTTCCTGACATAGTCTCATTAAGGGGGAAATTTAGGGTGGATGGTAGAATTCTAGAGACAATGCACCTGCCAGGTTAGATAGGGGATGCCAGCGACACGACTGGGACAGAAGGAGCCTCAGAGAGAGGATGGGGTGAGCAGATAGACTGGGCATTGATCTGGAGACCTCAAACAAGTGTTTTCCCTTCTTCTAGGACAAAGAGGAGCTGGATGAAAAGATTTCCTACTTCAAAACCTACCTGGAGACCAAAGGGGCAGCCTTGAGCCAGACCACAGAGTTTCTTCCTTTCTATGCCCTTCCTTTTGTTCCCAACCCTATGGTGCACCCCTCATTTAAAGAACTCTTCCAGGTAAATGTCAGCTTTTAACTCTTGTGTCAGATCCTGGGTGACATTGTGGTTTTACCTTCTGTATGCTGGGGGCTTCTGAATGATGCTTTAAAAAAACTAAAATTTGCTTACATTAGTATTATTTTTAGTTATAACCATAATTTGTTTAGTCAGTCTCCTATTGGATGGTTAGTTAGGTTTGGTTTTTGCCATCCTATACTAGCAGTGGTTTGCAACTTCTACATACATTAAATCTGGAAGAGTTATAGTAATTAACACTTTGTAATAGCAAAAACTAGGAACAACCCAATTGTACACCAACAGGAGCATGCATAAATACATTGTATTATATTCACACAATGGAATATTATACATCAATGAGAATGAATGAACTAAATTACACATTGATGAAATCTTAAGCCAGATACAAGAGAGGACATGCTATGTGATTCCCTTTGTATATACATCAAAGCAAACAAAAGTAGTTTTTAGGCATATGTGTACCAGTGTTAAAATGTTACAGAAAGTTGGCTGAGCACGGTGGCTTACACGTGTAATCCCAGCACTTTGGGAGGCCGAGGTGGGTGCATCACTTGAGGCCAGGAGTTTGAGACCAGCCTGGCCAACATGGGGAGACCCCGTCTCTACTAAAAGTACAAAAATTAGCCGGGTGTGTAATTCCAGCTACTCAGGAGGCTGAGGCAGAACAGTTGCTCAAACCCGGGAGGTGAAGGTTGCAGTGAACCAGGAGTGCCACTGCACTCCATCCTGGGCAACAGAGTGAGACCTTGTCTCAAAAAAAAAAAAAAAAATTACAGAAAGCAAGGATTCTCACCTGCTCGAATGGCAACCTAACAATTTTTACATTATCACACACAGAATTGACTTTTTCAGGATGTATAGTCCTATGAATTGTAACACACATATGTTTTGTTTGTTTGTTTGGTTGGTTTTGTCGCCCAGGCTGGAGTATAGTGGCGCGATCTCGGCTCACTGCAACCTCTGCCTCCTGGGTTGAAGCGATTCTCTTGCCTCAGCCTCCTGAGTTTAGCTGGAGCTACAGGTGCGCACCAGCACACCTGGCTAATTGTTGTATTTTTAGTAGAGATGGGGTTTCACCATGTTGGCCAGGCTGGTCTTGAACTCCTGACCTCAGGTGATCCACCTGCCTCGGCCTCCCAAAGTGCTAGGATTACAGGCGTGAGCCACCGCGCCTTGTTTGTTTGTTTTTTGGAGACAGAGTCTCATTCTGTCACCCAGGTCACTCTCACTCAACAGCAACTGATGCAATTCTTCCAAATCCCAGTACATTTCAGCATCCCATTCAGTTGTAATTCTGTAAAACAACTTTCATCCCTCCTGAATAGTAACTGCTAAACTGAAGGTTACTTAGTTGACCGCTTTCATTAAAGCAGGCCTTTTGTAGAGTAGCCCAAGTTGAAATTTTTGCTGTTTTTTCTTGATCATTCTAGATTTAGTTTTACCTACTTCCTCTCCCAGAAGGTTGAAGAAAAAAGTGGTTAAGAAGGTGATTAAATCTGGAAGGGTTCAGATGTCTTCGAGGATAAAACAAAGAAAATAATAAAAATAAATTTTAAAAAATTAAAAATTAAATTAAAAAATTTCTAAAAATAAATATTCTTGGAAGGAGATGGTAGATTTTCTCACAGTGAGACTTCTGTTCCTAAGTATTCTGTTCGTGAATATTCTGGCATAGTGGCATAGATAAAGCTTGGATCCAGGTGGCAGTAGAGCTGGCAGAATCGGGGATGGGGCCTAGCAGAGGCTGCAGCTGGCAGCTTGACTCACTCAGATTTGGTGTTCCAAGGTGGAGTTCAGCTTCTGGTGGTTTAAGGAATTTAATGACCTTCCGTATTCATGGAGATTCATTTTATTCCATTTTTTTCTTTTGTTAGTCTACATATGTTCTTTTAATGGTAATCACAGATATTTTAGTATGTATACATAATCAAGTCAGTCTTTTGTTTTTTTTTTTGAGATGGAGTTTCACTCTTGTCACCCAGGCTGGAGTGCAATGGCTCAATCTTGGCTCACTGCAACCTCCACCTCCCGGGTTCAAGCGATTCTCCTGCCTCAGGCTCCTGAGTAGCTGGGATTATAGGCACACGCCACCATGTCCGGCTAATTTTTGTATTTTTAGTAGAGACGGGGTTTCACCATGTTGGCCAGGCTGGTCTCAAACTCCTGACCTCAGGTGATCCGCCTGCCTCAGCCTCCCAAAGTGCTAGGATTACACGTATGAGCCATCACGCCCAGCCATAAAGTCTAAATTTAATCTTTATTTTCTTCCAGAACATTCAAGGAACTCAGAATGCATTAACTTCATTCATCCCCTTCACAATTTATGTCCTTTTTTTTTTTGTCAAGTATCTTAGTTATATATTTTAAATGTACAAATTAAGAAGTTTTACTATTTTATGCAATCAGTGTGTGTAGATTTTCCCTTATAGCTACCAGTATTTTTGTTCATCATTCCATCTTGTGTTAAAGACCTCTTCCATCTGGGATAGTCGTCTCCTCTTATTTAAGTACATGTCTTTAAAACCCCCTTTCCTTGAAGATCTCTTCTTTCAGTTCTTGTTTGACTGCAGTGTCTTTATTGCTTTCTCAGATAGGATTAGAATACTAGGTTTACAGTTATTGTCTCTTACTACATTGAAGATACAAATCCTAGCTAGATTGCATCATTTCCTAGCTCGCATTGCTGCTATTTTGAAGTTGGCTGTCAGTCTAATTGCCGTTCCTTTGAAGGTGATCAATCTCTTTTATCTGGCCTCTGGGTTTGTATCATTTCCCTACAGTGTTTCTAGGGATAGATTTCTATTTTTACTTGAGATTTGTTGGGTTTCCTGGATGTGAAGTTTTGTGTCTTTCAACAACTCTGAAAAATTCTCAATTAGTATCTCTTTGTATAGTATCATTCTCTTTATTATCTCCTAGATATCTGACTAAATGTATATTAGACCTATTATATTCTCCATGTCTTTTTTTTTCATTAAAAAAATTGTAAAATACACATAACATAAAATTTACCATTTTGACTTTTCTTTTTAGTATTAAAGAGATGGGGTCTCACTCTATCCCCCAGGCTGGAGTGCATGATTATAGCTCACTACAGCCTTGACCTCCTGGGCTCAAGTGATCTTCCCACTTCAGCCTCCCGAGTAGCTAGACTATAGGCGTGCGCCACCACCATTTTGACCATTTCTGAGGGTTCAGCTGAGTAGTGCTAAGAACGTGCAAATCATTGTGCTCGCCATACCTTTTAACATCTTATGTTTCCTTCTCTTAATCTCTCTGGCTGTATTCTGGGTGATCTCTTCACATCTGCCTTCCAGTTCACAAACTCACCCTCCAGCTATGTTTAGTCTGTTCTTTAACCTTTTCATTGAATTTGTAATTTCAGTTAACTCTTTTTTTTTCAGAAGTTTATTTTTTTGTTGTTTATTGAAATTGCTGGGACATTTTTATAGTCTCTCATTCCTTCCTGTCTTTTATTTCTTTAACACATTAAAACTTTAGGCCAGGTGCAGTGGCTTACAGCTCTAATCCTAGCACTTTGGGAGGCCAAGGTGGGCGGATCACCTGAGGTCAGGAGTTCCAGACCAGCCTGGCCAACATGGTGAAACCCTGTCTCTACTAAAAATACAAAAATTAGCTGGGCATGGTGGCTAATGCCTGTAATCCCAGCTACTCCGGAGGCTGAGGCAGGAAAATCTCTTGAACCCGGGAGGCGGAGGTTGGAGCAAGTCGAGATCACACCACTGCGCTCCAGTTTGGGCAACAGAGCGAGACTCCATCTCAAAAAAAAAAAAAAAAAAAAAAAATTCCTTGGCTTCCTAGCTCTAATTTTCCTCCTGTCTCTGACCTCCTGTTCATTTAACAAATCGACCCACCACGCCCAGCTTGGAAATGTTCTTATTCTCAGAGTTGAAAGCACAGAAAAAATAAGAATGGTCAAGAAAAAAATAGGTGACTCATGTCCAAAGAGGCTTTATTTCAGTCTCATCCCTGTCATTAGCAGAGCATCATAAAGTAAGTAATTACATTGAAAACACATATTTGTTGGTAATACAAAATAGTAATCAACAACAGAGCAATCTAACTGGAAGTCTGTATGTCCCAAGCATTTTGTTTTGTTTGTTTTTTGAGACATAGCAGTCCTTTCCTGAGATTCTTCTCTGTGTGGTTGAGCGTAGACCACCTTGAGTTGTAGCACCTGGGTGATTTCCCTAGGGCTGCCCTAGCAAAGTACCACAGGCCAGATGCCTTAAGACAGCAGGCATTCGTTGTCTTACAGTTCTGGAGGCTGCAAATCTGAAATCAAGGTGTTGGCAGGGCTATGCTGTCCCTGAATCCTAGGGGAGGATCCTTCCTTTCCCCTCCCAGCTTCTTGTAGCCACGGGTGTTCTGTGACTGTGGCAGCATCATTCCAGTCTCTGTCTCCATTGTCCCATGGCCGTCTTCCTTCTGTGTCTGTGTCTAAATTTTCTTCTTCTTGTAAGGACATATTGGATTAAGGTCATATTGGATTAAGGACACACCCTACTCCAGTGTGACCTTATCTTAACTTTAATTACATCTGCAACGACCCCATTCCCAATGACCTCATGTTCTGAGGTACCAGGGGTTAGGACTTCAGCATGTATTTTGAGGGAACACAGTTCAATCCATAATAACACACACCTTATAAACAAAGTTATCATGCAGTATCAGGGAATTACACAATTTTTTAAAAATATAAGAACTCTCTGGTCGGGCATGGTGGCTCATGCCTGTAATCCCAGCACTTTGGAAGGCCAAGGCAGGTAGATCACTTGAGGTCAGGAGTTCGAGACCAGCCTGGCCAACATGGTGAAACCCCGTCTCTACCAAAAAAAAAAAAAATACAAAAATTAGCCAGGCTTGGTGACCCTCGACCCAGCTACTCAAGAGGCTGAGGCAGGAGAGTTGCTTGAACCTGGGAGGCGGTGGTTGTAGTGAGCATAGATCGAGCCACTGCACTCCAGCCTGGGTGACAAAGCAAGACTCTGTCTCAAAAAAAAAAAAAAAAAAGAACTTTCTGCTCATCTGGCAGTATTTTTTCTAGAAATCAGATGACATGCTGGCTAGAATGATTGGGTGGGGGTGGGAGGCATGGAGGAGGGTACAGAGCTGGAGAGGCAGAGACAGTGGGGAAGGATGGAAAGGTCTGAGGGCCATGGGGCAGCATCTAAGAGGATGGTGGGTATGAATTTTTAGTGGCTTCGCTGCATTTTTGTGGAACTTCTTGGTTTGGGTGGAAGATATTTCTGTATAAAGAGTATAAGGAAAATTGTCCTGAGACAAAGATTGTTACTTGTTATGTTTTTTCTTATTTAAGTCATTAATTTTTTCTTCTTGATGAGCATTATTTGAGATAAATAATTTGTTTTTAAAGGACAAATCATGCTAAGACTATATCATAATTCTTGACATGGTGGGGTATTTGTGGCAGAAAATAGCTTCTGTCCTTTTTTCTTATCTAGACGAGGTTTGTGGAAATGAGTCCCTTTCTTGGGGAGACTCTCAGTAACTTAGTGATAATTGTTTATGTTACGCCTCCCAGTGCTGTGCGTGCCTAGACTGTACTGAACTATTTTTGGTATGCAGCCTAATAAGGTTCCTTGTCACGACTGTGTTTAAATCACATGAAATACTCAAATCATGTTCAGGGTTATTTTTTCCCTGTTTATGAAAGAACTCTATTTTTTCTTCCTACTGTGGGCACTTGAATCTTCTGTAAATGAGTTGGTCAGATGTCCTAAGACCTGTTTTTCACAGCCTCACGTCACTGGCATTTTGGTTTTGGTTTCAATCACTGTGCAGGGTTTTTTAGCCTAATGACCTCAACTTGATGATGCTATTGGTACTTAGTAATCTAATGTTTGTATTTTTGTTCCCTTTTTTCTTTAGGATTCCTGGACTCCAGAGTTAAAGTTGAAGTTGATAAAGTTTCTAGCTTTAATATCTAAAGCCAGCAACACGCCAAAGCTTTTAACAATATATGTATCCTTTTGAAGCAAATAGAGACCACCTATGGTTTTAGAGCAGATTTTATTTAGAGTTGCACGCTGGCTTAGGTTTATTGAGGTTGCCTCATTAAATCGGGATAATTAATAGTGTTGCTTTCATATTTACAAGGTCAATGAATCATTAATGGCAGGGCCTATAGAGATCAACTTCTATATCATTGGATCTCTGAGACTTTCTTTTTGGCAAGGTCTTATTTTGATGTCACGTGGCTAGAAGTTGTCTTGGTAGAAAAGAAAGTTTACCTTCTTGTAAAAGAATTCCTTGGGATAATTGTCCCTTTGCAGAATGTCACTTAACCACTTTTAAGCCCTTCAGGCCATGGCATATGGATCGGGTGACCATCTAACTTGTCATTCAAATTGGGACTTCTTTTTAAATAACTTTATTGAGGTGTAAATTTACATACCATAAAATCTACCCATGGTAAGTGTACAATTTAATGCTTTTTGGCAAACGTACAGAGCTGTGCAGTATCACCACAGTCCAGTTCAAACTGGGACACTTTTGAAAGTAAAAAGGGGCACTAACTGGACAAAGTACCAGGGTGACAGGTGTAAATAGAGCCTGTTTCAGAAAGAGCAGAACGTTAGGTCACCCAACCCATGGAAGACTAATTTCCCAAAGGTTATTAGTTTTTAAAGACAAGTATCTCCTTTTACTTGGAATAAAAATGTATCCAAAGTTATTTCATAACAAGAACATAATGTTTTGAATGGTAAAATTGGTCACTGTTTAGTTTAATTTCATGAAAAATTTAGGCTACTTTGCTGCGTAATACCTTCTGCTTCCTTTCTAACTCCAAAGCATTTGACTTTCTTGACCTAATTGAGGTTTTATTTGTCACTAGGACTCCATGCCACATTTCTACTTGAGCTTCCTAAGCCTTCCCTGTTGCCTGTATTCAAATTCCTTAGCCTGGCCTGAGCCGAACGGACTGATCTACAGCTCTCGTCTCTGCCTTTATATCCTTAAGGCTTTTGTTTAAATTCTTCTGTTTGCCTACATACCACGATGTTTGCATATCCAAACCTTTTCCTTCCTAGAGTTCCATATACAGTGATTTTCAGTGAAACTAGAACTTTTCCAACTTGACTTATAATTATTTGAATACGCTTTAAAAAAGCATTTCTCAGCTTAATTTTTTTTTTTCTTGATACTGCTCCTTGTGGAACAGGGCTACCCCATAGGCAGTGTGCCCAGAGTAGCTCAGCTTAATAATTATGGGTGCCAATATGTTAAGAATCTAATCAAAATGATTTACATGGTAAATTATATTAGTTATATTAAAAATATATTAGTATACTCAAAACAGTACCTGACTGGGCCCCGTGGCTCACGCCTGTAATCCCAGCACTTTGGGAGGCTAAGGCGGGAGGATCACTTGAGCCCAGGAGTTTGAGCCCAGAGTGGGCAACATGGCGAAACCCCATCTCTGCAAAAAGTACAAAAAGTTAGCTGAGCATGGTAGCATCCATATGACTATAGTCCCAGCTATCTGGGGGAGACAGGTGGGCGAATCACCTGAGCCCAGGAAGTTGAGGCTGCATTGAGCTGTGTATTCTGCCATTGAACTTCAGCCTGGGCAACATAGTGAGACCCTGTCTCAAAAAAATAAGAATAAAAAAAGATCATAGTACCTATTTTATAGGAAGAGTATGAAGATTGAGTTAATACATATAACTTGTATGAAACAGTCCAGTATATAGTAAGTGCTTGATAACTGTTAGCTGTTGGCATTAGAATTTTTAAGTACTTGTCACCTTTCATCCTGTTCCACATGCTTTGAAGCATATGCTGAAATATAGCAGGTAACTATAAATAACATTCTAATATTTTCCTTGTTACATGAAAATACTTGTAGTTCAGTTCAATACATTAAGCTTCTACTATGAGTCAAATATTGTTCTAGGATTTAGGGATATAAAGAAAAGGCCAAGATGTAATTCTCTTAGCCAAACTGGAGCTTTGAACAATAAAATAGGAGTCTGTGAGGCAAACAGAGGAGGGATGGGAATTACAGGTAGAGGGAACAGCCTGTGCAAAGGCACTGAGACAGTGCCTGGGAAACTGAAATAATTTAATATTACTGGAGCAGAGTATTGGCATAGACAAACTCAGAGACTAGGCAGGGCCTAGGTCATAAAGGTTTATGCCAAGTCCTATAAGGAATAAGGAGCCTTTGAAGCATTTTAAGTAAGAGAATAACAGTTGTATTTGCAAAAAATAACTTTTTACTTCCTGATTATAAAATCAACTATATTCCTTATAGAAAATTTGGAAAGTACAGAAAGGTTTTTAATACAGACATACACCCAAATTGTAATAAAGGTAGGTACATGTATGTGTGTGTATATTTCTATGCATTTTTATCAAAGGAAGAGAACATCTTCCCATATCATTAAATAGCCTTCAAAAGCAGGTTAAGTTCCCTCAGAGGTTTAAACGTAGAGTTACCACATGACCCAGGAATTGGTCCAGGCTGTACACCCAAGAGCTATATACCCTAGCTATATACCCAAGAGAAATGAAACATACATATGTCCACAAAACAACCTGTACACAAATGTTCATAGTAACATTATTCATAATAGCCAAAAAAATGCAAACAACTCAAATGTCTATCATCTTATGAATGGATAAACAAACTGTGGTGTTATCCAAATGATGGAATATCGTTTGATATCATCCAGCCATAAAAAGGAATGAAGCACTGATTCATGCTGTAACATGAATGATCCTTGAAAGCATTATGCTAACTGAAAGAAGCCAGTGGCAGGGACCAGGTATTATATGACTCTATTCATAAAATGTCCAAAAGAGGCAAATCTGGAGAGACAGAAAGTATATTAGTGGTTGCCAGGGGCTGGGGAGAGCAGGGAAAATGGGAGTAACTGCCAGTGAATACAGGGTTTCTTTTGGAGGATGATGAAAATGTTCTAAAATTGATTGTAGTGATGGTTGCATAACTCTGAAAATACTGAAAACCATTGAAATGTACACATTGATTGATGATTGATTGATTGATTGAGTCAGAATTTTGCTCTTGTCACCCATGCTGGAGTGAAATGGCGTGATCTTGGCTCACTGCAACCTCCGCCTCCCAGGTTCAAGCGATTCTCCTGCCTCAGCCTCCCAAGTAACTGGGATTACAGGCACCCACTACCAAACCTGGCTGATTTTTGCATTTTTAGCAGAGACAGGGTTTTGCCATGTTGGCCAGGCTGGTCTCAAACTCCTGATCTCAGGTAATCCACCCGCCTCAGCCTCCCAAATTGCTGGGATTACAGGCGTGAGCCACCACACTGGCCTGAAAGGTACACTTTAAATAGGTGAATTATACAGTACGTGAATAAAGCTATTACCAAAATACTAAGGAAAAGTTTAAGACAAATTAAGGGAAAAGAAACATGTTAAGTAACTGTCTTCAGTCATGCAGCCAGACGTGTGGGAACTGAGATTTGAACCCAGGCAGTCTGGCTCCAGAGTCTGTGGTCTTAGCAATACTGTGCTATGCTGTTTTCACCTCAATATCAATTTCCTTAGGATAAAGCTTTGAATTGAAGTTAGAGTTGAATTATGTATAAAATCAGATTTGCATTTTTAGTTGGCTTGGTAGCAGTGGGGAAGGCCTTTGGAAGGGGATAGGAAGGGGATAGGAGGCTGTTGAAATAGTGCAAGACTTGAATTCAGACAGTGATAATTGAAATGGGGAGAAGAGGACTTGCCTTCTTCTGAAATGGGAGTGGGTCAGGCCAGTATGGAGAAGTTGCTTAGCTATTTACAGCAACAGTTGGAGCTGGCCCTCCCGGCTCCGAGAATTCTGTTTCATCATGCTGAGGTGCTTTCTCACATTGGCCACAGGATGTCCGATACCCCAAGTACCGTTCCCTGAATGCCTGTTTTCCTGAACTTCTTTTTCATCCCAGAAGGAGAATGGACAAAGTAACAAAGGTAAATCATCTAGATTTAAATTTGTCTAAGAACAACTTTGCCAGTTCAGGTTTGAAGTAGTAAGATCGGTGCAAAGATGGAGAGAATTCATGATTTTGGCTTTAAGAGTCTAAATATTTATGAAAGGCTTTGCAGTCATAGTGACCTGCAGTTCCTTGAGGCCCATTTTCGGGAGGGCTGGTATTGTTAGCTTCGTCTTGCATGTCAGGTAGCTAAGCCTTGGAGAAATGAAGAGAATCCAATAACATCCCAAAGGGAGGTAACTGCAGCAGCAGCACATTTTCCCTAGAAGGTGTAGGGCAGCATGGGTAAGGATAGAGTTCTTTTAATTTAATTTATTTTAATTATTTTAATATTTAACTTTTACCTTGAACTAGTCAACTGGGGTCTTCGAAGACATATGGAGTACCCATTCTTATCAAGCATTTTCCATTCCCAAGTAGGAATTCCAGTCTTCAGTTTGTAGCATGAAGTGTTATTTTTCCATGGTCAATTGTTTTTACCAGAACTGTTCACTTTTGAGTAAGGTGAGAAAAAGTGTAGTTAATATGAAGTTGGTGGCCCCAGTTGGGGCGCTGTACCTCAGTTTTGCCTTTGATACTACGTTTTGACAGCTGCTTAAATGATGATGCTGGAAAGGGCCTGTGATGCATGTCATCCCTCTGGTGAGTATTGATGGCATAACCCTCAGTTCCCAGTAGGTGGAGTGTGACTACAGGAGATCTTGTTCCATGCGCCAGCACATTTGCCCTTTCAAAGCAGAGTCATGCCAGAGAGGATTTCAGAACTCCCTGCCATTGCTTTTTCCTGTTTCTTTTTAGGGAGTGAAACTCTTTTAAAGAAAGGAAGCATTAATTAGTAAATTATTTAGCTGTTTGCTCACCAGGGAGTTGGCAGATAAGCAATGGGGTTTGTCAACCTCAGGGAGAGCTTGGGTTTGGGTTTGTCACTCAAGATGGCTTTGGCAGCGTCAGCCTTTGAGAAGGCTTCGGATGCTTGGTTTTGCTCTTGGTAGCCTCAAGCATCCCCAGCTCAGCTGTTCTAAGTGTGTGACTGGTTCTGCCAGCCATGCTGACCCTTCTGTCGCTCAGAGGGGACAGGCCCTGCTGGCCCTTCATGGAGGAGCAGGGCTACAGATACGGCCCCATGGGATCAACCTGGACTGCTCCAAGGGTCGCAGGAGCACCCTGAGTCTTGGAGCTCCCCAAGGTTGCCCTACCCCCAGTACAGTATGTGGAGGAAGACTCCCAGCCTGCATCCTCAGCTCTGCAGGCCCGCTCTCTCAGTGCTAGCCTAGGCCCAGGCCTGGCCACGGTGCGTCCCGGGCCAGTTTGCTCACATCCAACACAGCTGGCATCTTCAACTGGACTGGGACTTTGGATCTTGCCCTGCAGCTCCTGGAAATACACCTCAGCCCACTGTTCCATTGCTGCCTGACAGACCATCCCGACTTGGTGGCACAAAACAATGACATTCACTTATAATGGTGATGATGAGCCTGCATGGTCTGGGAGCTGTGGGCTCAGTTAAGCTGTTCTCCCTCAGCGTGTCTCTCAGGTGCAGTCAGGCGGAGCGGCCTGGGGCCAACTCCAAGGCACTCACACGCAGAGTGGTGGTCGGTGCTGGCTGTCACGTGGGGTCTCAGCAGAGGCCCTTGACGAGAACACCTGCGTGGCCTTGTGGTCTGGGCTTCCTCCAGGCATGTTGCCTGGTTTCCAAGGGTGAATGTCCCCAGAGAGAGCCAGGAGGAAGCTGTATCACTTTTTCTAACCTAGCCTCTGAAGTCAGTCAGTCATTTCTGCTGCATTCTGTTTCTTGCAAGTGAATTCCTAAGGCCCCCTCACCTTCAGAGAAAGGAAATTACATTCCTCTTCTTGATGGGAAGGAGGGTGTGTCAAAGACTACAGGCATTTTAAAACCACCACCATACCCTGCATCTCTGGACCCTAGAGAACTGCCTTAGTTGTTAGTTGAATCTGCCAGGTCGCTGTTCTGAACTAGCCTTTGGACCCCCAGGCAATGGGGGCAGGAAGGTGGTGAGAAACTTCTCTCTCTGGTTCCTGAGTTTCTGCAGCTCATGTCCCCCTAGCATACACTGCATTTTTGAGCATAGCTTTCTTCTGGGAGCATTATGTAAATCTGATAAGTGGCCCAGTTTTGCAGATCAAATAAACATGGGAAGGGGAATGCAAATAAAAGAATTGTCTTTCTCTACAGGTTTTTAATGTTGGAATTTCAGTAAGGAGACCAGTTTTTAAGCCTTCTTTAGGGTCAATTTTAACTGAGTTTTCTGGAAGCCAAGCAGAATGGCTGTGGATTTGAGTCTGGCAAGCAAAGTGCATCTGTGGCGGAGTGAACTCTGTAATGTGGTGTTGCTATGGAGATTGGAGATTCGCATTTTGGGCCCAGGCATGACAGTCATTTGTCACCCCCTTGTCCCCTCATCCTGCAGCTAAGGCTGTAATAACCAAAGGCACAGACATGCCCCCAGTTTAATTTAATTCTAGACTCAGGCATTGTTTTAAGTGAAGTGGTTGCATGATATCATTGTTCTGTGTATCTTGATAGGAAGTTTTCACGGTTAAGTGAGATTACCAGAAGCTTTTAAAGAAGACAGGAAAGGCACTTGCAGCAGAAACTTCTCTCAGAAGGAATTACGTTTGAAATGCTGTGTGGAATAAAAACAGGTTGACAATGTAGTAACATCGGATTATTATTTTCACCTAGTCACTTAAAAAGGATATAGAAATAGTATCTTTTGGCATTTCTAGCATGAATTGATTCAACCCTTTCAGAATGAGCAGTTGATCATTTTTCTGGAGTTTGGAGCCCTAAACAGTATTTTAAAAAGTAATGACTCATATTCATAAGTTACATTATAACTTTCTTCATCCAGTATCTGTGGATTAGCAAAGTAGCAAGGAGGTAATTTTTATCTGAATACAAACAGGAAAGAGTATATCATTATAAAGACAGAGAGGTTAATTTTAGCTTTTCATAGTGGGTGAGAAAAACAATTCCATATTTAAAAGTTGATCATTTTGTCTTGAGCAGCCAATTAAAATCTCATTTACCCTTTAAAAAAAAGTACAGTGCCCTAAGTGAAGTAGAAAAGTTAAAAAAGAAAGCTTGAGTGGCGGGGGAGAGATTTACATCACTGTTATGTCAGTAATTTTGGATATGAAGAGTCTCAATAAATTTCACTGGCATGACTAAGATGGTTTTATTAAAATAACATGGAGGTTATAATAAGACATCTCCATTAAAAGTTGAGGTCTTGTCACTAGGCGTGGTGGCTCATGCCCGTAATCCCAGCACTGTGGGAGGCTGAAGTGGGAGGATAGCTTGAGGCCAGGAGTTTGTGACCAGCCTGGCCAACATAGTGAGACCCTATTGCTATAAAAACTAAAAAAAATTAACCGAGCGTGGCGACGTACATCTGAAGTCCCAGCTACTCAGGAGGCTGAGATGGAAGGATGGTTTGAGCCCAGGAGTTGCAGCGAGCTATGATCGCACCACTGCACTAGTCTAGGTGGCAAAGCCAGACTCCGTCTCAAAAAAAAAAAGAAGAGGAAATTGAGGTCTTGCATGGCAAGGCATCTTGGTTTAGTTGTTCTTGTCTCATAAAACTTTTGACAGGGAAAATAGAAAGTCCTGTTTAATGCTCTGAAATAAAGCTGATGTGTTTGAGCTATCACCCACGTAGCTTCTAGTCATGGACAGGTCTTGTTTGTAGCTAGTTAAGGTATCTGCAAGGTGATGTCTCTGGGTAGCAGCCTCTCCTCCTAAGGAGTATACAGTTGTCCCTCAGTATCTACAAGGATTGCTTCCAGGACCCCCACAGATAACTAAAATCAACAGATGCTCAAGTCCTTTATGTAAAATGGCATGGTGTTTGCATACAACCTACACACATCTTCCCATATACATTAAGTCATCTCTGGATTACCTATACCTAATACAGTGTAAATGGTGTGTATACTGTTGTTATACCATTTTGTTTACGACATGAAAATGATATGAAAAAAAGTCTGTATGTGTTCAGTACAGGTGCTTCTTTTCCCGAATATTTTCAACCTGAGGTGGTTGAATCCACAGGTGCAGTACCCATGGATATGGAGTGCTGACTGTATTTGAAAATGGTCACAAACATTTCAGCCCTATTGCCTGCTTCTCTCTTTCCAATAGGCTGCAGGCAGTTAGGCCTTTTATCCCGGAGATGTGCCACACTTTGAAATTGTCATAAATTCTGATTCTGGGTTCCCAAGGCAAAAGTTCCACAGATAATCTCTTATGTTTAGTAAATTGCAGAATGAACTTCCGGGGGGAAGGGTTCCTTTGTGCAGTCCGGAGGGACTGCTTTGGGGACATTCACATTGGTGACTTGGGAGGTCATTGAGCCTAGCTAATGGGTTTTGGTACTTGATTCATCATGTACCACTTGGTCCGTGTTGAGAAAGTTTGCATAGATGTTCTCCAATACTTACGACTGCAATATGGGATTATGAATAGTATTCTGTAGAATTTTCATCTTTGAAAGTTTTAACTTATCTAATTTTGAACTCTCTATATATATATGAAAAACTTTATTTGTATTCATTTATTTTTTTGAGACAGCGCTGTTGCCCAGGCTGGAGTGCCGTGGCATGATCTTGGCTCACTGCAACCTCTGCCTCCTGGGTTCATGCGATTCTAGTGCCTCGGCCACCTGAGTAGCTGGGATTACAGGCGCATGCCACCATGCCCAGCTAATTTTTGTACTTTTAGTAGAGACGGGATTTCACCACGTTGGCCAGGCTGGTCTCGAACTCCTGGCTTCAAGCAATTCAATCGCCTTGGCTTCCCAAAGTGCTGGGATTATAGATGTGAGCCACCATGCCCCACCTGAAAAAAAAATTTTTTTTTTTTGAGATGAAGTCTGGCTTTGTCGCCCAGCATGGAGTGCAGTGGCGTGATCTTGGCTCACTGCAACCTCCTGCTCCCGGGTTCAAGCAATTGTCCTGCCTCAGCCTCCCAAGTAGCTGGGATTACAAGAGTGCGCCACCATGCCCTGCTAATTTTTGTATGTTTAGTAGAGACGGGGTTTCCCCGTGTTGGCCAGGCTTGTGTCGAACTCCCGACCTCAGGTGATCTGCCTGCCTTGGCCTCCCAAAATGCTGGGATTACAGGCGTGAGCCACTGTTCCCGGCTGAAAAACTGTAATAATAGCACGAATTTAACACATTCCTTTTTTTTTTTTTTTTTTTGAGACGGAGTCTTGCTCTGTCACCAGGCTGGAGTGCAGTGGTGCAATCTCGGCTCACTACAACCTCCACCTCCCTGGTTCAAGCGATTCTGCTGCCTCAGCCTCCTGAGTAGCTGGGACTACAGGTGTGCGCCACCACGCCCGGCTAATTTTTGTATTTTTTGTAGAGATGGGGTTTCACTATGTTGGCCAGGGTGGTCTTGATCTCTTGACCTCGTGATCCACCCGCCTCGGCCTCCCAAAGTGCTGGGATTACAGGAGTGAGCCACTGCACCTGGCCAAATTTATCACATTCTAAGAGGCAGAAGGTAGTGACCCCCTTTCCCTAATGTTTAAGGAGAATCTTGATAAATGATTTTCAGGGCCATTCTCAGGGGAGTCAAGTACTGGATGTAAATTCATGCCAGGTGACTTTTTTTTTTTTTGAGACGGAGTTTCGCTCTTGTTGCCCTGGCTGGAGTACAATGGCATGATCTCAGCTCACTGCAACCTCCACCTCCCAGGTTCAAGCGATTCTCCTGTGTCAGCCTCCCAAGTAGCTGGGATTACAAGCATGCACCACCACACCTGGCTAATTTTATATTTTTAGTGGAGATGGAGTTTCACCATGTTGGCCAGACTGGTCTTGAACTGCTGACCTCAGGTGATCCACCTGCCTTGGCCTCCCAAAGTGTTGGGATTACAGGTATGAGCCACTGCGCCCGGCCTTTGCCAGGTGACTTTTTAAAGTTATCTTTCAAAACTGAGATTTGTGGATGTTGAATAATAATAATAATTCATTATCATTGATATTTTGGGTTTTTAATTATTTATTTATTTATTTTTGAGACAGAGTCTCACTCTGTCACCCAGGCTGGAGTGCAGTGGCGTGATCTCAGCTCACTGTAACCTCCACCTCCTGGGTTCAAGCGATTCTCCTGCCTCAGCCTACTGAGTAGCTGGGACTACAGGTGCGTGCCTCCACGCCTGGCTAGTTTTTGTATTTTTAGTAGAGACGGGGTTTCACCATGTTGGCCAGGCTGGTCTCGAACTCCTGGTCTCAGGTGATCCACCCGCCTTAGCCTCCCAAAGTGCTGGGATTACAGGCGTGAGCCACCGCACCCAGCTGAAGATATTTTGGGTTTTAATAGTAAAAATATTTTACTTCTGTATATAAACAGTAATCAAACATGAAGGTTTTTGAAATACAATTTGAATGTAGGTTTTTAGAACACAAATTAGGAAGAATGGTTAACTTAGGTTATCTCAAACCTGTGGTGTGCACCAGATCCATTTGAGGAGTTTGTTGACTATATAGACATTCAGACCCCACTCAGTGTCTATAAAATCAGAATCTCTGGGAGTGAGGCCTGATCATCTTTATTTGTGGGTGATTCTGATGTATTTCAGAGCTTGCATGCCACTGCTTTAGGATGGAACCTTTCTGCCACTTTTAAAAGTTATCTACTTGTGGCCGGGTGCGGTGGCTCACACCTGTAATCCCAGCACTTTGGGGGGCCGAGGCAGGTGGATCACCTGAGGTCGGGAGTTCAAGACCAGCCTGACCAACATGAAGAAACCCCGTCTGTACTAAAAATACAAAATTAGCCGGGCATGGTGGCACATGCCTGTAATCCCAGCTACTCGGGAAGCTGAGTCAGGGGAATCGCTTGAACCCGGGAGGCGGAGGTTGCAGTGAGCCGAGATCACGCCATTGCACTCCAGCCTGGGCAACAAGAGCAAAACTCCATCTCAAAAAAAAAAAAAGTTATCCACTTATATAGAAATGTATTTACAAAGTCTTTCACCCCTTTCCATGAAATGAAATAGTAGTAATAGCCACCACTATATAACCTTCTCTAGGTCAGCCATTGTGCTAGGCATGTTGAGTGTCTTTTTTTAAATTTAATCTTCACAATAACCCATCAAAGCAATTATTGTCTCCATTTTATAGGTTAGGAAATGAGAATTACAGAGTTAAATATTTTATCTGTGGTTACCCAGCAAAAAGGTAATAGAGTAGGGATTTGAGCCCAGGTCTTTATAATTTTAAAATATCTCTCCATATCCTTGAAACCTGTTCTACAATGAAGACTTCAAATATTGTACAGTACTTGGATCAGGACAATAGTGAGTTACTCTGGGTTTGGGGGCACTGTTACCTCCTTTCGTCCAAAGTGTGACTTTCAAGAAAGAGGGAAGGTGGTATGGGCAAAGAAGTGCCAACACCGATGAGGATTTGCCTATTCCTGCCGAGACCAGGGTGGCTTGGCTTCAGTGTCTTTAGGGCTGCCCACGGGGGGATTCCAAGCAAAGAATCCTAGAGCCTTCTAAGCTGCTTGCTGTAAGGCCTGGTGGGAGTGGTTTTATGCTTTATCAAACTGGCAGAATGATGGAATCTCTTCTCCTTCTGGATTCTTGTTTTTCCTAGCAGGAGTCAAGCAGCCCAAAGTTTTATTTAAAATAAAGAAGTGTCCTGCAGATATGAATTGTCCCCCAGACAACTTCATAATACAAAAACAGAGAAAAAGACACAGGTTTGATTCAGGCATTTTATGAGCTCAGTATAGAATAAAACATTCTTTTTTTTTGAGACAGAGTCTCACTCTGTTGCCCAGTTGCCCAGGCTGGAGGACAGTGGCGCGATCTTGGCTCACTGCAACTGCTGCCTCCCAGGTTCAAGCGATTCTTGTGCCTCAGCCTCCTGAGTAGCTGGGATTATAGGCGAGCACCACCATGCCTGGCAAATTTTTGTATTTTTTTAGTAGAGATGGGATTTTACCATGTTGCCCAGGCTGGTCTCCAACTCCTGGCCTCAAGTGATCTGCCCGCCTCGGCCTCCCAAAGTGTTGGGATTACAGGCGTGAGCCACCACCAGCCCTAGACATGTTTATTTTCTTAGACCTAGAAGAACTAAAAGAAATTGCATGAGGTTCAGTCAAGGGAATAGATTTTCTTAGGAAGCCCAGTGAGGATTGGGTTGAACTTCCTGAAAAGGAAATTTTAAGTCAGTGTGGTTACAAAGCACTATGTAAATAAATGTGGCATAAAATAGAAGTAAGTGTGAAACACAAGTAGTGTCCAGTTTATTGTTACAAGAAAACATTCTGGCAATAAGTATGGTAGTTCTTTGAGAAGAATACAATTATTTTTCATATTGTGGATTTTTATTGATGTTGTTTGTTTTAACTGTCTTCCTAGAAATCTTGCAGCAGCTCCACCAGCAGCTGGTTGAAGCTGAACGTAGGTCAGTGACATACCTCAAACGGTACAATAAGATCCAGGCCGACTACCACAATCTCATTGGAGTCACAGCAGAGCTGGTGGATTCTCTAGAGGCCACAGTCAGCGGCAAGATGGTAAGGAAGATCCCTAATTGTGTGTATGTCTGTTTGGCAATGAAGAAGGCTTATAGGCATGGACTATGTTGATATGGCAGGTGGAGCCTGCCTCTCTCCATTCCAAGCCAGTGGCGCCTGCTGCTCTATTTCCAAAAGCCAACATGCATGAAGGAGATAAAGCTGATATTTTTTACTGTTTTTATCAAGCTGCTTGCAGTGTTTTACCCATTTTTCTTAACATACTGTCTGCCATATCTTTATTTCTCTACTTTATTCTTTTTTGTTTGTTTGTTTTTGAGATGGAGTTTTGCTCTTGTTGCCCAGGTTGGAGTGCAATGGCGTGATCTCGGCTCACTGCAACCTCCGCCTCCCAGATTCAAGTGATTCTCCTGCCTCAGCCTCCCGAGTAGCTGGGATTACAGGCATGTGCCACCACACCCAGTTAATTTTGCATTTTTAGTAGAGACAGGGTTTCTCCATGTTGGTCAGGCTGGTCTCGAACTCCTGACCTCAGGTGATCCGCCAGCCTTGGCCTCCCAAAGTGCTGGTATTACAAATGTGAGCCACTGCGCCTGGCCCTTTTTAAAAAATATATTTTTCAAATATTGAGACGGGGTCTTGCTTTGTTGCCCAGGCTGATTTTGAACACCTGGGCTCAAGTGATCCTCCCACCTTGGCGTCCCAAAGTCCTGGGGATTACAGGTGTGAGCCATCACACCCAGCCTCTACCTTATTAATATTAGCAAAGGATAAATTGTCTGGCAACAGAAAAATATGTGCTAGCAAAAAAATGAGGGGCACGTGCCCTGCTGTCATATAGGGAAGCCACTGATTTTCTAATATTGGTTTTGTATCCAGCTACCTTTCTGAATCCCATTAATCTTGGGTTTTTTGATTTATTCTTCTGTGTTCTAGATTGACAGTCATGTTACATCAAATAATATTTGTGTTTTGCTTTTAAAATTTATCTTAACTTTTTTTTCTTAGTACATTGGCTATGGCCTATGGGATAGTGTTGAATAATGTCATCATGGGCATCTTTATCTCATTCCTGACTCTATAAAGTACAATAAAATCTATTTGTGGACATACAGATTTTTTAAAAATTGAAGTAACTGTAGATTCACACTGCAGTTATAAAAAATAATTCAGGCCAGGCACAGTGGCTCACGCCTGTAATCCCAGCACTTTGGAAGGCTAAGGCGGGAGGATCACTTGAGGCCAGAAGTTTGAAACTACTCTGGGCAATATGGTGAGACCTCTGTCACTAAAAATATACAATTAAAAATAAAATTAGCCAGGCATGGTGTCTCACACCTGTAATCTCAGCACTTTGGGAGGCTGAGGTGGGCAGATCATCTGAGGTCAGGAGTTCAAGACCAGAGCCCCGGCCAACATGGCGAAACCCCGTCTCTACTAAAAATACAGAAATTTGCCAGGTGTAGTGGAGGACATCTGTAATCCCAGCTACTCGGGAGGCTGAGGCGGGAGGAACTCTTGAACCCGGCTGGCAGAGGTTGCAGTGAGCCAAGATTGTACTCCAGCCTGGGCAACAGCGTGAAACTGTGTCTCAAATAAATAAATTTAATTTAATTTAAAAAAAGATGGGTCAGAGGAGGAAAGCTGGACTCTTTACTAGCCTTTCTAATGTAAAAGAACCGCGTTGTTTTGGTAAAAGATTGAAACAGTTCAGAGAAGCGTGTAGTAAGGAGCAAAAGCTCCTTCACCACAATGCTGTAGATTCATTTCCTTATTGATGTTCAAGACTGACATTGTCTTGTGTATTATTTTAGAACATTTCTCTGCGTATGCGTGTGTGTGTGTGTGTGTGTGTGTGTGTGTGTACACACATGCGTACAGCATTTGTACCCTTAGTTGGGATCATATGATGCATTACTCTTCTGAAACTTGGTATTTCTCTTTCGATATATCTTGGAGATCTTTCCATATGACCAGATCCACCTCATTCTTTTTAATTCTTATACACAATTGCATTATAAGGGTGAATCATTATCAGATCTCTGGTGATGAACATTTAGATTTTTTGTTTTTTTGTTTGCTATAACAAAAAAATGTTGCAGTGAACATCCTTGTGAATACTGTACATCTTGATAAAATTCTAAAAGTGGAATTGCTAGGGCAAAGGTATGGGCATGAGCATTTTGATAGAGGTTGCTAAATTATTCGTCCTAAAATATCAACAATGTCTACTCCCCCAGTAGTGTATGAGAGTGCCTATTTCTCCACACACGGCAACACCAAATAGGACTAAACTTTGAAATCTTTGTCAGTTTGGTAAGTAAAACTTGGCATTCTGCATATTTTAATTTAGATTTCTTTAATTATGTATGAGGCTGAGTATATTTTCATGTATTGTTCTTGGCTATATGTATATATATATATATATATATATATATATTTTTTTTTTTTTTTTTTTTTTTTTTTTTTTTTTGGTCAGTCATCCATTTTCTTTCCTCATTCTCCTGTTTTAAGCAAGAAAGTGACATGATCAGATTGGCTTGTTAGAGAAATGGTTCTGCTAGCAGTTTCAGAAGTTAAAGGAGGAAACAGTTTCAGAACTGAGGGTTTGATCCAAAGTCTCAAAAGCCACAGAAAACTCCAGAAGAAGAGACCTGAAAAGTATCCAGTGTTTTTGACACTTAGAAGCTCACTGGTTGTGAGCTTTGCCACACGAGTTTCCATGGAGGAACGCAGGTGGAAAGTTGGTCACATTGTATTGAAAGTTGAAGGTGGGTTGAGACAGTAAATGCAAGCGGTTCTTTCAAGGACCTTGGCTGTAAAGAGAAGCTGTTGAGAGGGTGATTGATAGATAAGGATCTAGGGTGAAAAAGAAGAAGAAGAAAATCTAGGGTAGAAGACGGGAAAGGTATGTTTTTAATATGAAATATATGTGAACATGTTTCTAGTTGTAGGGAAGGAATAAGTATAGAAAGAAAGGTTAAAAATACAAGATGAAAAAGGTATGTTTTTTTGTTCGTTTGTTTGAGACAGGGTCTCACTCTGTTGTCTAGCTGGAGTGCAGTGGTGCAATCTCAGCTCACTGCAGCCTCGGCCTCCCAGGCTCAAGCCATCCTTTCACCTCAGCCTTCTGAGTAGCTAGGACTACAGGTGTGTGCCACCATGCCTGGCTAATTTTTATTTTATTTTTATTAGAGATGGTATTTCACTATGTTACCCAGGCAAGTCTCAAACTCCTGAGCTCAAGTGATCCGCCTGCCTCAGTCTCCCAAAGTGCTGGGATTACAGGCATGAGCCACTATGCCAGGCCTGAAAAATGAATGTTGAAATTTTAATACTATAGAAATTTACTATAGGAATTCAGAAGGAATGGACTCAGGATAATATAGGAGGTCTAGCCCTGGGATGGGGTTCCTTTTTCTCTGAGTCACTTCACATGTAGCTATGTAACAAAGGGTGACAGACCTCTGCCACAGGATGGACAGAGCCTTTTATGTGGCTGAAGCAGACCAGAAGTTTGTAGCAGATAGGCAGGAGGCCCAGGAGGAGAGAAAAGGGCCCAGCCCTTTCCAGCTCCCCAGGGGTGGAGTAGCCCTGCTTCCCACGCAGTCCTGGGGGATGGCCTTCCTCCCATGCAAGTGGATGAGCAAGGGGTGGGAGAGCAGCCGCTTCTACTGCCATATGGAAGTTCCCCCAGGTGGAATCATGAAGCTGCGGAAGAGGAGACTATTTTCAATTATCATGCCTAGAAAAAAGTGTGGAAGGGTGTACACTTTTTAATAGTCATTATCCGCAGGGATTGGTTTGTGGGGGAAGGGTGGGATTCAGGAGAGGTTGTGGTACTTGTACATTGAAATGAGCATACATTATTTTTTTAAAAAGAAAATAGATGAAAAAAACTCCAAGATGACCACTTTCGATGTTGTATGTCAATCCTGAATTCTCGTAGCTGGTGAGAGAGGCACAAGAGATGCTAAAGGAGAATGCAGGATCCAGCAGCGTTGATGGCGACAGCAGCTCAGCCGCACGTTGTCGAGCACTGGATAGTTGATTAAAAGCGTTTCCATCACTCATTCAGCAAGCACTGGCCAAGCCACCTGTCATGTGCTAGGCATATCTGTGACCTCATTTACCTGCTCACTGTGGCTGTTACAATAAAGGTGTGGAAAGCGAGAGGCAGAGCTGTTGGTCTTCTCGAGTCCAGGACTTGAGCCCTGATCTTCAGTTCTGAAGCTTGGCTCTCTTTCCCCCACATTATGGTTGTCCAGTGACTTTGTTACATGAATTTACCAAAGTGGTTTAGGATCTGTTTATTCTACATGACAGTGGAGATAGCTGAAGTGGAGTCAGTTAATTTGCAGTCTGATGTCTCATGAGCACACCTGCAGTGTGTTAGCACCTTGTTCTGTCAGGGCCGGTACTTTCACTCCTCCCAAGAGCTCTGATGTTAAAGCAAATGATTATTTTTCTGGCTTACATACCTCATCATCATGCCTTACAGAAAGCTGTTGAGAGACCACTCTAACAATTGCCAGCGTGCCTCAGGTGTCCCTCAGTGAGTTTCATGCCATCACCAGATGTCTTTGTATCCTCCTTGCAGATCACCCCTGAGTACCTCCAGAGCGTCTGTGTCCGCCTGTTCAGTAACCAGATGCGGCAGAGCCTGGCGCATAGTGTGGACTTCACGAGGCCTGGGACGGTGAGGCTCTGCGCTCAGGGCAGGGTGCCCGTGGTCTATCCCCCCAAATTTAAAAAGAATGTAACTTTAAAAATAGCATGAAAAAATAACATGCAAGAGGCTGCATTTAAGCTGGCTTTTGAAGTCTAGAAACTCCTAGAAGGAAAATAAATCTGTTTTTGAAGAGGGTACAGCTGAAAGCTGGCCTCCTAGGGAGGGTGAGGAGAGAGGCGTGTTCTGCCTACCAGTTGCAGCCACTCAGTGGGGGTTCCCAGGGTTGGGGATCAGTAGGAGTGGATGGAAACTTTATTCTCCTTTTTTAAAAGCACTGCCATAGTGGAAATTGTGTGGTCTAAAGCAGGGACACTTTTTTTCCCCCTAACTTTTTACTTGGAATAATTGCAAAACTGCAAAAGTAGCACAAAGGACATTGGTATACCCTTCACCCAGAGTCACCCGCTGCTAGCATTGGCCCCTTCCTTTGTTGTGTCTCTACACACAAGTGAACACGCACACATATGCACAAAATCTGTTTTCTGAACTATTTGAGGATAAATTATATATATTATGACTCTTTACTCCTAAATACTTCAGTGTGTATTTCTTAAGGTTAGGAATATTCTCTCATATAACTATACAGTTACCAACTTCAGTAAATTTAACATTGATACAGCCTTCTTATCTACCGTCCATTTTCCAATTTTGGTAGTTGAGTCAATAATGTCCTTCACTGCATTTCCCGTCCTCTGGTCATCTAGGGTCAATTGTCACATTGAGTTGGCACAGCTCTTAGCCTCTTCTAATCTTGAACATTTCCTCAGCCTTTCTTTGAGTTACATGACATTAACATGTTAGAAGAATATAATTTTCCCCCTTTAAAAAAAATAGAACATTTTGCTGGGTGCGGTGGCTCACACCTGTAATATTCCAGCACTTTGGGAGGCCAAGGCGGGTGGATCACGAGGTCAGGAGTTCCAGACCAGCCTGGCCAACATGGTGAAACCCCATCTCTACTAAACATACAAAAATTAGCCAAGCGTGGTGGTGGGCACCTGTAGTCCCAGCTACTTGGGAGGCTGAGGCAGGAGAATCGCTTGAACCCGGGAGGCAGAGGTTGCAGTGAGCTGAGATTGTGCCATTGCACTCCAGCCTGGGGGACAAGAGCAAGACTTAGTCTCAAAAAAAAAAAAAAAAAATAGAACATTTCTCCTTTTGTGTTTGATATTTCCTTATAATTAGATTCGGGTTATGCATCCCTGAATCACCTAGGCCAAATACGACGTCGGTGATCGTGTGTCCTCCTTAGACTAGCACACCTGAAGGCCCATGGTTTTGAGGCAGGCATTCTTAACCAGGAGAGACACTGTTGTCTCTCAAAGTCTTCAAAGTACAGGAACCCACGGGCCAGGAGCTCACACCAACCTGCTGCCCCATTCACAGGCTGCGTGGGTGAAGCCCTGTGAAGCCAGCTGTATAGATTTGGAATGAGGCTCCTGTGTGATCCTGAGACAGCCCTGTGGGTCAGAGCCACAGCTTTTAAGTGAGGGTTTGCACATTAATATAGTATTAGAGTCTTAATAAACAGAAGCCTTTCTTTTAGTATTTAAAAGAAAATTTATACCCTACCTAATTCTCAAGTAGATTTGAAGAAGTTTATTATAATATGAGAAAACATAAATATGAGAAACGAGAAGGTAGAAAATAAAAATAAGTAAAGCAGTTGTGGTTAAGGGAAAATAAGGGTGGAAAAAATAAAAGTCAGCAAGGGCTAAGGCTGGTACAAAAAATGCATATGCTGTGAGCTGCCTCTCCGGAGAGGCAGGCTGCAGACTGGGCTCTGAGCTTTCCAGCAGTCTGTGCAAAAAGGGAAACAGGAGCAGTTACATGATTCCCAGTGCTTATAAAGCAGGAGAGGGCAGTTACATAACTTTTATTATGTAATATTTCCTGCATCCAAAACAACATATGTGCTGCATATGCAGGCTAGGAACCATGACAATAAAACAAACACCCACAAGTCCGCCACATGTGGCTGAAATAGACCATTTCAGTGCTGCTAAAGTTTTCTACCCTTCAGGCTTCTTCCAAGTAGGTGTGTTACTTATGTAATTTAAAAACAAGTTCAAATGCTTTTTTTTTTTTTTTTAAACTGGATGGTCAGACAACTGCTTCACACAGTTATTCCTGGTGCTAAGACCCGGGATAATCTCTTGGGTCAGCAGTTTGTATGGATCTTCATAGAAGGCACGTAGTCATGTGCTGAAGAGCAGGCGGCCTTGACCACTTCCTCTCAGCCTAACAAATATCTCAGAATGGCTGGCTGTCAGCTGTTCCACACACGTGGACAGACAGATGGTAGAAGCGGAGTCTTTGGGACATGGCCACAGTGATTTTAGTGTGCCAAAATCTTAGAGAATCAGCCATTTTTAAAAGGTCAGTAAAGTCACCATTGGATATGCAAGTCTTAGAAAAGTAACTTCCTCATGAGCCCCTCAGAAGAAGGACTTGAAGCCACATCCCCGAGAATATGGCTGACCCTCTGTCCACTGTCCAGTTAACATTCGGACAGTTAGGAAGCAGAGTGTGCTTACCAAAACTGTGGCTTTCTCATAGCAATTAGCATGACAGGGTCTGTCTACTAGGAGCACTCCTTTCTTCCTCCTTCCCATTTATTTGTTAATTCATCAAAGACTTAGTGTTTTCTAGGTTCAGTTTATAAAATCCCATTATATCTTATATATACCAGCCATCCTTACATTCCCATCTTCTATAGGAGGAGTGATGTATCCAGTTTATTTAAAACTGATGTTGGTCAGGCATGGTGGCGCACACCTGTAATCCCAACACTGGTAGTCCAAGGCAGGCAGATTGCTTGAGCCCAGGAGTTCGAGGCCAGTCTGGGCAACATGGTGAAAACCCATCTCCACAAAAAATACAAAAATTAGGCCAGGCGTGGTGGCTCACGCCTGTAATCCCAGCACTTTGGGAGGCCGAGGCGGGCAGATGACAAGGTCAGGAGATCGAGACCATCCTGGCTAACATGGTGAAACCCTGTCTCTACTAAAAATACAAAAAAATTAGCTGGGCATGGTTGCGGGCACCTGTAGTCCCAGCTACTTGGGAGGCTGAGGCAGAAGAATGGCATGAACCCGGGAGGCGGAGCTTGCAGTGAGCTGAGATCACGCCACTGCACTCCAGCCTGGGTGACAGAGCAAGACTCCGTCTCAAAAAAAAAAAAAAAAATTAGTTGGGCTTGGTGGTGCGTGGCTGTAGCCCCAGCTACTCAGGAGCCTGAGGTGGGAGGATCACTTGAGCCCAGGAGGTTGAGGCTACAGCAAGAGGAGATCGCACCACTGCACTCCAGCCTGGGTGACAGAGTGAGAGCCTGTCTCAAAAGAAAGAAAAAACTGATGACATGTTATTAAGCACGGTTTAAAAAGGAGCAGGGGTACAACACAGCTGGTTATCCCACAAGAAGTTATCAATACCATCTGTCAGGAGACAGTCCTACCACCCCGACTGTTATGTTAGCAGCAAAATACAGACTTTGTCTAACCACTGGAAACCAGAGGAGGGAGGATGAGTTATGTTTAGCTTAGTGATAACCATTCTCCTTCTACTGAATCATTGGCTTAGGAACACGCAATAAAAGCTGCAAAAGCCTTTTACTGTTTCTAGCCGATTTCTTTAACAAGATGATAAAAAGCGTATGGGGGGTCATTGTCAAAGTATAAGAGAGTATTGTTGTTGACTAGACATGCATATATAAAGTTGATTTATGATATGTGTCTCGAGTTCAGATTTACAATGTGTGAAGAAGGAAATTAAGAAACAGTTTAGATGCAATGTCCAGTGACTGGACTGATAGGATTTAGGATTTGGAAGGAGAAGAAGATTGCTTGCTTTTTTGCTGATTTTTTTAAAGGGATAAATTCTACTCTAGGGCCCAACAGAAGGCCATCAATTTCAAAATAAGTACGTGGCACAGATCAGCGTCCTTCATAGAGCGGTCTTGGGTCAGCTCGCCGTCAGGTGCTCTGTTGAGCTTGAGTGTTACTGCTAATTACATTCTGTAAAGGAGCTTGGGCTGGGCCCTTTCACAAAACCGTTGATGTCTATAAAGTTTGGTACACTTGATACTGGTTTTTATATCTGGCAGTTAACAAGAATCTGGGCTTCTACCAACTTACTCACTGTTAAAAATTCAAAAGGGCCCATTAAATCGAGCCCTTCTTTCCCCCTGAGTTCTGAACTGGTTGAAAAATAGGACAAAAGAGTAAAGGAAAAAGGAGCTGAAAATATCACTGTTGGTACTGACAAAGCTTATATTGGAGAATGTGGATCTTTTTTTTTTTTTTTTTTTTGAGACAGGGTCTCGCTCTGTTACCCAGGCTGGAGTGCATTGGCACGATCAGGGCCTCTGCTGCCTTGACCTCCTGGGATCAAGTGGTCCTCCCACCTCAGCTTCCTGAATAGCTGGGACTATGGGCCTGCACCACCATGCCCAGCTAATTTTTATTTTTTATTTTTGTAGAGATGAGGTCTCACTATGTTGCCCAGGCTGGTCTCAAACTCCTGGGCTCAAGCAGTCCTCCCACTTTGGCCTCCCAAAATGCTGGGATTACAGGTGTGAGCCACCACACCTGGCTGAGAATGTGGATTTTGTTTGCAGGCAGGTGGGGTCCTACTCTTGTGCCTGGGAATTACGGAAGCATTCTTGCACAGCCCTGGACAGCTCTGGCCAAGCCTAGCCCGCTGCCATTGCTGTGGCCACCATGAGGGCGGCATGGAGGAGCGGAGTTGACACGTCTTCTCTGGTGGGCTCTGCCCAAAGCAGAAGAGGACAGGCAGGGCAGTGATGCCCAGGTCTGCCCCCAGCCTCACAAGTCCTGTTAGTCACCGCCTCTCTGGAGAGGAAGTCTCCCACTGACAGAGCAGCTCACGGTAGAAACACCACAAGAGGAAAGAAGTGAGGTTCTGCCCTCACCTAGTTCACACCCAGGTAGCTGTGTTCAGAAAGCTGCCCGTGTTATCGAAGCTGGCACAGGTGTCTAGGCACTCCCAGAGGGTTTATAAGGACGGTATTCATTTCTTTGAGGCGAGAGCTGTCCCAGGTGGCCTTTTTAGTTTGACTCCGCGTATTGCTGCTCCCACCCATTTGTCTTTCTGTAGTCCTTACCTTATCAGAGCCTGTGGCTTGCTGGGATATGGGAGAAATCAGATTTTATATTATCATCAACTTAGTGATAAGAAGTAAGGGAGAAAGTTATCCCTCAGGGCACAAGAGGCTGAGTTTTTTGTTTTCTAAGATTACGCAAGTCACGCGGGTGTGTTCGTTTGCAGGGAACGCAGTGCTAGGCTGTTCCTGGATGACAGTCTGCTGTCGGGGTTTCACCCATGGCAGAGCAGCTCCCTGGCTGTGATCTATTGAAAGTCAGCCCTGGGCAGAAGGGGTTAGTGTTAGGGTTAGGGCTAGCGTTACACAAATATGTTAGCTAGAAAGTATACCATTTTATCTGTAAATGAAGGAAAACCCATCCCCTCCCTTCGCTCAGCGCATCCTGCCCTCCCGTGGGAACCTGTTGCCTGTGTTTCATATGCGTCCTTCTAGAGCCTTGAAGTATATATCATTAACTTTTACTTGTGTGTATATTTTCTTTATCTTCTAGAGTTCTAATTTGAGAACGGCATTCCTCTATCAGACATTTAGGTGGCTTTTCTGTTTTCTGCTGTTTGTAATGGTGTAGTATGCATTTTCCCTGCCAAGAGCAGTTGAAAGTGCCTTGGTTGGTCTTTCTCTTCTTCACCCCCTGTTCCCCCTGGGCAAATGTGAATGCAGAGACACTGGAGAAAAGGTATGCCACGAGAGGGGGCTGTTCCACCCACACCAAGCCTGTTCCACCCACACCAAGCCTCTGCCCTAAGAGCAGGAGTGGGTAGAAGGCAGGCTGACCAGGAGACAGAATCTGGTGCCAACTCCTAAGGTAGAAATTCGAGCTCCTGCCCCCTGGATGAGTCCCAAGTCTGACCTAGTGGCACCTCTGGGTTTCTGGATTCCTTGGATGGGGAGGTTTCCATTTAAATGCATCCTTATTTAGAAAGATGCCCATTTGAGAATTAATGCTCTTTTTCTTCAACAACTCCAGATAAGGCCCCATTGGAAATAAAAGTCAAAACACTTTATTTATTTGGCTTTTATTTTAGGCTCAGCAGGTACATGTGCAGGTTTGTTACATGAGTAAATTACATGTCACTGGGATTTGGCATACAGATGATCTCATCACCCAGGTAGTGAGCATAATCCTGAGAGTTAGTTTTTCAAACCTTGCCCCTCCTACCCTCCCCCGCCAATAGTTCCCAGTATCTGTTATTCTGATCTTTGTGTCCTTGAGTGCTCAGTGTTTAGCTTCCACTTAGAAGTAAGAGCGTGTGGTGTTAGGTTTTCTTTTCCTGTGTTAATTTGCTTAGGATGATGGCCTCCAGCTGCATCCATGTTGCTACAAAGGACATGCTTTTGTTCTTTTTTATGGTTTCGTAGTATTCCATTGTATATGTGTACCACATTTTCCTTATCCAGTTCACTGCTGATGGGCACCCGGATTGATTCCATGTCTTTGCTATTGTGAATAGTGCTGCCATGAACATATGAGTACGTGTGTCTTTTTGGTAGAACGATTTATTTTCCTTTCAGTATAGAATTGCTGGGTCAAATGGTAGTTCTGTTTGAAGTTCTTGAGAAACCTCCAAACTGCTTTTCACAGTGGCTAATTTACATTCCCACGAACACATACAGAGCTTTTTTTGTTTTTGTTTTTGAGACAAGGCCTTGCTTTGTCGCCCAGGCTCACTGCAGCTTCGACCTCCTGGGCTCAGGTGCTCCTCCCACCTCAGTCTCCCAAGCAGCTGGGACTACAGATACATGTCACCACACTTGGCTAATTTTTTTTTTTTTTTAAGACCGAGTCTCGCTCCATCACCAGGCTGGAGTGCAGTGGCACGGTCTTGGCTCACTGCCAGCTCCGCCTCCCGGGTTCATGCCATTCTCCTGCCTCAGCCTCCCGAGTAGCTGGGACTACAGGCTCCCGCCACCATGCCCTGCTAATTTTTTGTATTTTTAGTAGAGACGAGGTTTCACCGTGTTAGCCAGGATGGTCTCGATCTCTTGACCTCGTGATCCACCTGCCTCGGCCTCCCAAAGTGCTGGGATTATAAGCGTGAGCCAACATGCCCAACCTTTTGATTTTAATTTGCATTAAAATGGTTTTGATTTTGTGATAGAGACTATAGCATTAAATGTAAAAAGACCCAGGACATGTGGCTCTTATAAGGCACCTGCTTCCACCTCAGCCATCTTTGTCAGCAGCTTCCTGCTATGTGGCTTGTGGCTCTGGCTTGAAGCTCAGCATCTTCAGCCCTTGCCTTCTCCCCAGTGTGATTTTCTTACATCTTGGCAAATGCCTACGCTTTCCCCACATTGCTGCCATGTGTCCAGGCCATCTTCCTTGGTGCAATGCCCTGTGTATTGAGGAGTCTCCCAACCAGCACCCCTGACCCTGCTATACCTCGTATACCAATGCCTGTTGCATACCCAGACCAACCTGGTGATGAGAGGGTTTAACACCTTTGTAGGCCGGGTGCAGTGGCTCACGCCTGTAATCCCAGCACTTTGGGAGGCCGAGGCAGGCAGATTACTTGAGGTCAGGAGTTTGAGACCAGCCTGGCCAGCATGACAAAACCCCGTCTCTACTAAAAATACAAAAATTAGCCGAGCGTGGTGGCACACACCTGTAATCCCAGCTACTTGGGAGACTGAGGCACGAGAATCACTTGAACCTGGGAGGCAGAGGTTGCAGTGAACTGAGATCACGCCATTGCACTCCAGCCTGGGCAACAGAGCAAGACTCTGTCTCAAAAAATAAAGCACCTTTGTATTAATATCTCAACCAGTGAGTTAGAGCTGTGACCAGCCATCAGCTGAGACCTTTCTCGAGCTCCAAACCCAGACTTCTGGCCTCCCCATGAATGCCTGACAGCTTCACCAGATTTGTGTCCAAATCGGGCTCAACTTTTCCTCCACACAGGTGGTCTCCCCTCCTGAATTTCCTGTCTCAGTGAAAGACACTCCAGGGAACACCTGGGAAGCGTCTGAGGTTTTTCTCTGTCCTTTGCCTGGTAATGGGATCTGCAAGAGCTTCCTCCCTCCCTGCCCACATTGCTGTTGTTTTTGTGTTTGTTCAGGCTCTCCATAGTTCCCTCTTGGCTTAATGTCACATTTCCTAACTGGTCTTAAAGCTCTTACCTTACTGATTATTTGTCACATGGGATCTGAAGTGGCCTTTCTGGTTGTGTCTTGTTTATTTGTACCCTTCATGTTCCAGGAAGGACTCAGGTGTCTTACAGGCATCCGATCATATTACTATCTTGCTCAACACCGTTATCACCTTAGGGTGAAGTGGTTTTCATCTCTTTTAACGTGCAAGTGCCCCTTCTCGTTAAAAAGCTGGCAGGGCCGGACGTGGTGGCTTACACGTGTAATCCCAGCCTTTGGGAGGCCGAGGCGGGCGGATCATGAGGTCAGGAGTTCGAGACCAGCCTGACCAACATGGTGAAACCCCGTCTCTACTAAAAATACAAAAATTAGCCAGGCGTGGTGGCGCACACCTATAATCCTAGCTACTCAGGAGGCTGAGGCAGAAGAATCGCTTGAACCCGGGAGGCGGAGGTTGCAGTTAGCCGAGATCATGCTGCTGCATTCCAGCCTGGGCAACAGAACGAGGTTCTGTCTCAAAAAAAAAAAAAAAAAAAAAAAAAAAGCTGGCCATAGCAGCCCCTTCCGCATCTGATGGGGATGTGCCTCTGGCTTGGGCCTCCATCGCCTGCCCAGTCCCCTGGCTGAGATATTGCCTCAAGGGTTCCATTGTGGGCATTTGAACCTCTGTTGAGTTCAAGGGGCCCTACATTCCTTACCCACGTGCATCCTGCACAGCCTGCCCAGCCACAGTGCTCTGTTAGTCCAGGTGAGTAGGGAGAGAAGAAGGGGTTGGCAGAAATGGCCTCATCTTCAGGGGCTCACTGGTAGCCTCTCCTGGGGTCTGGCCCCCAAACTTACTTTCTGCCCCTCACTGGCCCGCGCACCCCTGCCCCATCCTGCTGCTGTCTCTACTTAGAGCAGCGTTTTCCAAAGCCTGTGCCCGCAAATGCCCATCCCGCAGGATTTCCCTGCCCCACAGCCAAACAGCCTGGGAGTTAATAAGCTTGTGAACTGCCATCCAGTGAGATTCCCAGCACAGCAGTACACAGGAGACTCCCGAGAAGTCCCGCGGGAGAACTGCTACCCCTGCTGAGTCCAGTCAGTCTCCAGTTAGATCGGACCCAGGAACACTTTCCTTACCTTACACCTCCTGCTGGTTTGTCTTAGAAAGTCCCCATCCTGCTAGTCACCAAGAGCTGTCCCAGGCTTGGTGTGGCCCCACTGCCCACCTCCCCACATCCTGACACCAGCTAGGGAGAGCAGCTGCTCTGGGAGGCAGGCCCCAGGTCTTCCTGGGGCTGAGAAGGGATGGATGGGGGCAGAAATGCAGCTGTTTCAGCTTGGCTTAGGTAGGCATTTATTTTTCCTACCCAAAGGTTCCAGAGAACCTAGAAGGGAGCCTGGCACGGGGCAAGTGCTCAGTGAATAATTGATGGGTTACTACATTAGTTGTTCCACTGTTCTTCACCTGCATCCTAAAAAGGGTTGCGCCTGCATTTGACCCAGACATCTTCAGATGGGAGCATACCACCCACCCGTGCACACCTCCACGGGAGGGAGACCACCGCCCACCCGTGCACACCTCCACGGGAGGGAGACCACCGCCCACCCGTGCACACCTCCACGGGAGGGAGACCACCGCCCACCCGTGCACACCTCCACGGGAGGGAGACCACCGCCCACCCGTGCACACCTCCACGGGAGGGAGACCACCGCCCACCCGTGCACACCTCCACGGGAGGGAGACCACCACGTGCATTTGCAGGTCCACTGTGATTGGGAGCACAGTCCTTTTTCTGATGCCCCAGGCCTGCCAGGCCTTTCCCTGAGCTCTCAGCCTGAAATCCTAGAAATGAGACAGCACTCACTTGGGCTGGAGTGGGCTGGAGTCAGAGCCTCCGTAGCAGGTGGAGTCCACCCCGTGTTCAGAACCCATTGTTAGCTCAGTGAGGGAAATTTTTCTGACTGGTGATTGGTGATTCTGACTGTGTTGGATGGTTTGGGGCTTGTGATTGTTGATGTCTTTGTTGTAGGGCTGTCTGTTGCACTGTAGGTTGGTTAGCAGCATTCTTGGCCGTCCTCCATTAGATGCCAGTAGCACTACTCCCGCTATTAACAACCCAAAATGTCTCCAGACATTGCCACATATCCCCTATGGGCAAAACCACTCCCAGCTGAGAAGCACTAGAGGGAAAGGAAACATGGCTAGTGCACAGTGTGGAAAATGCTGCCACTCACACTGCAGAGAACGCAGGGGATGCTGAGGAAAATCAGTGCCGGCCCATGCTCCCAGAGGGGAGGGTAGACGGTGATGCTGGAAATGGTCCCTGAGAGCATGGAAGGCCAGGGAAGATCGGAGCTATCTTGGAGGATGGGGGGTGAAGGAGGCCGAAGAGAGTGAGGGGCTGCCAGGGAGAGGAGCTGGTGACTAAAGCCTTGCGGGGGCCTGGGTTGAGGCTGAGCAGATGCGATTTTTACAAAGACCCCTGTGTTGAGTGTGGAAGGAGGGCTGGAGGAGAGACCTGAAGCAGGGGAGTGGGCAGAGCAAATGTGGACTTTGGGACCCGACTGCCTGATTAGATTCTTGTTCTAGGGGAAGTTGCTCAGTCCCTGTGTTTGCTGATCTGAAAGTGGAAATGGCAGTGCATGAAATGAGTTAATATGTGTAAAGTTCCTACAGTGGCATGCCTGGTGACTAGTGAGCCCTCAGTAAATGTCAGTGAGTACATCCTTATTAAGCTAAGGTGGTAGTTCAGAGGAGAGAAGAAGTCCTGAATGGAGCCCCTGGCATGGGGATTGGAGAGAAGGTAGCAGCTGTGGGATGGAATCAGTAGGACCTGATACTTTGGGAGATGTAGAGAGTGAAGAGGCCACTTTTTTCTTTTCTTTTTCTGTTTCTTTTCCTTTTTTTTTGAGATGGAGTCTGGCTCTGTCACCCAGGCTGGAGTGCAGTGGTGCAATCTTGGCTCACTGCAACCTCCGCCTCCCGGATTCAAGCGATTCTCCTGCCTCGGCCTCCCAAGTAGCTGGGACTACAGGTGCCCGCCACCACACCTGGCTAATTTTTGTATTTTTAGTAGAGATGGGGTTTCACCATATTCGCCAGGCTAGTCTCAAACACCTGACCTTGTGATTCACCTGCCTCAGCCTCCCAAAGTGCTGGGATGACAGATGTGAGCCACTGCACCCGGCCTGGCCACTCTTAACTAATTTAATTCCTTAACAATCCTGTGAGGTAGGTACTGCTGGTGCCACCATTATGCAGATGAGGAAACTGAGGCGTGGGGAGTTATTCGGTCATTTATCCTCCTCATTGGATTGTGAGTGCTCTGAGAAGGGCATTTGCTTTCTTCACTGCGTATCACTAGCGCATAGCAGAGACCTGGCTGATGGGGGCAGTCAGTAGGTATGCTTTGCTTGCCAAATGCATGAAATACTGCAGCCTTCTCTCCTTATTTTATTATTTTTTTTTGAGACAGGGTCTTGCTCTGTCACCAAGGCTGCACCGCAGTGGTACAATCATAGCTCACTGCAGCCTCAACCTCCTGGGCTCAGGTGATCCTTCCACCTCAGCCTCCCGAGTAGCTGGGACTACAGGTGTGCACCACCACACCTGGCTAATTTTTACTTTTTGTTGAGATGAGTCTCACTGTGTTGCCTGGCTGGCCTTCTCTCATTGAGAGCATGCTGAGCCACTCCTTCTACAGCCATCTCCAGCTTTGTTTATTTTATTAGATACTAAAGTTGTAATAATGTTTATCAGACTGGCTGTACTCATGAAAGGGCCAATTATTACTGCTTTTCAACCAGTTTCTTCACAGGGCAAATAGAATGATAGAGAGTTTAGCAAAAGAGTGTTTTAAAAGGTAGAAAACGTTTTTTGGCTACGGAAAAAGGAGAATGTTGATAAATTTCATTTGTGGAAATAACCAGCCAATATCACTAATTATCAAGTATTTTTCTTTATATATTATGGTAATATTTTATTTATTTTTGAGACAGAGCTTTGCTCTTGTCACCCAGGCTGGAATGCAATGGCACGATCTCGGCTCACTGCAACCTCTGCCTCACTGATTCAAGCAATTCTCCTTCCGCAGCCTCCCAAGTAGCTGGGATTACAGGCGCCCGCCACCATGCCCAGCTAATTTTTGTACTTTTAGTGGAGACGGGGTTTCACCATGTTGGTCAGGCTGGTCTCGAACTCCTGACCTCAAGTGATCCACCCACCTCGGCCTCCCAAAGTACTGGGATTACAGGCATGAGCCACCGCTCCCAGCCATGCTAATATTTTAGTATGGCCATGTCCTTACTTGACCCGTCTGACTTGTTATCTTAGCTTCTTGGTCTCTGTAAGGTGTTAGGTGAATAATTTTTTTCTTTTTTGATACAGGGTCTCACTCTGTTGCCCAGGCTGGAGTGCAATGGTGTGATCTTAGCTCACTGCAGCCTCAACCTCCCAGGCTCAAGCAATCCTCCCACCTCAGCCTCTTGAGTAGCTGGGACCACAGGCACGTGCCATCACAACCCCCTAATTTTTTTTTTTTTTTTTGTAGAGATAGGGTTTCATCATGTTGCTCTGGCTGGTCTCAAACTCCTGGGCTCAAGTGATCCTCCTGCCTCAGCCTCCCAAAGTGTTGGGAGTACAGGCGTGAACGGCTATGCCCAGCTAGATGAATAATTTAGATGACATTTCAAACTTATTTTCTAAACTCACTATTTAAGCCAACAACAGGAATAGGTAATTTCTTTATTAAAACAATCAAGGGTTAAAAAGTATAAAAACATACATGCATGGTCTGAGCCACTTTTTTAATTTTAGTTTTTATTTTCATTGTTTTTTGTTTTTGTTTTTGTTTTTGTTTTTGTGTTTTGAGATGGAGTCTTGGTCTGTCACCCAGGCTGGAGTGCAGTGGTGTGATCGCAGCTCAGTCTCCTGTGTTCAAGCGATTCTCCTGCCTCAGCCTCCTGAGTAGCTGGGACTACAGGTTTGTGCCACCACGCCCAGCTAATTTTTTGTATTTTTAGTAGAGATGGAGTGTCACCATGTTGGCCAGGCTGGTCTTGAACTCCTGACCTCAAGTGATTTGCCTGCCTCGGCCTCCCAAAGTGCTGGGTTTACAGGCCGGGGCCACTGTGCCTGGCTGATCTGAGCCATGTAAAAGTGGTGTTTGGCTGGGCGCGGTTTGGCTGGGTTGAACCCAGTAGGCGGAGGTTGCAGTGAGCTGAGGTCATGCCACTGTACTCCAGCCTGGGAGACAGAGTGAGACTGTGTCTCAAAAAAAAGAAAAAAAAATGTTATGGACCAGAGTTGGGCTTCTCCAAGTTTATTGTGCAGGCATGTCCGCTGGGGACCTGGCTGAAGTGCAGGTTCTGGTTCAGGAAGTCTGGGATGGGACCCAAAATTCTGCATTTCCAATGAGAGCTGGATGATGCTGCTTGTCTGAGGAGCACACTTTGAGTAGCAGGGGGCTGCAGAGTCCAGAAACAAACCTAAGGATAGATGTATACCTAGCAGACAACAGAGGTAGGAAAGGGGTGGTTTATTTCATGGGTCACGGAGTCAGATGCTGTCAGGGCTAGGAAGTGTGTAAAGCAGCTGGTGTCAGGCTGTAGGGAGCTCTGGGGCCTGAAGATGATGTTCCTTCCACCTTAGTGTTCACATTCTAATTTAAAAAGGAAGAACAAAAAGGAGGTGAAGAAAAAGATAGGGAGGAAGCAAGACTTACTGATGGAAGCATTTTGAGGTGATGTTGGATGGCCTGGGTGGGACTTACATGACGCAGCACAGCTGGCTCTCGGGGAACAACAAAACAAAGTTGCATGCCTCATTCACACCACAGAGGAAAATACAGTAGCATGAATTCCAGAAGGATGAAATCTCTAAATGTAAAAAATAAAGCTATGAAAATGTTAGAAGAATTGAGAGAATGTGTGTATCATCTTGAGGTAGGGTAGACCTTCTTAAGCAAGACTGAAATCCATGAAAACAATCTGGTATCACATAAGGCATGAAGGCAAAGTCAAAAAGCAGGTAATGTCTATGAAAAATAATGGCCAATATCACTAAAGTTTAAGAAAGTAAACTCTTTTCTACCCTTCGAATTGATGGAAGTTTTAGAGTGATAGGCTCCAGTACTGATAACGAAAAAGGAAAGCTTTCCTTCAGTGCGGGGTGTCTGGCAATGTTTATCAGAATTGAAAATCACATACCCTTTGATCTAGATTTTGGAAGTCTAGCTTAGCTCATAAAACAAAATATCAGTAAGTACAAGCATGGTGGCGCACACCCGTAATCCCAGCTACTCTGGAGGCTGAGGCAGGAGGATTGCTTGAGCCCAGGAGTTCAAGACCAGTCTGGGCAATATAGTGAGACCCTATCTATAAAAAAAAAAAAAATTGAAAAAAATTGAAAAAAATTGAAAAAAATTTAAGTATCATTAACTGACAATAAGATTTTTAACAAGGCTTCTGTAATTTCATGCACACAGGGGAGAATCATAAAATGGATCCCCAAGTGCCCATCACCCAGCTTCAGCAATAAATGGCATTTCACTAATCTTGCTTGCTTTCTTCTCCTCTACTTATTCCCTGCCCCCACCCTGGAGTTCTTTAAAAGCCAATTCCAAACATGTCATGTCACCTGTAAATCATTCAATATACATTTCTAACTGATCAGAGGCTTTAATATACAAGCACATAGCCACAACACCAAATACAGTTAACACTAATTCCTTAGTATCTAATACCAGTCCACTCCATATTCAAGATTTTCCTTATTTTCTCAAAATATCTTTTTACAGTTGGTTTATTTGAGTCAGTTCAAACAAGCACTACACACTGTATCTGCTTATATGTTTCTCAGATGTATTTTAGTACATAATACAGCACTACCTGTAGTGGCAAAAAGAAACACACACACACACACACACACACACACACACACACACACAAAATAAATGGGACAAGAATCTCCGTAAAGTAGGTGATGATTTTGCCTATGGACAGGATCAGGATTAAAAGAGAGTGGGGTGGAAGAGGGGTTGTTAATGTTTTTTAAACACGTGTAGAAAATGTTTGACTTGGTACAAAGTGCACATTTTTATACTTGAAGAGAAAATCTTAATAAAGAAAAAAACCAGAATAATATAATGATTCATATTGCTTTTGTTCTTCACAATGTATTTAACTAGGCAGTTTGAAATGCCCCTGGGAGTTTGGTCAGGGAGAACCCATCGTTTTCCATAGAGGATTTTTTTTTGTTTGGTTGTTTTTGTTTTTTTTCTAAAGAAAATAAAGGAATCAAAGAATGGTTACTCCGTAGGCAGAGCAGCCTCTAGAGTTTTTCTTGGAGTGGTGTAACATCAAACCAGGGCTGGGTAGGCTGTGAGCTGGATTAGTGGTGTGTAACTTTAGTTTGGGTTGATTTTTACATCGTATGTGACTTTGGTTGGTGAATCCTGGTGGATTAAAACTTTGCACATCTGGGCCAGGCGCAGTGGCTCACGCCTGTAATCCCAACACTTTGGGAGGCCGAGGTGGGCGGATCACGAGGTCAGGAGATTGAGACCATCCTGGCTAACACGGTGAAACCCCGTTTCTACTAAAAATACTAAACAAAATTAGCTGAGCATGGTGGCAGGTGCCTGTAATCCCAGCTACTCAGGAGGCTGAGGCAGGAGAATGGCGTGAACCCGGTAGGCGGAGGTTGCGGTGAGCCAAGATTGCGCCACTGCTCTCCAGCCTGGGTGACAGAGCAAGACTCAGTCTCAAAAAAAACAAAAACAAAAAAACCGCCTCTCCGCCAGACCGCCGCCGCGCCGCCATCATGGACACCAGCCGTGTGCAGCCTATCAAGCTGGCCAGGGTCACCAAGGTCCTGGGCAGGACCGGCTCTCAGGGACAGTGCACGCAGGTGCGCGTGGAATTCATGGACGACACGAGCCGATCCATCATCCGCAATGTAAAAGGCCCCGTGCGCGAGGGCGACGTGCTCACCCTTTTGGAGTCAGAGCGAGAAGCCCGGAGGTTGCGCTGAGCTTGCTTGCTCGCTGGGTCTTGGATGTCGGGTTCGACCACTTGGCCGATGGGAATGGTCTGTCACAGTCTGCTCCTTTTTTTTTGTCCGCCACACGGAATTGAGATGCTCCTTTAAATAAAGCGTTTGTGTTTCAAGTTAAAAAAAAAAACCAAAAAAAAAAACCCAAAAAACCTAACTTGCACATCTGTTGATTCCATGCTATTAGGGTGATTTGGGATCCGTGCATTGCTATCAGTGTTTAACACCATCTGTTTTCTTCTGTCCTCTTCCCCCCAGGCATCCACCATGTTACGAGCCTCCTTGGCACCCGTGTAAGTAACTGCTCTTAGGAATTTTTATTAAGGAGAACAGCAATGTGTAAAACGGGAATTCAAAGTGTCTTTAATAAACACTTAGCAGCCTAGGTTAGAGGAATGCCTTTGAGCTAGAGCTACATGTGAATATTAAAGGAAATACGAGTACTTATAAGTAATGTTGTTAAACTAGAATTATTTTTTATTGCCTGTGTGGTTTTTTTGTTTGTTTGTTTTTTTGAGACAGAGTTTCGCTCTTGTTGCCCAGGCTGGAGTACAGTGGTGCAATCTCAGCTCACCAGAACCTCCGCCTCCTGGGTTCAAGCGATTGTCCTGCCTCAGTCTCCCGATTACAGGCATACGCCACCACGCCCGGCTAATTTTGTATTTTTAATAAAGACGGGTTTTCTCCATGTTGGTCAGGCTGGTCTTGAACACCCAACCGCAAGTGATCCACCCCCTTTGGCCTCCCAGAGTGCTGGGAATATAGGCGTGAGCCACCGCGCCTGGCCATCTTATATTGTTAATTCTATTCTTTTGGTAAGGAAGCCTCAAACAAAAAAACCTGTTGAATTGTTCATATGGTATTGTATAGAAGTGAATCTAATCTGCTATCATAGTGCAATCCACAGAGTGTTGCACTGTCTGAATTTATGTTGTCTGCTGGTTCACACTGTGATCAAGGCCATGGGCAGCCCTGTGTATGCCTGAGCACTCCTGTCCTGATGAGTTGGGCTGTCCCCCTTACGAGTGTCTGATGCTGTGGTGGCAAGGAAGTTGAGAACCTTTGACTTGGGCATGAGGACCAGGGTGGCTTCTGGGACCCTCTGAGCCAGCTTTGCGGGAGAGGAGGGGAAGACGGGTGCTGTGTGATTCCTCACACACCTGAGATGCCCACAGCCTTCCTCCTCCCTCAGCCCTGCCTGAGTCTGACCTTGACCCCACGCTTTATTCTCTCCTACCACTTTGGCAGCAGTATCACTGCACAGACTGCTAGGGTTAAAAGCCCACCCCTGCTACCCTCCCTGTGACTGGGGATTACTTGTTTAATTTCTCTGTGCCTCAGTTTCCTCACTTACAAAATGAGGAGAATCATAGTAATTCTATTATAGGATTATTGTGAGGATCAAAATTAGTTAATACGTATACAACACTTAGCATTTGGCATAATACTGTAGTATTACACCAAAATTAGGAAACTATCATTGATACAGTACTGTGAACTAGACTGCAAACCTCATTTAGTCTCACCAGTTTTTCTATGCCCTCTAATCTTTTCTACAATAAAACAACAATAAAACAAAACGTGAAGACGCTTGTTTTAGCGACAAGGAAGCTGAGGTGATTCCTTTTGTTTCTGGCTGACCGAAGGTGGGTGGCAGGGCAGTCTGAGCTGTGTGGATCTCCAATCCAAGGTCTCTCCTCACTGAAACCTGGCTCCCCAGAGGTCTTTGGAGTCTCCCTGAGGAGGGTCTGCAAATTGTCCTACAACCCATCTCCTGCCTATGTTCCCATGCTGCTTCCTGACCACACCTTCTACCTCCTTGGAGGGCTAAGCCACCCACCTAATTACTCTTTTTTTCTTTTTTTTCTTTTCTTTGAGACGGAGTCTTGCTGTGTCTTGCCTAGACCGGAGTGGTGCGATCTCGGCTCACTGCAGCCTCTGCCTCCTGGGTTCAAGCGATTCTCCTGTCTCAGCCTCCCGAGTAGCTGGGACTACAGGCGCGTGTCACTATGCCCGGCTAATTTTGTGTTTTTAGTAGAGACGGGGTTTCACCATGTTGGCCAGGCTGGTCTCGAACTCCTGACCTTAGGTGATCCACCCGCACAGGCCTCCCAAAGTGCTGGGATTACAGGCCTGAGCCACCACGCCCGGCCCCCGACTGCTTACTCTTCACACTTGTTTCCTGACTGTTGTTCATATTCCCCCGGTCCAGTAGCTCAGGCTTGAGAGGAACAGTGGCTTCAGGTGTTTAGGTAGAACTCTTGGGGCCTGCTGATGCTAATTTTCTTTGAATTATGTCCAAAATTCTAAACAGAACTTCAGTGGAAAGTCATGATGCCCTCAAGGTGATTTCTTCCCTATGCTAGGGAGGTCTGGCTGAAGGTGAATGTAGGGGTTTCTAAATCTGTTCAGGCAAAGACTCCTTGTTTTAGGAAAAATGTTAAACAGAACCTAAGTCCATCCAACAGAATAGGCAGAGCTGAGCTGGTTGAAGCTGAGGTAGGAGCCTAGAACCCAGCCCGCCCTCCAAGTGGAAGCCGGGAGGTCATGCTGGGAGCCCATGGGAACAGCAGGCTCTAGCTTGGGTGTCATAATGCTCAGGAGGTGTAATAAACATGCCCTTTTGCCCTTTTCTTTCTCTTTGAACTTGTGTTGCTGAGTAGGAAATTGAAGGATGTCCCATTACTGCCCTCCTTGGATTATGAGAAACTGAAGAAGGATTTGATTTTGGGGAGTGACCGCTTGAAAGCCTTCTTGTTGCAGGCTCTGCGCTGGGTAGGTACCTTTGTCTTAAAGTTAGAAAACAAAACCAAACCAGTGCTGGTTTTCTTGGCTGGCTACCTTGCTTATATCTTTTAACCCATCTTCCAGAAATCTTTCTTCCCCGCTGTCTGCTGACACCAAGAACGGAAGTCAAAAGCCACTTCTGAAGATAGCCTGGGCCTCCTTTTAGAAACTCCTATATTATGGCAATTGTGATGTAATGAGTTAGATAAATGAATTTCAAGGCCCAAGAGACTGCACCTGTGTGTAGCCCTTTCCTGGTGATGAGCCCCACTCTGCTTGTGTGAGTGCGTGGAGTCAGGGTTACCCACAGTCCCACAGAGGTTCTGTATTCAGCCACTGCCATGCAGCCACGCTGGACAGGCACCAACGAAAGAACTCCTGTTCACAGGGCCTAAGGAAAGTGTCCTGGTCCCCATCGCTACTTTTCTGCCTGGTCTTCAGACTGAGTGCAGTTGAAGTCAACAACTGGTTCTCAAGCTTTTTCGTGTCAGACCCTTTCCACTCTCAACAATGACTGAGGACCTCAGAGAGCTTTCATTTACGTGAATTCTACCTGCCAATATTTACAGCATTTGAAATTAAAACTGAGAGGATTTGGCTGGGCATGGTGGCTCATGCCTGTAATCCCAGCACACTGGCAGGCCGAGGCAGGTGGATCACCTGAGGTCAGGAGTTCAAGACCATCCTGGCCAACATGGCAAAACCCCATCTCTACTAAAAATACAAAAAAAATTAGCCAGGCATGAGGGCAGGCGCCTGTAGTCCCAGCTACTCAGGAGACTGAGGCAGGAGAATTGCTTGAACCTGGGAGGCAGAGGTTGCAGTGAGCCAAGATCACACCACTGCACTCCAGCCTCGGTGACAGAGTGAGACCCCATCTCAAACAAAACAAAACAAAACCCTGAAGATTTGAAATATATGTTTATTAATTCATTTAAAATGAGCAATAATAAATGACATGTTAACATAAATAACATTTTTGCGACAAATACTACTTTCCAAACAACAATAAAATTGTGAGAAGAGCAGCATTGTTCTGCAGTTGTCTTTAATGTCTGGCTTGATGGAAGACAGCTGGATTCTCATATCTGCTTTGTGTTTGATTGTCAGTGTCACACTTCATATAGCCTCCCAGAGATTGATCATAAAAAAGGCATTGTCACATCTTAGTATTATGAAAATTGTGACCTTGCAGACCTGCTAAAGGGTTTGGGGGACCTCTTAGGGTTCCCTGGACCACACTGAGAACTGCTGACTCAAGCCAACAGTGGTTGAGCCAGCAGTTCTTTAACTGAACAGTCCATTCTAATTCATTAGCATCAGACACCTTCATGGACACCCAAATTTCAAGGTGTCTTGGCATCAGGATCCTTAGCAATTTCCCATCTGTGGATAGAAACAGTTCTCACTTGCATGCTTCTATGGTAGTGCTTCCTGAAGTACGTCTTGAGGACTCGGACGACGTATCCAGGATCCACAGGAAGAGTCCTGTGGACAAGCAGTGGTGTCTGCTCTGGTTTTGTTTGGGTCAGGACTAGAGTGGGTGGGGCAGCATGAGTCATCCACGGTGGCCGTTTCCTCCCTGGCCATTGCCTCTCTCTGCTCAAGCTCTCAAACTCATCTTTTATGCGGCTCTTGGTTTACTGACGCTGCACTTCCTCTCAGTCCGTGCTACTCCTGAGCCTCTTGCTGAGACAGGGTATTCCTTTGCTGAGAGGGTGACATCTTCACAGAATAACCAGGAAAAGTGAACAGGTTTCTAATGTTTTTGTCTGTGTCCCCCTCCAGTGCCCCCACCCGGCTTTTTGCCCCTGCTTCAACCTCAGTGAACTCAACGGAAGGGTAGCAGCACCCCAGTGTGACATTCCAGGCACACCCTGGCCATGGTCATCACATCTGTTGGCAGTGCCTGCTCTGGAGGCCTCCCCGGCTCTCCTTCCAGCCCAGGGCGTCTGATGCTCTGGCCTGCGCTCTTGCCCACGCTAAGAACTAGCATATTCCTTGCACATCTAGCTTCTCTTTGGCTAGAAGCAGGGCTTGCAGCCTCAGGATTTTTATCTAGTAGGATTTTCCTGAAAAAGCAAGGATATTTGCTCACTCTGTTACATGCTTTTTCATATCCCACCTCACACCTGTACACACCGATGTGCACACGCACATACCCGTTATACATGCTCTCCACACGAAAATTTTCTTCTAGCCCTGTGGACATTGCGTAAATTTTTACTTGTAGCAACATGACAGACTTATGGCTTTCTAAAATCTACAAAATTCTAGCCAGCTACCTCTACACTCATGCATGCACGCACACACACGTGCACACAAGCGCACATGCACTGTATCACTCTGTCATTCCCAATAGGATAGGATAGAGTGAATTTGTTGGCAGGGCATGCATTCAGAGTGCTCTACAGTCAGCCCTGGGCCCCTCCCACTGAGCCCACTCCACTGTGCCCTGTATTATACTTTCCTGAGCTAGACCTCACTTCCCTATCCCCCACTGTGCTCATGCTCCCCTGTGCTGGTTAATAGGCTGCCCATCCTGCAGGGACCAGCTCCTGAGCCCCTTTATATAAGAAATGCTTCTCTGGGCATGGATGAGCTCTTCCCTATCTGCACACTTACAGTCTGAGCATTTTGCTGCCTCACTTCTCTGGAGAGTTCACATGTATAAGTTGGCTCCCTGTGTCACCCATTAGGACATCACAGGTTCTTTTTTTTTTTTTGAGACCGAGTCTTGCTCTGTCGCCCAGGCTGGAGTGCAGTGGCGCGATCTCGGCTCACTGCAACCTCCGACTCCTGGGTTCACGCCATTCTCCTGCCTCAGCCTCCCGAGTAGCTGGGTCTACAGGCGCCCGCACCACACCCGGCTAATTTTTTTGTATTTTTAGTAGAGACAGGGTTTCACCATGTTAGCCAGGATGGTCTTGATCTCTTGACCTCGTGATCCACCTGCCTCGGCCTCCCAAATTGCTGGGATTACAGGTGTGAGCCACCGTGCCCGGCCCGCATCATAGGTTCTCGTTTTGGTTGGCTGGTTAACTTGCCACCACTCCCCAAGCTGGATATTACTTATTTTGTTTGGTTAAATGTGTAGGTACTGATACTGCCATCTAAAACACACCTGCTATGAGAAACTTTTCTCCATGATAAGACTTAGGTCTCACTACTTTTGTTTTTCTTTGCTCCAGCGCTTGACCACATCCCATCCTGGAGAGCAGAGGGAGACCGTTCTGCAAGCCTACATCAGCAATGACCTCTTGGACTGTTATAGCCACAACCAGGTTGGTAAGAGGTGGGGCCAGATCCCAGCCAGGGCCTTCAATTCTAGGGAATGATCTTAGCAGATGGGGGAAGCTTATAATTTCTCTGCACATTTTCAGCTTCGTAACTGTATGTCAGCCTTGAGCTCATGAGGTTCTGGGCATTGGCTTACTTTTTGCTTCTAGTGAAGAGTTCTAAACAAGTTAGAACTGCCTGATTCATCATCTCTGGAGCTCTTTTCTGCCGTTTTTCCTTTTCTCAAATTCCCTACTCTTTACCTCACCTCACTGCTTACCATGAGTCCTGAAAACTGAGTATGACTTCAGAGGGACAAGGTAGGTAAGCAAATTCAGGTTGTTTACATCTGGGCCTGACTAAAAATTTCTTTAACACAGTACTTTACTTATAGTTTTGGGCCAGATAGGTCTACTGATCCTGTGGGAAAAGTATGAGACTTGGGGTAAAATAAACTGGCTTTCAAACCTCTGCTCTACCACTCATTAGCCAGGTCACCGTAAGCAAGTTACTCAGTCTCAGGCACCTCCTCATCTGGGCAAGGAGCCGCGCCTGCCTCGGGAGGTCGTTGGGATGATTACATACAGTCAGGTGGGGGAAGTCCTTAAGCCCCAGGCCTGGTACCAAGTAGTCACTACATGGTCTTTCTCTTCTGTCCTTGCCCCTCCTACCTGTATCTGCACCAAACTTCACTGGACAGGAGGAGGATCAGGATTTTGAATTTGGCACGTGTTAAGAGTGTACTACATTTTATTATTTCAGTTGAATTTTTATCCAGAGTGCTGTAAAAATGTAAAGCTATTGTTAAACTTCACAACGTGTGCACTGAGTGGAGTATCAAATGCTCTGGACACTCACCGATTAAACAGCTGTCTTAGGCCATTTCCTGCTGCTGTAACAGAATACCACAGATAGGGTAATTTATAAACAATCCAAGGGTATTGTGCTCATAGTTCTGGAGTCTAGGAAGTCCAAGAGCATGGCGCCAGCATCTGGCAAGAGTCATCCCAAAGCAAAAGGCAGAAGGCAGAAGTGAGCGTGCAAGTCAGAGAATGGGGGTCGAAGCTGTCTTTTTATCAGGAGCCTACTCGCACAATAACTAACCCACTCCGGCAATAATGGCATTAATCCATTAATGCCTAATATCCTCTTAAAGGTCCCACCTCCCTGTACTACTACATTGGCAATTAAATGTCGATATGAGTTTTGGTGGGGACATTGAAACCATAGCAACAGACCGTGGGAAAGTGAGTTACACATTCATCTGTTGTGCATACAGGCAATACAATCTGAGTTTTGAGTTGCCAGTTTACTCTGTGAATGTAGTCTTAATGTTCTCATGAATGAGTTAAGTTTGAAAATAGTCTCTCATATTCTTGACTTATTTTCTTGCTTTTTTTTCCTGTTTGGATTTATAATGGCATTGAATCCAGCCTACAAGGCATGAAGCAGCTGAATAATGTATTGTTATAACTTCCAAACTCAAATTAAAGAGTAAAGTCAATACTGATTATTTCTAACATTATTTCATTGAGTCGAAGATACACTTTTTCCCCCCATTTTAACATCTTTGCTATTAGGGTGTATCTGACAGTCAATGGCATTTTACAGTTTAATTGGCAGGGGTTTTTTTCTTTCTTGATTATGTATAAAATGAAAATGTGTCCTCTGATGAAAGGTGTGTTGGGTTTTGTCATCTGTGATTTTTGTCAAAAAGGCAGTGACCTCTATAGCCATTGAAGAGAGTAATTTCTTCCTCAAGTCATTATATGTAGTTGCTATGGTTTACTTATATATATTTTTTGAGATGGAGTCTCTCTTGTCGCCCAGGTTGGAGTGCAGTGGTGCAATCTCAGCTCACTGCAACCTCTACCTCCTGGGTTCAAGCAATTCTCCTGCCTCAGCCTCCCAAGTAGCTGGGATTACAGGCGCCCGCCACCACACCCAGCTAATTTTTTTATTTTTAGTAGAGACGGGATTTCACTGTGTTGGCCAGGCTAGTCTCGAACTCCTGACCTCAAATGATCCACCTACCTCAGCCTCCCAAAGTGCTGGGATTACAGGCGTGAGCCACTGTGCCCAGCTGTGGTTTATTTATTTATTTATTCATTTATTTATTTTGAGATGGGGTTTCACTCTAGTCGCCCAGGCTGGAGTGCAGTGGCACGATCTCGGCTCACTGCGACCTCCACCTCCTGGGTTCGAGCGATTCTCTTGCTTCAGCCTCCCAAGTAGCTGGGATTACAGGCATGCGCCATCACGCCCAGCTAATTTTGTATTTTTAGTAGAGATGGGATTTCTCCATGTTGGTCAGGCTGGTCTCGAACTCCTGACCTCGGGTGATCCGCCCGCCTCAGCCTCCCGAAGTGCTGGGATTACAGGCCTGAGCCACTGTGCCCAGCCTGGTTTATTTTTTTAAGAAGAAATGAGCTGCTGGGCACAGTGGCTCATGCCTATAATTGCAGCACTTTGGTAGGCCGAGGCGGGTGGATCAGGAGGTTAGGAGATCAAGACCAGCCTGGCCAACATGGTGAAACCCTGTCTCTGCTAAAAAATTAGCCAGACGTGGTGGCACGCACCTGTAATCCCAGCTACCCAGGAGGCTGAGGCAGGAGAATCGCTTGAACCCGGGAGACGGAGGTTGCAGTGAGCAGAGATGGCACCACTGCATTCTAGCCTGGCGACAGAGTGAGACTGCGTCTCAAAAAAAAAAAAGAAGAAGAAATGAGCTGAACGCTTGAACCCTTTTACACTGCTGGTGGCAATGTAAATTAGTACAACCACTATGGAAAACAGTACGGAGATTCCTTAAAGAACTCAATGTAGAACTACCATTTGGTCCAACAGTCCCACTAGTGGCCATCCACCCAAAGGAAAAGAAGTCATTATATGAAAAAGACACATGCACACACACGTTTTCAGTTTGCAGTTACAAAGATTTGGAACCAACCTAAGTGCCCATCAACCAAAGAGTGGATAAAGAAAATGTAATATATATACAACATGAGATACCACTCAGCCATAAAAAGGAATGAAATAATGTCTTTTGCTGCAATTTGGATGGAGCTGGAGGCCTTATTCTAAGTGGGGTAACTCAGGAATGGAAAATCAAATATCATATGTTCTCACTTGTAAGTAGGAGCTAAGATATGAGGATGCAAACAAAAATTTTATAATGGACCTTGCACAGGTGACAGTGTTCACTGTATCCACTGGGTGCACTGAAGTCTCAGAAGTCACCACTAAATAACTTATCCCTGTAATTAAGAACCACCTATAACCCAGAAACTTGAAATAAAACTTTTTTTCTAAAAAAAAAAAAGAAGAAATAGGCCAGGTGTGGTGGTTCATGCCTGTAATCCCAGCACTTTGGGAGGCCTGAGGTGGGCAGATCACTTGAGGTCAGGTGTTTGAGACCAGCCTGGCCAACATGGTGAAACCCTGTCTCTACTAAAGATGCAAAAATTAGCCATGTATGGTGGTGTGCACCTGTAATCCCAGCTACTTGGGAAGCTGAGTGCTTGAACCCGGGAGACTGGGGTTGCAGTAAGCTGAGATTGCGCCACTGGACTCTAGCCTGGGCAGCAGACTGAGACGCCATCTAAAAAAAAAAAAAAAAAGAAGAAATGAGTTGAAGTTCTCTTAAGATGTCAGAGAATCTGCAGGGCAGAAAGACTCCTTGTCCAACATGGATGCTGTGTCACTATGGCACCAAGGTAAACTGACCTGTACAGACAGGAAATTGAATTCGTTGGTTCATTCCTCTCCCATAGTGGTTCTCAAAGTTTAACATGCATCGTTATCTCCTGGAGGTCTCATTAAAACAGATCACTGGGTCCCACCAACAGTTTCCATTCAATAGGTCTATGGTGGGGCCCAAGGATTTGCATTTCCAACAAGTTTTCCAGTGATGCTAATACTGCTGGTCCAGGATGCGTTGAGAATTACAGCTTGAGACCAAAAACTTGAATGGAGCCAAATTTAATGAAATTGTAGAGAACTGAATTTTTCATTTTTAGCTGAATTCTTAGTTTCTAGACTTCATAAATATCTCTCTTCATATCTCTAAGCATCTTACCCATTTTTAGGTGTACAGTTCAGTGGTATTAAACACATTCATAATGTGCAACCATCATGTGCCATCCATCTCCATAAATAACTTTTTTCATCTAGTAAAACTGAAACTCTGTACCCATTAAGCAATAATTCTCCATTTCCCCCTACTCCAGGCCCCTGGCAAATTCCCATTCTACTATCTGTCTCTATGATTGTGACTACTCCAAATACCTCATATAAGTAGAATTGTACAGTATTTTTCTTTTTGTGACTGGCTTATTTCACTTAGCTAATGTCCTCAGGTTCATCCACGTAGCATATGTCAGAATTTCTTTCCTTTTTAAGGCTAACATTTCATCATATGGGTGGACCATATTTTGCGTATCTATCTCTTCCTCCGTCAGTAGAAGCTACTGTGGATAGTGCTGCTGTGAAGTGTGCATGCACATCCTGACTGTTGTGTTAATCCGCTCCTTGCTTTTCTTTATAGTTTTCCCATCTATGTATATCCCGCATAATACAGTGTTTGCTTTTGTGCTGAGTAGCAAGCATCAGCCTTGCTCTGCAAGGAAACAGGACTGTGCCCATGTTAGATGAAGTTAGCTAGGAGAAGATGGCATAAACCAAAGTTTGGGATGACAGTTAGACATAGCCTCCCTGAGCACTTATTGATCCCCTCTGGGGACATTGGTAATCAAAAGTGGGAGAGAGTCCTGGGAAACACAGAGCGTCTGGCGGAATTGAAAGGTGGGCCAGGTACCAGTTGTCCAACAGCAATATTTATTTTTTTTTTAATTTTTTGAGACAGTCTCGCTCTGTCACCCAGGCTGGGGTGCAGTGGCGTGATCTCGGCTCACTTCAACCTCCGTCTCCTGGGTTCAAGCAGTTCTCCCGCCTCAGCCTCCTGAGTGGCTGGGACTACAGGTGCGCGTCACCATGCCCAGCTAATTGTTGTATTTTTATTGGAGATGGGGTTTCGCCATGTTGGCCAGGCTGGTCTCAAACTCCTGACCTCAGGTAATCCGCCTGCCTCAGCCTCCCAAAGTGCTGGGATTACAGGTGTGAACCACTGCACCCGGCCCGGCAGCAATATTTATGCCTAAGGGCAATGGTGAGCTGCTGTGTATTTTGGCTTTACGCTCACTTGATCTACTTCTAGTTCTCAGGGGTTGATCACTTGAGAACACTTCTGTGGGAGTAAAAAACTGTTCGCAGCTAATCCACACAGCAGGGCATGGAAGGGGGAGCTAGAACTTCACTAGCACTGTTTAGGGTTATCCAAATGCAGATAAGAGTCTGGGCTCGTTTCACCAGTCATTTTGTGCTCTGTTTAAAAATTGGGACCTCGTGCACTACTTTGGAACACGGGCAGCGTTTACTAAAACTGAATACCTTATGTCCTAGCAAAACCACTCCTAGATAAGCCCCAACCAAAACGTGCCCATATGTTCACTAAAAAACATGCAAGAATATTCATAGCTGCAGTTCTAGAACCAAAACACTGGCTGCAACCCAAATGTCCATCAGCAGTAGAATGAATACCTGTGATGTATTTGTAAAATGGGATACCTTGAGCAATGAGAAGGAACACAGCAGAGACCCTGGGTGAATATCACAGACATATTGTTGAATGAAAAAGTCAAACATAAGAGAATATATAATATATGGTTTCATTTATTAAAAAATTTAAGGAGGAGCCAAGTAACATGAATCTATGATGTTAGAAGCCAGGAGAGAAGTCACCCTTGGTTTGGAATGGGGTTCTGGAAGGGCATCTGGGACTATGGTCATGTTCTGTTTCTTTATCTGGTTACTAGTTAGCCACATGTTCGCTTTGTGAACACTCATCAGGCTGTACATGTGATCTGTGCAATGCCCTGTGTAGATGCTATACTTCAGCAAAAAATCAACCTAAATGGGTGTAATGGTAATAGGCATCTTGGGGACGACAGCCTTTGACATGTTGCCCTCTTGAATTAGCTGGGTTTAGTCTGGAAAACATTCTGGTGCATAGCTGCTGTCCAGGAGTCTCTTCACCAAACTTTTATTGATTCCTTTCACCTCTCTCCTGAATTGGATCTCTGTTTCCAGTGTCCCATATTATCTTATTTCTTGACTTGTTCTCTCGGTTGGTGGAACACATCCTTTAGTTAATAACGTCTAGAGAAAAAGTACACAGGAAGTAAATTTTTTTGAGATCATGTATGGTCAAGAAATGTCTTCATTCTTCGTATAGAATCCTGGATTGTAAATAATTTTCCTTCAGAATTTTGAAGACATTGCTCCATTGTCTTTTAGGTTCCAGTTTTGCTGTACAGAAATCCAAAGCCAGCTGGGCACAGTGGCTCATGCCCATAATTCTAGCACTTTGGGAGGCCAAGGCAGGAGGATCGCTTGAGCCCAGGAGTTTGTGAGCAGCCTGAGCAACATAGACCCCATTCTCTAAGAAAAAAAAAAATTCTTTTAAATTAACCAGGCATGTTGGCGTGCACCTGTAGTCCCAGCTAACTCAGAAGGCTGAGGCGAGAGGATTGCTTGAGCCCAAGAGGTTGAGGCTGTGAGCTGTGATCACACCACTGCACTTCATCCTGGGCAACAAAGTGAGAGCTTGACTCAAAAAATTTAAAAAAAGAAATCCAAAGCCATTCCAATTCTTTATCTTTTGTATGTGACCTGTGTTTCTCTCCCTAGAAGCATATTGAATCTTCCCAATTTCCCATTGACGTCCTTCATGAGGTATATTTTAATCCCTTTTATTGAGCACTTTGTGGGCCCTTTCAGTCTGACAACTTTCATTCTGGTCTTGAGTTATTTTGTTGATGGTTTCTTCCCTCTGTTTTCTGTGTTCTCTCTCTGAATGTTGAACCTCCTGAACTGGTTTTCTATTATAGTTTTCTCTCATCTTTTCTACTTTTTGTTCCACTCTTTAGGAGATTTCTTTTCTTCTTCTTTTTTTTTTTTTTTTTTTTTGAGACAGTCTCACTCTGCTGCCCTGGCATGATCTCAGCTCACTGCAGCCTCTGCCTCCTGGGTTCAAGCAATCCTCCTGCCTCAGCCTCCCGAGTAGCTGGGATTACAGGTGTGTGCCACCACGCCTGGCTAATTTTTGTATTTTTGTAGAGACGGGGTTTCACCATGTTGGCCAGGCTGGTCTCAAACCCCTGACCTCTCTGCCCACCTTGGCCTCCCAAAGTCCTGGGATTATAGGCATGAGCCACCCTGCCCAGCCTCCCTAGCAGATGTCTTCATCTTTATTTTCTGACCCTTCTGTTGACACTTTTATTTCCTTTTTGATAGCATTCTCTTGTTTCATGGATATAATACAGTTTCTTATATCTTTGAGGATATTATTGATGAATTTTTATTTAATTTTTAGTTTTCTTCTCCCTGCACGGTCTCATTTACTCCAAGCCCCGCCCCCACCCTCCCCCCCTATTTGTTTTGGCCTCCTGGTAGAAACTTTTCTCAGATGTCTGCTAGTCCTTGGTGATCTCCTAATGAGAGATTTGGAGTGAAGGGGACCACAAAGCCATTGAGTGTGATGGTGGGGCCTGTCGATGGATAGTTCCACCCAGGGGGATCTGGGTGGGCCGTTTGCTGGGAACCTCTGATTTCACGGTCTCTAATTCTTTCCCCGTGGGCTGGTCATTTCACTGTGAGAATAGTCTTCTAATCTCAGGCCTAGAGGGCAAAGGTCTGGTTGCCAGGGTCCTGGGAGCCAAGTTTTGGGGTGGCCCTCTGTTCCACATTCATTCTGCATTTAGACACTAACCCCCCTCTCCATTTTGTTCTAGAACCCCGGCAAGCCTTGCTCTCCTCTGCCTGGTGTCCCAGATCCACAGACCCTTTGTGTCTCCCTCACAAGGGAACACCCTCTCCCCAGCCCTGTGCTGAGAGGTGTGCAGGAGTCACATGAGTGGGATCCAAGTGCTTCTTGAACAACTTTAATTCATTCGTCTTTATTTTTCTTCAGCTCTTAAGTGCTTTGAGGAGTGAGTAATGGAAATTGGGTAATTCCACAGTGCCCGTTGCTGCCTTGAGATTTGGCCTTCTTGAGCCTGCTAAGCCTCTTGCCATGCTGCAGTCCCACTTCCAGAATTGTGGCGTTATCGTTTCTCGTGCTGTTCTCTCTGTCCTTGGGAATTATCTTTTTTAACAGTCCATTTATTGTAGTTTTACTGTGGCTTAGAGGGAGCCAAATTAGTCATGTGTCTTGGATCTGCCATTCTAACCTGGAAAACAGCCGCAACGGTAACAGCAAACAGGACTGCTTCCCTCGCGCCAGTCACTGTTCTGAGGGCTTCGTGTAATTAATTCATTTAATTTGGAAGTCTGACTAACTTATTTTTGCCAAGTCTCATCAAATTTCAGTTGGAAAACAAGGATTCCAGATGAAATGTTTGGCTTTAGTCTGTTTATTTCACCTCTAATAAATTCAGGCAGAGGAAGAGAACTACCAGACCCGAAGAGGAGGCGTGTGTTTATCTCTCCGTGTTCTTAACCTTGTTTTTCCTCTTGACGTTTTCCCCCAGAGGAGTGTGCTTCAGTTGCTGCACTCCACGAGCGACGTGGTGCGGCAGTACATGGCCAGGCTCATCAATGCTTTTGCGTCACTGGCAGAAGGTGAGACATCAGCTTTGCTTCAAAGATAAGAGCTAGGTCATATTGATGTGCTTTTTCCTTTGAAAATGAGCGTTCCTCCCAAGTTTCTTAGAGATGACGCTTCCTCAGTTTGTTACCGTTTAATTCATCTAAGGTCTTTTGTGAAAATTAATTGTTGTCATATTGCTTTAGTTTATATCAGAGCACATTTGGACAGTTTTTGGGGTTTATTTTGTAAACCTCCCGGTTTTATTTTATAAAGCTTTCTGGTTTTGTAACATAGTAACATTTTATATTGCTTTCAAGTATATCACAGGTAATGAATGCATCTTCTATAATTTTCTACTTAAGGCAAAATAAGTGAAACAATTACGGCAAAATAAGCTTAGCGAAACAAAGCAGACTCCAATAAACACTGCACCATTTCCTTCAGAAGACTATGACCTCTTAAATCAAAGGATTTGAAAACTCTGAAAATAACATGCCCCCATAACTGAATTTAAAATGATTTTGCAAAGTGCCATTATCTTCCGTAAGTTCTTATTTATTTGAGCTCTTTATAATGTGAATAAAGGGAGTTTTCAAATTATGAATATATGATACTCCAAAACTTTGTTCATTTGTTCATTCGTTCTTCCATCCATTTGGCAGACATTTATGATAAGCCAGGATGTGTTACTGAGGACCATTCATATAATAATACTGTTGAAACTTATGTCTGAAATTAACATCTTCCATATCCATTCAGAAGTCCACAACAGGCTAGGGACCATTCTGGGCTTATTACAGGGTCCCAGGTGTGGCTTCCTGCTTCTTCTCCAGGCCTTGTACAGAGAGTGTGTATGGAAGCATTCCTTGGCTGCCTCTGTTGTGAAGACTTAAGGGCTCATAACACACACATTACCCCTCATTTCTCTTTGTAGATCTGACTGTTGGGTTCAGGATTTCATGGAAAAAAAAGGACAATGCTCCCCACAAGAACACAGCAATGAATTATGTTTAGCTCACAAGAAGAGTGGTTTTTCTAGTCACCAGATATTTCATTGAATAAAACCAACGTTTAACGTTTAGAAGAAATATCTTTTAATAAGTTTTAATAAGTTTTGTGGGGGTTTTGTGTGTGTGTGTGTGTTTGGTTTTTTTTTTTTTTTTTTTTTTTGAGAGAGTCTCACTTTGTCAACCAGACTGGAGTACAGTGGCATGATCTCGGCTCACTGTAGCCTCAACCACCTGGGCTCAAGGAATACTCCTCGCGCCTCAGCCCCCCAATTAGCGGGATCAACAGGTGTGCATCATCATACCTGGCTAATGTTCCTTAGTTTTTATAGAGATGAGGTTACGCCCTGTTGCCCAGGCTGGTCTCCAACGCCTCGGCTCAAACAGTCTACCTGCCTCAGCCTCCCAAAGTGCTAGGGTTACAGGCGTGAGCCACCTTGCACAACCAGTAAGTGTTTGTTTGTTTGTTTGTTTGTTTGTTTGTTTTGAGATGGAGTCTCGCTCCGTCATTCAGGCTAGAGTGTGGTGGCACGATCTCAGGCTCACTGCAACCTGCCTCCTGGGGTCTAGCAATTCTCCTGCCTCAGCCTCCCGAGTAGCTGGGATTACAGGCATCTGCCACCACACCCAGCTAATTTTTGTATTTTTAATAGAGACGGGGTTTCACCATGTTGGCCAGGCTGGTCTCAAACTCCTGGCCTCAGGTGATCTGCCTGCCTTGGCTTCCCAAACTGCTAGGATTACAGGCGTGAGCCACCGCGCCCTGCCCAGTAAGTTTTTTAGAACATAAAATTACCCAAACTCTACTGTGTTATATGCAAAGTAAGTTTTCGTGGAAAGTGGTTTTGTAGCATACCAGATAAATTATTTCTGTCTTTCACCTGTTTCATCTCTGGTGTATTATCAGGTCGCCTCTACCTTGCCCAGAACACAAAGGTGCTGCAGATGCTGGAGGGAAGGCTGAAGGAGGAGGACAAGGATATCATCACCAGGGAGAATGTTCTTGGGGCCCTGCAGAAGTTCAGTCTCAGGTAACGACTGTGCAATAGGTCACGGTGTCTCCTGTGAGATCAGATTGAGTTAAAATTCCCATGGCAACCCAGGAGGCAGATGGTATTTTTCCACTACACTTTGGAGAGGTTGGATGACTTTCTAAGACAGAGCTAGAAAGCTTATCTGTAATCCACTAAACTATCCTGCGCAAGGCTGCTGGGGATGGAGGAAGACATTTTCAAAGCATCATTGGATTTTCCTAATGGACATTATCGAGTGCCAGCCATGCAGGATTGTGTCTCAGGGCATGTGCAGGGCTTAGAGACAGACACATGAATCAGACCTGATAGAGCCTCAGCCCTCAAGTTACTTCCAGTCCCCTGTGGGAGCTGCACACATGAATGCACATCCCAGCAGAGTGTCAAGGGCAGTTCTGTGGAAGTCAGGGTTAGGGCCTCCTGACCTTGTCCATGATCCCAGCAGCCCACCCCATGGGATCAGCCTAGACCGTCATGACTTGGAACCAATGGGGCCAGGCTAATTTCTGTATTTCTAGTAGAGACAGGATTTTACCATGTTGGCCAGTCTGGTCTCGAACTCCTGACCTCAGGTGATCCGCCCACCTCAGCCCCCCAAAGTGCTGGAATTACAGGCGTGAGTCACCGCACCCGGCCCCGTAGGTTCCTTTTTAGTTTACAGTTTTGTTGAGATGTATTTACACACCATAATATTCCCCCATATTAAGCATACAATTGAAGGATTTTTAGTGTATTTACAGAGTTGTGCAGTCATCACCACAATCCAGGTTTAGCACATTTCCATCACCACAAAAAGAAACCTCATACCCATTTACAGTCACTCCTCATTCCTACCCCCAGTCCCCGGTAGCCACAAATCTGCTTTCTGTCGATTGACTTGTACTGGACGTTTCATATAAATGGAATCATGTAGTGTGCACTCTTTTGTGACTGGCTTCTCTCACTTAGCATCGCGTTTGCAAGGTTTGTCCATGTAGCAGCATGTGTCAGGGCCTCATTCCTTTTGTGGCTGAATATGTACTCCATTATGGCTACATCATATTGTTTGTTTGTTTTTGAGATGGAGTCTCACTCTGTCACCCAGACTGGAGTGCAGTGGCGCAATCTTGGCTCACTGCAACCTCCGCCTCCCGGGTTCAACCAATTCTCCTGCCTCAAACTCCTGGGTAGCTGGGATTACAGGCGCACACCACCACACCCGGCTAATTTTTGTATTTTTAGTAGAGATGGGGTTTCACCATGCTGGTGAGTCTGGTCTCGAACTCCTAACCTTGTGATCCACCCGCCTCGGCCTCCCAAAGTGCTGGGATTACAGGTGTGAGCCACCGCGCCCGGCCTACACCACATTTTGTTTGTCCTTCAGTTGATTGGCATTTGAGTTGTTTGCATTTTTGGCCAATATGCATAATGCTGCCATGAATGCTTCAGCACAAGTCTTCGTGTGGACATATGTTTCTTTTTCTCGTGGATCGGCATCTAGGAGAGGAACTGTTGGGACATATGGTAATTTTTTCAGAGTTTTTATTCTCTCATGATCACCTCAAGTTCTCTTTGACTTTCTTGAGAACTCTAGTCCCTGGAGTCTTCAACTTTTTTCTGTCGGTCCTCTTCTGAACACACTTTCTTCCCATCAAATGTGGTTTACATTTGACTGACTCACAAATAACCAGAAGCCTACAAAGTGAAATGGTCTAAGCATGTGTGTTTTTAGTGGGGGAAGGGATAGGTATTTGTATCTACCATTTGCCAGCTCCCTGCCAATGAAAATTCTTTGTTCTAACTATATGAATCGAAAAGAACTGTAAGTGCTGCAGAGTCATTACTTCCTCAGAGCATACAAACACTTCATTTCTTTTTGTTTATAGAGAGAACTTTGCTCCATGTTGATCGCTTTGGGGAAGTTTTTAGAAATTCAATAACTATAGTTAAGTAACAGATACAAGATATGGTGAAAAAAATACTTCCTCCTGGTAATGCAAATGTTTACTGCCTGTTTATCTTTTCCTCTAAGTGTTAATTTAAGCTTTTTTGTTCTGTAAATGTGCTTAACCTTTTTGCAGTTTTCCAGAGTCTCTGCAATAAATGAAGAAGGTAGCTAGTTACCAAGAGAGCGCAGTCTTCACTGTATTCTAATAAGCCACCCTGATTGGGTCAGTGTAGTGTTTAAGAACAGGATGAACGGATAACTGGTTCTGCTGTTCTGTCCTGAGTGGTGGTTTCACCATAACCTGCGCATCCGGAGATGTGCAGAGCTGGCTTCTCTGTGGCATGTCAGTTTTCTACTAATCCAGATGGCATCTCATAATGATACCACACTTAGTCTCAGCAATTCTTAAAGCTAACCTGATGACATTCACCATCACACATTTTGATGGGGTATTGGATTTTGTAAGATTCTACACCTGGACTTTGGGTGGAAAATCATTCCTTATAATTTGCATTAACCAGGTCATTAAACTACCCTTACTCTATAGAAATGTGAATCAAAGTGATGTTAAGCTAGGCTTTTGCTCCTCCTTGTTTTCTTTATTTTTATACAGCTCAGAGTGCCTAGAGCTGGATTATAGAGCGTTTAGGTAAAAATCTATTTGTCAGCTGGGCACGGTGGCTCACGCCTGTAATCCCAGCACTTTGGAAGGTTGAGGCAGGCAGATCAGCTGAGGTTGGGAGTTCGAGACCAGCCTGGCCAACATGAAGAAACCCTAGCTCTACTAAAAATACAAAATTAGCTGGGTGTGGTGGCGCATGCCTGTAATCCCAGCTACTTGGGAGGCTGAGGCAAGAGAATCACTTGAACCCAGGAGGCGGAGGTTGCGGTGAGCCGAGATCGTGCCATTGCACTCCAGCCTGGGCAATAAGAGCAAAACTCCGTCTCAGGAAAAAAAAACAAAAAACCTATTTGTCAAAGAAGTATTTCTATGGTCCTGTTTCCTGGGTTAAGTAAACCAAAAGCTACAAATAAATATTTATTAGATATTTGAAGCAATGCTCTGCTAATTTTAAATATTGAAAAGGAAACTTTCAAAGTAGGAGGCCTCCTTACCACCTTATCTTTATTTAAACCCTTAATAAATATCCCTGAAATGTAAAGAATTTTTGTTATTTCAATTGTATGGGTTTAACAAAAATATTCCTCAGAGTCTATGTCTTCTGTAAGTTTGTCTTTTCTGATATGCATTCACATTACTGTTTCTTCTTTTTTTTTTTTTTGAGACAGAGTCTTGCTCCATCGCCCAGGCTGGAGTGCAGTGGTACGATCTCGGCTCACTGCAACCTCTGCCTCCCGGGTTCAAGCAATTCTCGTGCCTCAGCCTCCCAAGTAGCTGGGATTACAGGCGCCGTCACCACGCCTGGCTAATTTTTGTATTTTTAGTAGAGACGGGGTTTCACCATGTTGGCCAGGCTTGTCTCCAACTCCTGACCTCAGGTGATCCGTCCGCCTTGGCCTCCCAAAGTGCTGGGATTACAGGCATGAGCCACTGCTTCCAGCCTACTGTTTCCTCTTATATGAAAAGTTTCTTGGCAGTTTGTATTTACCGTAGGCTCTTTCTTCCCAGGCGCCCGCTGCAGACAGCGATGATTCAAGACGGCCTCATCTTCTGGCTGGTTGATGTTCTGAAGGACCCTGACTGCCTGTCTGACTACACGCTGGAGTACTCGGTGGCTTTGCTCATGAACCTCTGCCTCCGCAGCACAGGTCTCAGCCCCGACCCTCATTCTAGTGCAAGAAGGGGAAGAGATCTTGACTCTTGAAGCTGGGTTTCTAGTGAGCCTGATATGGTTTGCTTTTAGTCTCATAGAAAACTAAAAACAGAAAAAGGAGTAGAAAGCATTTCCAACTAGGTATCAAGCTGTTGAATCCCTGAAGGCAAAATCCATTCTTGCCCTGGAAAAAATGTCTTGTATATATGTAGTGCCTGCATTAAGAGGAGACTAAGTTCATTTACCTTTTTCTTTATTGCATTATTCAGAGGTAGGAAATTAAGAATATGATCCCCTTTTCTGAAGACAAAGAAGTGTGTTCCCAAGATACTATAGGATTAAGCTGGCCGCAGTAGCAGTGACACTAAACCACACTTCCTGCCCTGAATCACACTCTTTTCCCTGCCCCAGCCCTGGAGGTGGAGGTTCTCCTGTGGGCACAAGTCATTTATATACTTGATCAGTCATTTATATACTTGATCGCTGAAGGTAGTGATTTGAGCTTTTCCAGGTACAGGTACTATCTCATTTAAATTGTTACCTGGGATGAAAGAAGCTTCTTTAGAAGAGGTGCCACCTCCAGGCTGTGGCTTTCCCCAGCCTGAGCATCCAGTGTTAGGAGAGAAAGGCTCCCTGGGTAAACAGCTGGCTCAGGAGGACTTGTTGGAGCATCTTCCCCTCTATATACTTTGTAGACTGAACCATGTAACTGTGTGTTGTTGACTGAGTAAATGACTGTTATTTCAGTCATTTAAAAAAATAGCATGCAAAAAGTCCTAGCCTTTTTTTTTTTTTTTTGAGATGAAGTCACGCTCCATTGCCCAGGCTAGAGGCAGTGGCATGATCTTGGCTCAGTGGTGCAACCTCTGCCTCCCGGGTTCAAGCGATTCTCCTGCCTCAGCCTCCCGAGTAGCTGGGATTACAGGTGCCCACCACCACACCTGGCGAATTTTTGTATTTTTAGTAGGGAGGGGGTTTTACCATGTTGGCAAGGCTGATCTTGAACTCCTAACTTCAAGTGATCCACCCACTTCGCCCTCCCAAAGTGCTGGGATTACAGGCGTAAAGCACCGCACCCAGCCAAAAGTCCTAACTTCTAATATGTTTATCAGATTAGAATTAGCTTTTCTTCATCATCATCACCATATTTGCAGTGATTTTTATGATGATGTTTATAACTACTAAAATGCCTATATGGTCTTCCTGATGGTGGTGTCCGTGCGTGGGAGGGAGAACGTTGCTCTATAATGTATTGTGCTTTCACTGTAATGACTCGCTCTGTGCTCTGACCGGAGTAATAGCCACCACTTGGGATGGTTTACTGAGCACCGAGGTTCTATGCTACACTGAGTCCTTTACATACATTAGTCTACTTAATTTTGCATCACCTTTTGAGGTAGGTATGAATAGTAATCCCTGTAGTAAAGAAGAGGAAACTGAGGCCCAGATTGGTTACATGACTCACCCGAGGTCATACAGCTCACCCGAGGTCATACAGCTCATGAGCAGAGGAGCCAAGATTTGTCTCCAAGTCTACCTGACCTAAAATTGTGCTTCTGGGTTTAGACATGTCATGTTTAGCTTTGATTTGTTTCCCATAGGGAAGAACATGTGTGCCAAGGTGGCAGGCCTCGTGCTCAAAGTCCTTTCGGATCTTCTTGGCCATGAAAACCATGAGGTACTCATTCAGCACTGCTGGCCCTGGGCTCGGGGAGGCTACACTGGGGACCCAATGCCTGTGACCCCACAGGCACACAGCTGGCCCAGGATGGTTGCTGTATTTGAAAACTGTACATGTTCTCTGTCCTTCTGGGATTTTCATAAGCAACTGGAAATCTTTTATAATTTTTAGAATTTTGGAAGTCAGAAGCAGGATGTTCTTTCCGTCCCTGTCTGCTTGGCCCACTGGCCTGTGCCGGGCCCCTCCGGCATTGCTGTTTCTCATCATCTAGCCCCCAACATTCCTCCCCCACATGCCATTCCCTTGGTATGTTTAATGTATCTCTGTGGATGTGGATGGAGCCTTAAAAGAGATATGATACTGTGTATGTGTGTATTGAATTTACAGAAATAGATTGCCCTTTAAGTCTCATTCTGTTTATGGCTTTTCCCTTGTGTTTTTAGGACCTTTCTATGTTGCTTTACATATGTCTAGTTCATTAAGTGTCACTACTGCAAAATAGCCCCTTGTTTGTGCCCCTGACATTTTACTTATCCAGCCTGTACACTTCGAGTGCCATCCACTCTCTGTTGCCACAGCAGTCCTCAGTGGGCATGGCTGCACCTGCCCCATGGGAGCCTGTGCCAGAGCTTCCAGGGATGTGTAGACACTCATCACTACTGGCTGCCAGCATACATCAGTTTCAGGTCACTGAGTCCTGCCAAATTGTCCTCCAGAATGGCTATACTAGCGTTTGCTCTCACCAGTGTTGCCCCAACACCTGGTGTTATTTTCTAAGTTTTTAACCTATGGGCCCCAAGCACTTTTTAAATAAAGTAGAGGTATGTATGGGTAAACAAATTAACAAAAACAAATAATCAAATATGATTATTCTCTCACTTGCCTTCTACAAGTGCCATTGCAGAAACCACGGCAAAGCTTCAACAAAAATCTAACCACTTTAGACAGATGAGACCCAGGGGTATATCTGAGCAGGATACGATTGAGTACCACTTGGTTTCCACACATCTGTTCCCATTTCTTTCTTTCTTTTCTTTTTTTTCTTTTTTCTTTTTTTTTTTTTTTTTGAGACAGAGTCTCACTCTATCATCCAGGCTGGAGTGCAGTGGTGTGATCTTGGCTCACTGCAACCTCCACCTCCCGGGTTCAAGCGATTCTCCTGCCTCAGCCTCCCAAGTAGCTGGGATTACAGGTGCCCGCCACTACGTCTGGCTAATTTTTTGTATTTTTAGTAGAGACGGTGTTTCACCATGTTGGCCAGGCTGGTCTTGAACTCCTGACCTTGTGATTCACCCACCTCGGCCTCCCAAAATGCTGGGATTACAAGCCTGAGCCACCATGCCTGGCCCGTCTGTTCCCATTTCAAGCAGACAGCTCCCATTCTGGTCATTCCATTCACATTTTACACCAGCCCTATCCACTGATTGGTGTGACTTCTTTAGCAAGTGGATGTTTGGTGTCTTTGTGACATTCATTTTATATTTTAAAGCTAGTGAGCTCTGAACTACTTCCAGGCCTGAATGAACTCTGTTCCTCACTTTATTCAACTCAGGCAGGTGAAACCAGTGGGAAACATATTCTTCCATCTCATAATAAAGGTTGGTTTCAAGTACTGGAACCAATATGTCTGCTCTGAAAACTTAATAGACCAAAGGATTCATCATATCATTACCTGCTACCAATGCATTGGCTTTGAAAATGAGCTGGATGGGCCGGGCACGGTGGCTTACGCCTGTAATCCCAGCAATTTTGGGAGACCGAGGCAGGAGGATCACTTGAAGTCAGGAGTTCGAGACCAGCCTGGCCAACATGGTGAAACCCCTTCTCTCCCACTGAAAATACAAAAATTAGCCAGGCATGGTGGCTTGTGCCTGTAATCCTAGCTACTCAGGAGGCTGAGGCATGAGAATCACTTGAACCTGGGAGGTGGAGGTTGTAGTGAGCTGAGATTGTGCCGTTGCACTCCAGCATGGGTGACAGAGCGAGACTCTGTCTCAAAAAAATAAATAAATAAAGTAAGAAAAAGAAAATGAGCTTGAAAAATGACATATATATATACATATATACATACATACATACATATATACTTTAGAGCCAAGTAATATGTTTGCTACACTGTAGTAGTCATGATCTTGAAAGACAAAACCAAAATAAAGAAAAAGATGCACATAACTGACTATATGAACATTACATTTTTTGATTGGAAAAAGATGCCATAATCAAAGTCAAAAGATGAATGAAACCCCGAGGAAAAGTTGCATCACATGTGACAAAAGTTTAATATTCCTAATAGATGAAGAGCTGGTATAAATTGGTAAGTAAAAGTCAAGCAATCCAATCGAAAAGAAGGATAAAGGATATGACTAGACAGTTCACAGAATCGTGCTGCCCCAGAAACATGAAAAGATGTTCAGTCGTGCTAGTTCAATCGGGAACTGAAAATAAAAACAACCGTAGGATGCCTTTTTTTACCCATCAGCTTGGCAAGCATTGAAAGTGCTAATGAAGTCCAGTGCCGAAGGAGGGCGGTGGGAAACGAGCCCTCCTCCATTGCTGTGGCAGGCACAGCGTACAGCCTGCTGAAAAGGGAACTTGCTTATCAGCACCTGCCATGCTCCATGTCCCATGTGTGCAAGTAAAACATGGGTCCTGTCTTCAAAAAGCTCATAATAAAGGGGACATAGTGTGAATTTAAAAGGATACTGCCTCCAGTGCTGTAGTGGAGGGATGTACAAGAAGCGGAAGTGAGTGGCCTGTATGGGGGCAGTGGGGCGGGGGTGGGTTCAGGAGAGCCTTCCCAGGAGACATGTCTGGGCTTAGTTTTCAAGGTTCATTGTATGTGTGAAGACCATTCCTGGCAAGGTGAACTGCCAGAACCTGGCTGAGACATGGAACAGCCTGGTGGGGGGCATCCCTTAGGTAGTATGGACACTTTGTGGTGGCAGGGAGGAAGAAGCAGAGGTCATGAGATAGAGGCCACCCCTTGAAGATCCTGTGTGCCACACCAAGGAGTTCCACCTTTCCAACTGGGCTCTATGGAAGGTTTCGGAGATGGAGAGAGGGATGATTTGGCCCACGCTATAGAATGTTGGTAGTGATCGATGGTTACATTAAAGGGTGAATATTGAGGGTAGAGAGACTGGTTTGGAGATTTGATGTAGCCTGGTTCATGGACGATGATGTCTGAACAAGGACAGTAGCAGTGGATATGGAAAAAGAGGGGTTCCTATCGAAGAGGCTTGAAGACAGTATTGGAGACTGAACAACAACAACAACAAAATCAACGATGACTCCAGAGTTTCTAGCCTGAGTGATTAGGAAGTTAAAGGTAACTTTAATTAAGCAATGAAATGCGCAGGAGTAAGCTTTGGGAGGGAGTGACGAATTTGGTTTTAGACTCAGTGGTAGCTGTCACCTGGGCATGCAGATGGAGATGTCTGTCACTTGGAAACATACATCCTGGAGCACAGGAGAGCTGCGAGGACGGGAACACCCACTCTCCCCATTTGCCAGATTGTTCTGAGGTGTGGTGTTTGATATAGAGTTGTGCAGTATTTGAAAACTTGCAAATAACTGGTTTTTTTCCTCCCCTTAAAGATACAGCCGTATGTGAATGGAGCTCTGTACAGCATCCTTTCTGTTCCATCCATTCGTGAGGAAGCAAGAGCAATGGTAAGAAAGCGTGCCTGAGAAACATGTGAGCTTCCTTTAGTGCCACAGTTCAGAGCTTTTAGAGCAAGACCTCCTTGATTGGGCTCCATAGAAAGGCTCAGATCCGTTCCAAACTCCTTGAAATTGTATGTAAAATGTATATTTGCCATTTCCTGGGGAGAGAGTCTGTAGCTTTTATCAGATCCTCAAGGGGATCCCTAACTCCTAAATGGTTAAAAATTAAAGTGTTAGAAAGTTCCCAGCAGGCTGACTTTTGCAAAGTTATAGACATTCTGATGGCAACCAAATGGAAAAGATTATAAAACTGTCTAGGACTTGGTTTGGTTGGTAAATAGTAAACTCAGTGTTTAATGTGTACGTTAACGCTTGTATGTGAAGTAAAAAGCAAACCTCAGGTGATTAGTATATTATTTTGAAAGGACAAGTGTTTCTAGATCTAATCAGGAAAACAACTAGAGTTTTGTCTTTTTTCTTTCTACCATGTGAAACCAGATTAACAGTGTATTAAATGCTGTGGTGAAAGGATTAAATATATTTCCACCTTCAAAACACAGGCAAAATTCTCATTGAGACCAACAAAACATTCTTCTAATTGGTTTTGCTTACTTAAAGAATTGCTAAATCTTCTCATTGATCATTTAAAATTACATCAACAGTTACACCAGAGACCAAACTTATTTAAGAACCATTCTATGTGATCACACTAAACAGTGGACCTTAATTGCCTACTGCTTTTAAATTTCACTACAGAACAGGGGAAAATAAACTTGCTTAAATTCTGCGTTATGGTCATTTAGGTGAAAGAAAGGGGTTGTCAACCAAGGCAAAGAAGAGGAAAAAACATGTAGGCTGAAGAGAAAGAATGGAGGTAACATTCAGTCAAAGTGTGAGATGCAGCATGGAGGAAAGGCACCAGGGCAAAGGGATGGAGGGGGTGGGGAGTGAAGCTGAGGATGGGGCCATGTGAGGAAGAGTCACAGTTGCAGGTTGTGAGAGCAGGACTGCCCTTAGAGATCCCAGAGCAGGGAGAAAAAAGACGGAAGAGAGGGACAACTTCCGAAACCTATGTGACAACATCAGGTCTGACAGATACCCAATAGGAGTTCCAGAAGGAGACGAATGTGAGCAAATGGGGCGGAAAAATGATTGAATAAATAATGAAGACATGGTGAAAAATACAAACGTAACAGTAAGGTGTCTAGGAAACCCCTAAATGTTTGGAAAATAAACAGCACACTGGTATTAGTTATCTATTACTGCATAACAATTTACCCCAAAGCTTAGTGGCTTAAACAAGTTTTTGTTTTTGTTTTTGAGACAGAGTCTGGCTCTGTCACCCAGACTGGAGTACAGTGGCACCATCTTGACTCACTGCAACCTCTGCCTCCTGGGTTCAGGCGATTCTCCTGTCTCAGCCTCCCAAGTAGCTGGAACTACAGGTGTGCACCACCACACCTAGCTGATTTTTGTATTTTTAGTAGAGATGGGGTTTCACCATCTTGGCCAGGCTGGTCTCAAGCTCCTAACCTCAAGTGATCCACCTGCCTCAGCCTCCCAAAGCGCCGAGATTACAGATGTGAGCCACCATGCCCAGCCAATTTTTGTTTTAGTTTTTGAGACAGGGTCTTGCTCTTTTGCCCAGGCTGGAGTGCAGTGGCCTGATAGTAGTGCACACTGCAGCCTCCATCTCCTAGGCTCAAGCCATCCTCCTGCCTCAGCTTATCCAGTAGCTGGGACTATAGGTGTGCGCCATCACACCTAGCTAATTTTTTTTAAGAGACAGGGTCTTACCATGTTGCCCAAGCTGGTCTCAAACTACTAGGCTCACGTGATCCTCCCATCTTGGCCTCCATGCAGGGATTACATGCATGAGCCGCTGAGCCTGGCCATTGAATTTTTAAATTACAGTCATGTCCCATGTAACAACATTTTGGTCAACAAAAGACTGCATATGTGATAATGGTCCAATAAGATTATAATACCCCATTTTTACTGTACCTTACCTATGTTTAGAGATGCTTAGATACACAAATACCACCTTGTTACAGTTGCCTACAGTATTCAACACAGTCACGTGCTGAACAGGTTTGTACACTAGGATCTTATTAGCTATGCCATATAGCCTAGGTGTGTAGTAGGCTACACCATCTAGGTTTGTCACTTACTCTATGATATTTATACAATAATGACATCATCTCACAACACATTTCTCAGAACATATCCCTATCACTAAGCTACCAATGACTGTTTCTGTGGGACAAACATTCAAGAGCAATAGCAGCGTAGTCCTAACTAAGAGTTGCTCAGTTTATAGTTGAGACTTCAGCCTCTGCTTCCAAGCTCACTCACCTGGCTGTCAGCAGGAGGCCTCAGTTTTCTTCTGGCTATTGACTGGGGACCTCATTTTCTTCCCCCTTGGGCCTCTCCATAAGGCTTCTCTTGACATGGCAGTTGGCTTCCCCTAGAATGAATGATTTGAGAGAGAAAGTAAGCAAGACAGAAGCCCCAGTGTCTTTTAGAAAAACCTACTCTCAGAAATGAGATACCATCGCATTTATTGTCTTGGTTACACAGACCCACCCTGGTACAGTGTGGAGGGGATGGAACCAAGGATGTGACTACCAGGAGGTGGAATCACTGGGGCCACCTTGGGGCTGGCTGCCACACACTCCTAAGTAACTGTGGGTCAAAGAAAAAAGCACAAGAGAAGTGAGGGGCTATTCTTTTGAAAAATATTACAAATATTTTCTCAATTTTGGTTTGTCTTTTTAAATTATGGTAGTTAGCCAGAAGCGGTGGCTCACGCCTGTAATCTCAGCACTGTTGGAAGCCGATGTGGGCAGATCACGAGGTCAGGAGTTTGAGACCAGCCTGGCCAACTTGGTGAAACCCCGTCTCTACTAAAAATACAAAAATTAGCCGCGTGTGGTGGCACGTGCCTGTAATTCCAGCTACTCAGGAGGCTGAGGCAGGAAAATTACTTGAACCCAGGAGGCAGAGGTTGCAGTGAGCCAAGATCATGCCATTGCACTCCAGCCTGGGTAACAGAGCAAGACTCTGTCTCAAAAGGAAAAAAAAAATTATAGCGGTCTTGGTCAAACATCAGCTTTAATGATAGCCAGATCTGTTAATATTTTCCTTAATGGCTTCTACATAGGTTTCTAGATAGGCTGTGAGTTTTGGACTTTGAAAAGGAAATGTGGATTACTTACATAAAGATGTAAGTAGATGATGGGGCACGGTGGCTCATGCCTGTAATCCTAGCACTTTGGGAGGCTGAGGTGGGTGGATCACCTGAGGTCAGGAGTTCGAGACCAGCCTGGCCAACATGGAGAAACCCTGTCTCTACTAAAAATACAATAATTAGCCAGGTGTGGTGGTGGGCGCCGATAATCCCAGCTACTCGGGAGGCTGAGGCAGGAGAATCGCTTGAACCCAGGAGACAGAGGTTGTAGTGAGCTGAGATCATGCCACTGGACTCCACCCTGTGCAACAGGGTGAGACTCCGTCTCAAAAAAAAAAAAGACGTAAGTAGAATAAGCTTCCCTCTGGCATTTAACAGAGATTAAAGATATAAGCCAGGGAGGAACCCCCTTTTAGCCTGAGAACGCATCAGCTAGGCAGTTGCCTACTTAATTATTTGTGAGAGTGACCTCTAAGGGATGATCATGCCCACAATAAGGTTTTTCTAAAACCCTGAGATTTCCCTCCTTTCGTGTTTATCCTTGAGGAAGTTTTTAGATTGATAAAGCCATTATATTCTCTTTGCATGTAGGTCTCACATGGGTGCATTTGCTTGGCAGAGTTTAGGTTGTATGCCTGCACCCTAGCTGAAAGGGAGGCTAGAAATGCTGAATAATGAAGGAAATAAGACAACAAGGAAAACGTTTCCCACAATTCCTCCACCTTGACATCTGATCGTGCACGGTGCTAGGGAAGTGGAGGCAGAATTGATGTCCTCAGCCCTGCTGGTATTTGGTTTTTATTTGTTTATTTTTTTGAGACAGCGTCTTGCTCTGTCGCCCAGGCTGGAGTGCAGTGGTGGGATCTCGGCTTACTGTAACCTCCGCCTCCCGAGTTCAAGCAATTCTCCTACCTCAGCCTCCAGAGTAGCTGGGATTACAGGTGCCCACCACCATGCCCGGCTAATGTTTGTATTTTTAGTAGAGACGGGGTTTCACCGTGTTGGCCAGGCTGGTCTCAAACTTCTACCTCAGGTGATCCACCCACCTCAGCCTCCCAAAGTGCTGGGATTACAGGCGTGAGCCACCGCGCCCGGTGCCTGCTGGTATTTGTATGTGTGTCAGCACAGTCCTTCTGGAAAGCAGTTTGGCAGTTACATGAAAAATCACTAAAGGATCTATCTTTTGGACTCATTCATTTTCTTCTGGTTGTTGATGCACAGAAGAAGAGCTCTATGCATGACAATGCTCATTTCAACATTTTTATGAGGGAAAAGCTGGAAGCAACATAAATATCTAGTAATACAGGAATTGCTAATGAAATTATGATTCTTTTGCTCAAAATATTAATATCTATTGAAGATGATAATTAGGAAAAGCAGTACGAAGCAGTATGGAAAAATTTATTTTACTGTATAATGAGAGATAAAAGCACAGTATCTAAGAATGTATGTGCTCATGGAAAATGACACAATATACATAAAAATTACATTAGTACCAAATGCTATTATAGTAATCTTACAAGAATACCTAAAGGGAAAAAGGAGAACAAAATAAATGAATCCCCTGAGGCCCATTTGAACTTTAAGAGCCTGCCAAGGCCTGGGGCTGGAGAAGAGATCAGATAAGTGGAGCTGCCCTAATACCCACTCCCCAGGCCTCCTGCGACTAGGGCTGGAGTCATAGTCAGCCATGGGCCTCTGCCCTGGGGACCCCAACAAACATCCTGCCCAGGGCTGGAGCCGATCAGAGGCTCTGCAGGTTATAAAAGCTCCCAGAATCTGGGAAGGCCAGGGAGCTGGGCTTAGAAGCCACTCAGCCCAGAGGAATGTCCAAGCACACCATGGGGCTGCTCTGCTCCAGTGACCCTGGGGCCCACAGCACAGGCCCATGATGCCAGAAACTGCCTCCGCTCTCTCCAGAGGGCTGGGTGCTGCTGCTCCCCACCCAACAGAATGATGTGTATTCCCCACGCACCTGATCCTCCACATTGCCCACTTCTGAATCAAAGTCATTTGCTTGGCAGAATCTAGGTGGTGTGCCTGCACCCTAGCTGCAAGGGAGGCTTGGAATGTGAGTATTCTGTCTGTTGCCTTGGGAAATTAACAGTGTAGAGAACCTGGTTATAAGGCATTCATCAGCCACAGGTGTCACAGTTGTCCATTACAGGTGGTCAGCCTAGTCACTGTATTCCGTGATGCTCACTAGGTATGGGCTTTGCTTTGCTTTGCTTTGCTTTGCTCTCCTTCCTTTCGACGGGGTCTCACTATGTCACCAGGCTGGTCTCGAACTCCTAGGCTCAAGCGATTCTCCTGCCTCAGCCTCCCAATCTCATGATTACATGTCATGTAATCTCATGTCATGCAATCATGTCATGTAATCATGTCATGTAATCATGAGATTACAGACATGAGTCACCACGCCTGGCCTAAGTATGGGCCTTTCAAAATTAGTGTAGAAATTTTTCATATTCTTGGCCCCATAATTCTACTTCTGAAGCTCCACACAAGACATGAGCAAAGATGTATGTATCAGAATGTTCATTCCAGCTTTATTGATCATAGCAGAAGACAGGAAACAATGACAAGACCTAACATGAGGGAGTGACTAAGAACAGAGGCCGGAAGGTAGAGTAGTTGAGAGTGGGTACTCCTGAGCCTGAGGCTGGCTTCGAATCGTGTTCCACCACTTCCTAGTTGGCTAGTGACAACTGAAGCTCTCAGTGTGATCGTTTTTCCATCTGTAAGATGAGGATTATTGCAGTACCAAACTCATAGGATTGAAAGCATTGAAGGAGCTCATAATATATTTAGAAGATTGCCTAGCGTGCAGTAAGCATTGAGATGTTAGCTGCTATTATTATTATTATAGCTATGAAAATGTAGTTTATAAGATTTTTATTGAACATGAAAATGATCATAAAGTTAAATAAGAAGCAACATATTATCAGTATATTCTGAGTTACGTAAAACAATGTACATAAAAGGAAGGAAATACTTCAGAATGTTCCCAATTATCTCTGGGTGGGGGGCCTGTGAGTAATTTTTATTCTTTCTTTTATGTTGTTTGCAAGTTTTCTATACAGAACTTGTGTCACTTTCATAACTAGAGGAAAATATTTATATCTACCTGAAATAGATATTTGAATTTCTCAGGGGAAAATTTCCCTTGAAGACCTTTAGTGATAGAGGATTAGACTGTGAAGCTGGAACGATAGAATGCGCTAGAGAGTTCAGTTGTTGAGTAAAAGTAGAAGTGAGTTCGAAGTTAGTTGTTCTGTGTAGTGTTCAGTGCGTGTTGTCAGGCTCTGGAAGAGATGCTTTCTCTCATTTAATCCCTCAAAGGTCCCCTGAAGGAGTGACTGCGGTTGTGCCCATTTTGCTGCTGACAACATCAAGGCTGAAAGGTGAAATCCTCTGCCCAGGGCCACACGGCCGGCGAGGGGCTACGCACCGTGGTTTGACTCCAGAGCCCTCTGCACCTGTGCTGCAGTATCACTCCAGACTTGGGACTTTCACCTAGTCAGACATCTGCACATGACAAATTGTTTTCTTTAACACTATATATACAAACACAGGCTTCTCTATGATTATCTTTATGGTAGTCTTTAATGATAGCTAGCTGGAAGGAGCAGGAGTTCCTTATTTACTTTTTGCACACTGCTTGTATTCCCATTTTTATGCATCTGGATTATTCACTAGGACCTTTTATTATCCTTCTGTCTTCCTGGACATTGTTACCTGACCTAAATTATCTGAAATGACAAGTTATTACTTTCAGGATAAGATGTGGTTGTTCTATGACTTCTTTCTATAATTTAGATCAAATATTACCTAATATATGTGATTTTTTAAAAATACATGATATTTTGGCTGGGCACACAACTCACACCTGTAATCCCACCACTTTGGGAGGCTGAGGTAGGAAGACTACTTGAGCCCAGGAGTTCGAGACCAGCCTGGGTGACATGGTGAAACCCCATCTCTACAAAAAATACAAAAATTAGTCAGGCATGGTGGCACATGCCTGTAGTCCCAGCTACTTGGGAGGCTAAGGTAGGAGAGTCACTTGAGTCTTGGAGTTGGAGGTTGCAGTGATCAGAGATCGTGCCACTGCACTCCAGCCTGAGTGATAGAGCAAGACTCCATCTCAAAAAATAAATAAGTAAAAATTTTTAAAAGGGGCTTATCACACTGCTTTTTGCTTGATAACTTTCTCCTTCCTGTGGCCCTTACATTGAGTGGGGGATGGAGAAGAGAGGAGAGACACATTTGTGAGATAGATATAAAATTCAGCTCTCCCAGCAGTGCAGGGCCAAGGCAGTCATTGGTTGGTAACTGTCTCTCTGGTACGACAAGCCTGGCCAGGTGTCCAACTGGTCCCGCAGGAGCCTGGGCACTGCTGGTCCCTCAACTCATGGACAACTTTCCAGAGTTCTTCCTCCCTTCCAGATTGTCACCTCCTCCTCTGTGAGCTTACCCATCTCTGCCTCCCAGCTCAGTGTTACTGTTCCCTAAGGTTCTATCCTAACCCTCTGCTCTTCTCTCACTGCCATCACTGGGGAACCTTGTTTCTTCCCTTTGCTTCAGCTACCAGATCTCTCTCCTGAGCCACGAACCCCTACTGGACACAGCAAGCACAATCTTGACCATTTATCAAGCATCCACTCTGTGCCAGCCATTGGACTAGAGGCTATTTCTTCAGGTATAATTTACAAACAGTGAAAAGCACAGGCCTTACATGGGGGAGTTTAGTACATCTTGACGAATGTGTATATCTGCATACCAACAACCAGTTATACACTTTGTCTTTTAAAAATTTCAAGTCAACTCAAATTGTTATCCTCATGTTTATAGTTGAAGAAACAGGCTAGATGAAGTTGAGTGATTTGAGTGAGGTCACACATTAAATTCATGGGGGAGCTAATTGCAATTACAATACTGATTTAACTTTTCTAGAAGGTAGTGCTCTGTTTTGGATGATAAGAACTCAGCATGTTCAAAGCTGCACTTGGCATTTCTTTAATTCAGTTAGAGCTATTGATTCCAAACTGGCCTACATAAAAAGAGAACTTGTTGGCTCATGTAACTGAAAAGTCCAGGAAAATGTTCAGGCACAGTTTGATCAGGGGCTTACATGCCACTAGATCCGTTTCTCTGGCAGTACTTCTGGACTCCACTTCCTCTGTTTTGAGATCATTATTAGAAGCACTTTCCCCTCACAGTGGTTAGAGGCCTCGTCAGCTCAAGCTGTATGGACTCATTCAAATCCTGCCAGGGAAGAGGAGGGAAAGGAATTAGACAGTGTGCTTAAGTCAGTATATTATCCCTACTTTTCCCTGGAATTCTTTTACCCAATATTGAAAATTCTGGCATCAGGGTATTATAATAAACAATGTATAGTGTAGTGACTTTATAATTCTTTTAATAGAAAAGGAATGAAATCTGTTTAAAGAGAGGTTCTATTCATTTACTTCTCTAAGCATATGGTTTCACTTCTCAATGATCATATTTGGCCCTAAAATCCAGAAGACAGTTTATAAATTTAGGGAAAACACAGGAAAAAAAAAACTAGCTCCCAGACCAACATATTGCCAAAACTTAAGGCAATATTGTGCAGTAAAATTTTACAATAGTTTTTTTTTTTTTTTTTGCTAAATGTGTTATAATTCAGCCAGAGAGTCAATAAAAAGAAAATTATTTCACTATGAATTATGAAAAGGATAAAATGAATGTTTAGTATAAGCCAAGGATTTTTCCTTCTGCCCTTGTGGGACCAGTTGGACACTTGGCCAGGTTTGTCTTGCCAAAGAGATAGTTACCAACCAATGACTGCCTTGGCCCTGCCCTGCTGGGAGAGTTGAATTTTTGTATCTATCTCTTAAACATATCTGTCTCCTCTTCTCTGTCCCCCACCCAAGGTATCCTCTTCCTCTCCCCAAAACATTATTTTTTGGATTAGATGAGATGACCTCATTGAAAAGTAGTTTCCCTCCAGACACTGAAATGTTAACTATTACTTTCGCCAATACTTCTAGGGAATGGAAGACATCCTACGCTGCTTCATCAAAGAAGGCAATGCTGAAATGATCCGCCAGATAGAATTCATCATCAAGCAGCTAAATTCCGGTCAGTTTGATGCAAGAATCTTTGATCTATCTTTTGAATTATTCACATTTGCCAGAAAGACACATGGCATTTCATTCAAGAGGCCTTTAGGAAGCCGGGCACGGTGGCTCGTGCTTATAATCCCAGCACTTTGGGAGGCCGAGGTGGGTGGATCACGAGGTCAGGAGTTCGAGACCAGCCTGGCCAATATGGTGAAACGCTGTCTCTACTAAAAATACAAAAATTAGCCAGGTGTGGTGGCTTGGCCTGTAGTCCCAGCTACTCAGGAGGCTGAGACAGGAGAATCGCTTGAACCCAGGAGGCAGAAGTTGCAGTGAGCCGAGATTGCACCACTGCACTCCAGCCTAGGTGACAGAGCGAGACTCCATCTCAAAAAAAAAAAAGAGGCCTTTAGGAAGGTGGGGAGACCCAAGTGAACCCATAGACAAAAGTTCAGCCAGGTAGGCTGAGCGTGGTGGTTCACACCTGTAATCCCAGCACTTTGAGAGGCCGAGGCAGGCAGATCACTTGAGGTCAGGAGTTCGAGACCAGCCTTACCAACATGGTGAAACCCCGTCTCTACTAAAAATGCAAAATTAGCCAGGCGTGGTGGCGCATGCCTGTAGTCCCAGCTACTCAGGAGGCTGAGGCAGGAGAATCGCTTGAACCTGGGAGGCGGAGGTTGTAGTGAGCCGAGATTGCGCCATTGCACTCCAGCCTGGGCGACAGAGCGAAACTCCTTCTCAAAAAAAAAAAAAAAAAAAGTTCCGCCAGGTAGTCAAGGCCAGATTGTCCAAAGATTAACAATCTCTTATCGTACTCTAGGCATATAGTCAACAAAAAGAACTTAGAAGCAATTACAGAAACCCTCCCCTAACCTTGTAAGTTCTCTTTATGTGGCCTCTCCCTTTCCCCTCCTAAATCCTGCCCCACTATTAAGGTGGCTTCCCCAGGGTCCTGGGGTCAGATAATGAAAGCAAATGCCACTGTAAGAAACTTCATCATTTTCCCACTTTTATTCATTCACTGCAGAAAAACTGATGTTGCCAACTGCAGTGTGGAAGGAGGCAATGTGGTCCTCATTCTATCCAGCCTCCTCCATTACCATAACAACCCACATCCCATAGTAAGCAGGAGAGAGGAAGGCCAGGAAGCCTGGGATGGGGCAGAGGTGGTAGGGAAAGCTCTTCGGCTGTTTCTGTGGACTCCTGACATCATTCACCTGCCAGAGGTACCAAGCACTGCTGGAATCCGGGGCCAGGTTTGTCACTGAGTCTCTCTCCATGCCCTTCCCTGACACCCAGCAGTCCACATCCCTGCAAGTCACATGCGTGAATCCCTTCTGCACACGAGCAGAAAGTGAAGAGTGAGTCTCAAGAGAGCTGCTTGGCCAAGGCCAGAAGCCCCCAGGTGGCCTTTCTTCTAGCTCAGGGTTCACAGTCTGGCTGTACAGGGCGGTCACCTGGGGAGATGTTTAAATCTTTAAGACTGTACCCCACACAAATTAAATCAGAACCTCTCAGAGAGGGGATTTCAAGCTCCCAGTTGGGGTCTCATGTGCAGCCAAGGGCAGAGCCTCACTGCCTGGGTCGCAGAAACGAGGGTGTCCAAGGGGCTCCCGATCAAAAGGAGGCAGCTGAGGAGAGCAGCCAGGGAGCTTTGAAACCTTTGTCCTTTTTAGGCTGGGTGCCCATTTGCCTTGAATATCTCTTCTTTGGGTTGTATGGAACAGCTATAATTCATCCCAAATTCAGGTGGGCAAAAATTAGAACTTTATTTTTTGCAGTAACTTCATTTCTGACTCTCAGCCCTCATTCTGGCATATTGAAAAAAATAAAAATAAGACCTGAACCTCAGTGCTGCCTGAGGTTGCTCTCCTGCCTTCTCTGGGTAGGCCACGGTGTGGGGGCGGAGGATTGTTGCACATCCGCGCCATAGTCATCAGCTGTGCCCAGCCCTCCCAGGCCAGGAGTTCTCTGCATTCAGCCTGAGAATCTTCTTCAAGGCCACCTGTGTGTTTTAGTCCACTGAGATACATCTGTCTCCTTGTCTTCCCTCCTTCCTGGCAGCCAAGAAGCAGGGTGCAGGCCCCCTTTACTCTCTGGCCCAAAAAACATCTTTTTCTCTTTTATAAGCCTTGCCCTTGGACCAGCCTGCTAGAGTGGGATAAGGGGACAATTTACACTTTTGTAAGGGATGTCTCTGGAAGAAATTGTGTTGGGCAGAGCTAAACCTTCTAACCCTGGGCATTCTGGAAGGCTTGGGAAATACCTACTTAGTTCAGTAAGTTACTGTTTAAATAAAGAGGGCCTAAAGTATTTATCTTTCTATCTCAAGCACCTAAGTTATTCTGTATCCATAGGACAGCGGCAGGAGCCCGCCACTTTGAAACAAAATTTTACAGTGATTGAACATTCAGATGGAAGACCAGACACACAAGTACCTCGGGACATCCATCACCAGCATCAAATCAAAGTGAAACCCAGGAGGAGAGCCTCCATCCTGTCTTCATCCTCAAGTGGAAATTAATAGCAGAGTACAAATTGTTGCTAGTGTATCAGTTCTTAAGATGTGTGAAATGGCATTGCCACCATCTTTATTTAGATTATTGGTTTCCTTGTTCTATTTCAGTAAACTTGAAAACATCTCTGTGGGTTTTCACACGTCCAAGTCCAATCACAGTCTTCTAGCACAATTTTTCCAGTAAAGTTTTAAGGTCTTCAAGTATTAAAATTCAAGTATATTTTAGCGACCTAACCCCACAGGTGGGGAAGGACTATTCTGGCAAAGCCTAAAGGAAAATTCCAGCTGGTGACATTGACAACGCCGGGTGAGCTGCCAACAGCAACAGCAGAGAGATTTGTCCCCTGGCTTGGGCCTGGACCACAATGCCAGCCCTCAGGGAGGGGAACCAGCACCAGAGAGACAACAGGGGCACCAGCCAGGTCACTGGGCAGGAGCAAGGCAGAGCCCCCGGGAAAGGAATGATACTGGCCATTCTAGCCCCACGTGTGTTAGATATCGGAGTGCGGGCACCTCATGGAGTGTGGACCAACTCAGGGAACAGGATGGGAGATAGTCATCCCAGAAAGGAGCTGAGGTCTACAAGGCACTTCACTTCTCAGGACAGGATTATTCTGGGTAGTGGGATGAGTCTGAGCCAGCAGGCCTTGAGGTTATGGGGTCAGGAGAAGGGGAGCTGGGCAGGAGGAGGCAGAGAAAGAGAAGCGTGGCTGGGCTGTCTGTGGCCTTACAAAATAGCCAAGAGTCTTAAAAAAGGCATTTCTGTATTCGAAAATGAGCGGTTTATAACTGATGAGTACAGCAGCACTTCCTGAAGGTGGAATGGTGTATGCTGTTGGTGGATAGGGAAGTTAGTCATTAAACTTCAGCCAGAAAGCAGAGTGGCATCACATCTTCATGCCTGCACAGTAGCTTTCTAGACTAAATGGCATTCCACAACAGTGCTGCGACCCGTGGGGCATGCAAGCCTCAGTGAGCAGGGGGACACTTTGGTGTCCCACTGGCCTCGGTCCAGTGAAGTCAGTGGAGTCCTTCCCTTTAGAACGAGCGTTGGGTTGAGAACATGGGTTTCTACATCTTCCCTCCTGGGAATGGTTTGGTGTTTGATCAAATGTGGGTGCACCCTGCCTGCCACTTTACAAGCTGGGTGCTCTCCTCAAGTATGGCTTTAGTTCCTTCTTTTCTCCTACTTCCCATTTGACTTCCTTTCTTCTTTCAGGCTTTCTTTACCTTCATGTCATTTGTTCAAGAAACAAGTGATAATAAGAAAGATGTAGTAGGGATAGAGGGAGGAGTAAGTCAGCTGCTCTGTCCCCAGGGACTCACAGTTCAGTGCAGTGGGTGAGAGACGAGTCAGTAAGCATTCATTCATTAGTAAGCAGCAATCTTCCAGAAGTGGCGTGAACTGTCAGGAGTTCTAGATAAAACGCTGAGTGTGTTCGGGGAGGAAGAGATGGCTGCTGAGCAAGGGGATCAGGGAAGACTTCGTGGAGGAGAAAGTACCAACACCTCTGCAGTGCCTGCTTCTTACCTGGCCCTAAGCCGGGCGCTTCCCTTGTGGTGTATTGTGAGGTCCTACCGACAACCCTGAGAAGTGGCTGGTACAACCCCCATTCTACAGAGGAGGAAGCCGGGGCTCTTTCTTTCTGTAACTCCTTTGTGCTACCAACTTACTGCTCTTTTGTAAATTCTTAAAAAGACCTAGCGATGAACCACAGAGCCTTCAGGAACCCTACCTGCCATGACCACCACCCATACCGCCCGTGGAAAAATCATGGAGTTTAGAGATAGACTCGGCTTGAATCTCAGCTGCCTGCCACTTACTGGAAGTGAGACCAAGAAGTCTCTCTTTCCTCTCTGTGCCTCTCTGTAAAATGGGGGATAATAGTCAACAACATATTTGTAAGGATTAAGTGAAATAACGGGTATGGCAGAATCTAGCATGATGCCTTGAAATAAATATTTACTTACTTTTCCCTAAATTCCCCTAAAATTATATGCTGGCTTTTAATTTTCCCCATGCTACTATAATCATGTTCTGGTAAAAATGGAGAGATTTACTATTTAAAATTGCTTAGGATGATCTCAGACAGTGACTGAAATGGTTGTGATTAGGATGGTTAGGAGCATGATGACTTTGATGTAACCTCATTCTCATTAAGGTGTTTATGTCTCTGCAGAGGCTGACAGATTCTGTGGACCAAGGCTCCCACTGTTTATCCATTATTCATTGATTCTTTTTTTCTTTATAGAAGAGCTACCAGATGGTGTTCTTGAATCTGATGATGATGAAGATGAAGATGATGAAGTAAGTTGGAGGTTCTTGACACCACATAGAAAACCCATACCAAACTATTCTCTCTTTCCTGCCTTGACAAGTTAGTCCAGAAATGGAGATTTTTCATTCCTGCTACACTATTTCTCACAATTCTGAGGGTTGGCTAAAGCTCAGCTGGGTGGTGGTTCGGGTCTCACTTGGGGTCTCATGTGGGGAGCCCAGCGGCCATGTTTGAAGACTCCCACACTCATTGGGTTCACAGCAGAGACGCAGCATTGCATGTCATTCGAGTTTCATGGGAAGCTGAACAATGACCATTCTTCTGTGTGAGCTTTTGCTCTGAAGGGGCACGAGCCTCGGCCTGTCTTCCTCACCGGTGGGAGTGCTGGGCGTGTAGGCGCCTGGCGAGAGTCTCTGGCGTGAGGGGTCCTGGGTTTAGTTCAGAGCTAACGGAACTGACCAGTTTTCTCTGTTATTTGCATTCTTTTGACTTGTGTTTCCTCAGCTGTGAAAAATCTACTTGCCTGGTGTTTTAGAGCATGAAGGTTTAGAAGTTAATGTATGCGAGTCTCTGAAATGATGTAAAGAATGGTGACTCAGGGACTGTAGTTGGATTTTCAGATGACAAGATTTTACATGGTTTTCCTTCAGATACCTAGGAAGAAAAGACCTGTTGTCCCCTCTGGTCATCCTTGATTTGCCTGCCTTCATTTGCAGGGAGCAGTTACTCCTGCAGTGAATGCTGGAACATTTTCATCTATTTTGGGGGGAGCATTCACTGAAAAAGTGGATGTCAGAGGATGTTTTTTTGTTTGGAGTCGTGGCCTATCAGCTTGTAAAATGTGTAAAAGCCAGGTTTTTGATCACTGATGGCATCAGTTGGGAAAGAGGTATTTAAGAGCCCCTGCCAGAGAGGATCTGCTAAGATCTGCTGGGAGATGCTTCCTCAGCAGGCGGCCTCTGTGGCTGCCGTTTTCTTCACAGGCTGCAGGTGGCATCAGCGGGTACGTGCTCCTGCTGGCTCTTCCTGCCTTGTCCAGCAGTGCAGAGCTTGACCTCCAGATAGGGGTCCTGGCCCCTATCATCTTCTCCAGGCCCCTTTGTTTACAAAGGTGGAGGCAGAGGGAAAAACACCAGCTTGAGCTCACACAGAGAGTTGATGGTGGTAAAATTGGGTTTAGAACAGGAGTCGGCAGACACTTTGTGTAAAGGAAAAGATAGGAACTATTTTAGGGCTTGCAGGCCACACAGTCTCTGTTCCAACCACTCAATTCTGCCATTGTAACACGGTGGCTGTCAGCAGTACATAAGTGGCTGAACGTGGCTGTGTTCCTGTAAAACTATTTATGGACGCTAAAAATTTGAATTTCATACAATTTTTGCATGTCATTAAATATTCTTTCAAATACTTAAAAACACAAAAATCATTCTTAGCTGGCGAGCATAGGAAAGCAGGCACCTGACTCGTGGGCCATTGTTTGCCAGCCCCTAGGCAGTTCCCGGACTTGGGCAGCCTTCTCTTGATTATAATGAGTCACCACCTTTGTGCCTGGCCCTTCAATATCATTCTAAATGATAGTTTAAATTAATATTTAATTATTTGTTTTTAACAACTTTTTTTCATTGTGTCCTAAAGTTTGTCTCGAGATCTGTTTTCTTCCCTTCTTGTATCATCCCTTTGGGTTTTTCGGTTTGCTTTGGTTTTTCATTTTGCTTTGTTTTTGCTATAAATCCTGTTTTTATCTTATAAGGGAAAATTCATTTTGTTCAACTGTTCTAGTTAATGATGAGAACTCAATTTCTGGAAATTTCATTCTGAAAGCAATTGTCTACTGTAAATGAACAAATACAGAAGTCTTATAATTTTCTGGACTTTTGCTACTCTTTTAAGAGGTTGATGTTTGAAAATACTTGTGATAACTAGAATTTTCAGAAGATTTCTAGAAGAGGTTTAGTTGGAAAATTATAAGGAAAAGATCTGTCATTTGGGCCAAATGGGACTCTGTGATGAACCCCGGGCAGCAGATGGGGGCTCCTTCTCCCAGGTAAGCCTCACTGCGCATCACCGGTGCCAGCCGGGGCAGTCCGGGCACAGCCGGTCTTGCCTGGATTTTACTCAGCTTTCACCGGAGGCTAGCATTACGTTTATAACTGTCTTTCAAAGTTGGAGGGAAAAAAGAGAGTGACAGATCTTAGGCTAAAGAAAATTTCTAAGAATCCTTTGAGAAGTAGCACTGTTGTTGGAATGTGGTTATCACTTCCCAAGGTGACAGCTCTGAAGGAGACAGCAAAATTATTTGCAAGGTGTTGGAGTCATACCTTATCTTGCTTAGCAGTGTAAATGTTCTTTCATTTAATATTTAGACCCAAAACACAGAAAAATGAAACCACTGTTTTCAGTTAGCTGCTTAGCAACTCTAAAGATAAAATGGTTCTAATGGGGCCAGGCACGGTGGCTCACACCTGCAATCTCAACACTTTGGGAGGCCGAGGTGGGCGGATCACTTGAGACCAGCCTGGCCCACATGGTGAAACCCCATCTCTACTAAAAATACAAAAATTAGCTGGTTCATGGTGGCGTGCGCCTGTAATCCCAGCTACTAGGGAAGCTGAGGCACGAGAATCACCTGAACCTGGGAGGCGGAGGCTGCAGTGAGCTAAGATCCTGCCAGTGCACTCCAGCCTAGGCAACAAAGCAAGACCCCATCTCAAAAAAAGTGGGGGGCTGTAGTGGGATGGGGCCTGAGACCAGGGTAAATTATGCTCACTCTAAATCACATTGAGCTGAAATCTGTGCGCTCACAACTTCCACCACTGCTATCCCTGCTTCACTGGAAACTCTCAAGAGAACCCCTGATGCAAAGTCTCGTTTTTCTCTGTAATTTATAATGACTTGATCTAATGTGCTAACCTAACAAAGTTATGTCTGAATATACATACGTTTATATACTAAAATTTTAAAAAAAATAAAGGTAGAGCTAGAAATGCATCTTCTGATTTATAGACTGTCTAGGATATAATGTCAAATAGAAAAAGGAAATCATAAAGTAATTTGACCAATAATTTCGGAAAAAGCAAATGTATAAAGACACAGGGCTATGGATTATGTATGTGCCTATGTAGCGGAAAGGTGTGGACATGTACGCCCTCTTTGCTGACATTATAAACTGCAAGGGGGGAATAGGAATAAGGAAGTTTGGGTGAAAAATGCAGAGAGGCCCTGAGGCTCCTCAAGAGAGAGAAGTGAGACTAGGACACGGGGTTTAGTGGCGTGGAAGTCAGTTGCTGTGCATTTTTGTGGGTTGATGGAGCAAAAGCGAAATGAATGGATTGAGGGCCAGGTGGGAAGTGAGAAAATGGCTTAAGAAGTGTATGCTGCTCCTCGCCCAGTCTGGCTGTGCACAGAAGAGCAATAGTGGCTGAAGGGGGCATTTTTGTTTGTTTTAAGATGAGAGAAACCTGAGCATGTTAAAATGCTGATGGAGTAGCTCCAGCCGAGAGGGAGAGCTGGAACATTCAAGGCAGGAAGAGTCTACAGGATGGCATTGAAAATATGGGTGTTTTCATTGTTTTCTAAACCACTTATACTTTCTTGGCCCACAAAGCCCCAGACCCATTTAAACCTCCAGAGAAACAAAACCATCATTAGATCAGCTTGGACAATACACCCCAGGGAATGGACAATGACAGCTGTTATTTAAGGATTCAAATGCATCTCATTTAGCACTTCAGAGAAATGTGTTACCTGATGCATTTATTTTATATGAAACAGACGTAATATGTTACAAAAGGGCTGTTGGTAAATCACTAAGCTTAGGAGCCTGGTTCCGTTGTTCTCACCCCCAGTGACTCAGGTTTCCTTACTATATATCACAGCCAGTTTCCTTGTATGGCTTCCTTAAGTAGAAATGCAAGACCTTCCTGTGCTATTCTAGAAGACTGATTTTAAGACAAATATTCTCGCCTCTTGACAAAATAGGTTTAAGTGCCAGGTGAGGTCAGCCGTGGACATTTACTTGCTGGTTGCCATGTAAGTGCCAATCGTATGCTCAGCAATTTCCTTCTATACAAAGTGCTCAGATCTAAGAGTTGCTCATATATTTACTCAACAAATATTTGAGGGCCTCGAAATAACACTATTGTAGGAACTAATGGGGAAGGGATGCAAAAGAAATCTAAAAGAGTATCTGTGGTTTAAAATACCTCCAAGAATTTCCAGCCTAGATAGGGAAGATCACAGTGATTCTGACAACAGCAGCTCCCGCCTGCTGGCAGTGCCGGGTGCCAGGCACTGTTCTAGGCGCCTTATGGGTGTTCAGTCATCTCCTCTTCTTAGCAGCCCTGTGGTAGGTGCTATTTTTATTCACATTTCACAGATGAAGAGACAGAGAGAAAATAGGTCACTTGCCAAGTTCACACAGCTAATAAGTAACTGTGATGGGGCTGGGATTCAAATCCAGGTGGTCTGACTCAGTGGTCCATGCTCCTAACCACTGCCCTATATTACCTTCTTGTGAGACATACATGAATGCAAAATAGCAAATAACAGAAAATAAATATGTGATCACAGATTCATAAAGGTGATAGACACAGGAAGTGCCACAGAAATTCCAAGTACTCCAGGAATACTGGGAGATGGCTGGCGTGGGGTAAAGAGGAAGTGAGATGAGTTGAGGAAGGGAAGGGTGTGGCCAGCAGGGGTGGCATCCTCTGGGGGAGACAGCACAAGCATAAGCTTTATCCTTTGCCTCTCCACTGCACTCACATCAACCCCCCCAAGAAACCCATGTTAGTGATCTAGTGTGTGCATGCGCTTTCATACTTAAAAGATGCACACACAGAGTACACGGAGGTATGTACTACACACAGATCCATATATACTTTTGTCAGTATTTGTTTTTCAAAATGAGATAACATAGAGATAGAAATACACATACTTCTACACCATGTTGCCTTTTTCTCTTGTTAATGTTTCTTGAAAGTCCTTCTGAGTTAGGCAGTGTAGCAAGTTGATACTTTTTAATGCTATGAATGTATAATTTTCTAGATTTTTTGCTATTTCAAACAATGCTGTAGTAAAATCTTTGTAAAAATATCCTTATTTACCAGGGCTTTTATTTATATGGGCTCTTGCTGCTGGATGAAAAAGTATTTTTTTAATAATAGATTTTTCCAGATTGCTCTTTTCAAAGGCTGTTAATAATTCAGATTTCACTAGGAGAACATGAAGGAGCCTCTTCCCTCCATCTCCACTAGCAATAGGTGCTGTTACTCTATTTTTTTTTAATGTTTTTGCCAATCTGGATTTGGATTTGCTACATTGTACATTTCCAATTTCATATCCTTTCTGTTTTTTTCAGTTGTGCTTCTTTCCAAACCCTTTTCACCATCATTACAAATGTTTTAAAGATATATTTTTTCTAATCTCTTTTGCCACAAATCTTTTTTAAAATTTTTTTTAAGTTAAAGATTGAGGCGGGATGTGGTGGCTCACGCCTGAATCCCAGCAATTTGAGAGGCCAAAACAGGCACATCACCTGAGGCCAGGAGTTCAAGACCACCCTGGCCAACATGGTGAAACCCTGTCTCTACTAAAAATACAAAAATCAGCTGGGCGTGGTGGTGCACACCTGTAATCCAAGCTACTCGGTAGTCTGAGGCGCAAGAATCATTTGAACCCGGGAGGTGGAGGTTGCAGTGATCCAACATCACGCCGCTGCACTCCAGCCTGGGCAGAGCAAGACTCCATCTCAAAAAAAAAAAGTTAAATATATTCGCTTTTATTTTATAGTTCCTGGGTCTCCTGTCCTGGTTAAGGTCTTCCCTAACCCTAAATTTTACATGTAGTCTCCTAGGTTTTCTTTTAAGATTTTAATTTTTTCATCTAAGTTGTAGTCATTAAATATGTTATGCATAGGAAAGAAAAACATATATGTTTATATAAGGTTTGAAGTAACCATTCTCCAATTTTTGGTTTCAGGAGCCATTTACATTCTTAAAAATTACTGAAGATTCTGAAGAGTTAATGAGTATTTTGTCTATCAAAATTTTTTAAATGAGAACTTAAATATGATAAAATGTTAAATATTAAAATATTAAATAACTTAAAATGGCAATAGTAAATCCATTACATTAATATAAATAAGATATTCTTATGAAAAAGAATTATTTTTCAAAACAAAATTTTATGAAAAAGTGTAGCATTGTGGGTTTGTTTTTTTTTTTTTTTTTTTTTTTTTGCCAATCTCTTTAATGTCTGGATCAGAAAAACACAGTTTGATCTGGGCTGTATCTGTTGTCATATGTTGTTTTGATTGAAGGACATAAAGAAAATCTAGCCTCACACACCTGTGTACTTGGAAAGGGGTGAAGTATTTTCAAAGCCTTTTCAGATAGATATTTTTGCTCAATATTACTTTAAAACCAGACAGGTAATAGTTTATTAAAAGTTAGTTGCAATGTGGAATTAGAAACCAATTTTAAATATCATTTTTATTGGCTGGGTGCAGTGGCTCACGCCTGTAATCTCAGCACTTTCGGAGCCCCAGGTGGGTGGATCACCTGAGGTCAGGAGTTTTGAGACCAGCCTGGCCAACATGGTGAAACCCTGTCTCTACCAAAAATACAAAAATTAGCTGGGCATCGTGGTGTGCGCCTGTAATCTCAGCTACTCTGGAGGCTGAGGTGGGAGAATCGCCTGAACCCGGGATGCGGAGATTGCAGTGAGCCAAGATCACACCACTGCACTCCAGCCTGGGTGACGGAGCGAGACTCCGTCTCAAAAAAATAAATAAATAAGTAAATAGTCATTTTTATCTTGTTAATTAAAATCTATTGATCTATTTTGCATTTTGTTAATTTGATTTTCTGATTGTTCCCTAACAATCAGATGTGCTAATGTATAGAAATACAATTGATTTTAGAATATTGAACTTGTATCCTACAACCTTACTGAATTTATTAGCTCAAAGAGTTTTTTGTTTGTTGTGGGTTTTGGGTTTGTTTGGGTTGTTTTGTTTTGTTTTGTTTTGTTTTGAATTCCTTAGGATTTTCTGTATAACAAGATTGTGTCATCTGTGAATAGAGATCATTTTACTTCCTTTTCAATCTAGCTATCCTTTATTTTCTTGCCTTGCCTGATTGTGCTGGCTAGAGACTCTAGTACAATGCCAAATAGAAGTGGAGAGAGCAGGCATCTTTTGCTTGTTCCTGATCTTACAGTGAATGTTTTCAGTCCTTCTCCATCTAGTACAGCGTTAGCTGGGATTTTTTCATAGATCTGATTATAAGATTAAGAAAGTTTCCCTCTGTTCCTAGTTTGCTGAGTGTTGGGTTTTGTTAAATGCTTTTTCTTCATCATATGAGATGATCATTCTTTGATTTTTTCCCTTTCATACTACTGATATGGTGTATTTATTTATATTGACTTTCAGACCAGGTGCGGTGGCTCATGCCTGTAATCCCAGCATTTTGGGAGGCTAAGGCCGGTGGATCACCTGAGGCCAGGAGTTCAAGACCAGCCTGGCCAACATGATGAAACCCCATTTCTACTAAAATACAAAAATTAGCCGGGTGTGATGGTGCATGCTTGTAATCCTAGCTACTCAGAGGCTGAGGCATGAAAATTGCTTGAACCTGGGAGGTGGAGGTTGCAGTGAGCCGAGATTGCGCTACTGCACTCCAGACTGGGCAACAGAGCGAGACTCAGTCTCAAAAAAATAATTATGGCCAGGCGTGGTGGCTCACGCCTGTAATCTCAGCACTTTGGGAGGCCAAGGTGGATGGATCACTGGGTCAAGAGATCAAGACCATCCTGGCCAACATGGTAAAACCCCATCTCTACTGAAAATACAAAAGTTAGCTGGGTGTGGTGGCGCACGCCTGTAGTCCCAGCTACTCCGGAGACAAAGGCAGGAGAATTGCTTGAGCCCAGGAGGCAGAGGTTGCAGTGAGCCGAGATCGCGCCACTGCACTCCAGCCTGGCAACAGAGACTGCATCTCAATAATAATAATAATCATTATTATTATCATATTGCTTTTCTTACTTCCCAATTTCTACTGGCATCCTGCCTGTTTCATATTTTCAATAGCTCTTTTACCCATGCAGGATTTTGTATTATAATTCATTGATCATTTGGAAAATATTGGCTTACCAAGTTTTACAGTTTTTCCAAATTTTTTGTTTGTTTGAGACGAAGTCTCACTCTATCGCCCAGGCTGGAGTGCAATGGTGCCATCTCTCGGCCAGCTGCAACCTCCGCCTCCTGGGTTCAAGTGGTTCTTTTGCCTCAGCCTCCCAAGTAGCTGGGTTACAGGCATGTGCCACCACGCCTGGCTAATTTTTTGTATTTTTAGTAGAGACAGGGCTTCACTATGTTGGCCAGGCTGATCTTGAACTCCTGACCTCAGGTGATCTGCCCACCTCGTCCTCCCAAAGTGCTGGGATTACAGGTGTGAGCCACTGTGCCCAGCCCCAAATGTTGATACATTTTATTATATAACATAAGAAATTGTGTATTATCAACACCAATAGCATCAGAAAAGCCTTTAGGTATTGGGAAGCTATTGAGCTCACAATGGCAGATATAGGTTTCTCAAAATTCTCATTTTTTCTTGAAAGTTTAAATTGTATTATTGCTGACAAATACTATTGGTTGTTTTCCTTAAAGTGACAGGCTCACTTCATTAATTTTTGAGAAGACATCTGCTGTATACTTAAGTCTAAATAACCATAGTCTGTCAGTTACTCTTTCAAATGAAAATGGTGTTCCTTGAAAAAAGTGGCTTGCAACTTTATCTCACAAGTCCCATTCCTGAAGATAACCATCCGCTTTAGTATAGCAGTACTGCTTTATCTGCCTGTACATTCCAAAAGATGGGCCATAAGGGTTAAGAGTTAATAAAATTAATTCCTACCAGTTCATCAAGGACAGCCTTAAATGAAACTCTATCTACCTGTCATCTATCATCTATCATCATCCCCGTATTTATCTATGGTGAAATACAGTGACTGCTACTAGAGTTTGAGATCGCTGCCTTGGTTTGTGCTAAGGCACCAGTGGTTTTACCCATCATTGCTTTTGTATCATGAGTGGAAATGTCAATGCATTTGTTCCAGGATAAACCATGAAAGTCAGTAAAGCATCCAACACTTTAAGTATTTCAGCCAGTATTACTTGTGCTTCGTTGCCAAGTATTTACATAAGAGATCTTTGTGATTAGTGACTGTTGATACTGGAAGATTACAAGCAAAATAACAAATCCAGGCGTAGTTCTGCAGATGAGATATTAACTCAGCATTCACGTTTACAGCTTCATCTTTAATTCGACAGGCTATTGTTTCATTGGAAAGTGACACTAATGTGATTTCTTTTGTAACTTTCCATCCAGCAGGCATTCAGCAGTGGCAGCTGTACAAGGCTATCGTGTGTGTTTCTCTAGCGAAGGCAATATAACTTACCTACCCTGCAAGGTTCTTTACTGGCCGTGTTTTAAAATTTTGGGTGGTGGGGGGAGAATAATTTTAGATTTACAGAAAAAAAATAGTAGAGAGGATTCCTGTCTACCCATCATACAGCTGCAGTGGCTTTTTAATTTCTAGTTTGAAAAGTGATAAAAAACAAATGTTCAATTTCTCACTTTTAAAGAACTCATCACGATTTAAATAAACTCATCACTCATCAATATTTAAACAAACTCATCTTGTTTAAATAGTCAAATTCTTTTTCATTAAACTCCGAATGATTGGTCTCAAAATTGCACTCCAACTTAACTGACGTTTACACTCCAACTTAACTGACATAGTTAAATATATTCTGTTACATAAGTTACAATAAGGTAAATTATTGACATCTGTAAAACTGAGGGAAAGACAGCTTTCATCATATTTATTTTTTACTGGCAGTTTCATCCAGCTTCTTTGGAATAGATTCCTCCCTTCCATGAGTCAGAGAACTTTCCCTCCCTTATTACTTCCCTCCTTCTTGCCACTAGTTGGGATTTTGATTGGGACTACATTAAATCTATAAATCAATTTGAGTGTTTTATACCATGAGCATAGTATGTCTCCATTGTTTTGAGGCCTTTTTATACTGTGCTTCAAATCTAATTTAAATACCTGATACATAAAGACTTGAGTCATTGCCACCTTTTTTTAATATCCAGAATCATTTGGAGAATAATCCAATGTGAATAAATTCAAATGTGAATCATTTGAAGAAGCTAATTGGTAGAGTTAGAACAGTATAATGGCCAAATCGATACTTTTCTTAGAATTTGAGACAAGAAATAGAAAAATGTGGCTGTTGGTCACATTAGTGCTATAATGGAATTGTAATGAAACACAGCATGACAGATCCAACAAAGTGCAATCAGAACTAGCTAGACCGGGGCATGGAACTTGTATACATCTCGAGAGCAAGAAGTTAAATTCAAGAAGATGGGCTGAACAAGATAGGAACAAGCTAATTGTCCAAGCAGTCAAGAGTAACAAGATCTTCCAAGTGAGGCCTAAGAACTCAGGCAAGGAGGAAAAAAAAAAAATAGAACTCAGGCAAGGAGACAATAAGAAACAACATGGGACTTGTAATCCACACAGAGGATCTGGGCAGTGAGTCTTGAACAACAGGGGAAGCGACAGTGAAGCTTAACACAAAGCAAGAGTTTTATAATCTTATTCTTCCTTCCCTTCTTGACCAGAGCCACAGGTGGCCTTAGCACGGATGTGGAGCTCTAGGGTGTCTGGCCCAAGGATGGTGCTCAGGGCTGGATCATTGAGTTCCTCTGAGAGTGCCTCTCCAGAGGGCTCCAGTGCAAACCTCAAGGTGCCCCTGGTTTTCCTTTCCCTTGCCCTGGTGTTCTCCCCTCTCCATCTCAATTTTGCCTGGGAACAGCTCTGCTCCATGGAAAAGACAGTTTGCTGCTCACAGTGCCCCAGGGGCAGGGGCGTGCCACACCACAGGGAGTCACACAAGGAAGCACTGGGGTGGAGCAAGAGGCTGAGAGAGGGGTAAGTATAGGTGAGGTGGCATAAGCATGCTGAGGACTGTTTCGTTTGGATGAATTTCAGTGGGCTCTCGAGCAAAGGGGCTTTCCCTACTTGTCTGGCACCTAGCCCTGGGGTGATTAGGGCAGGTGGATAATGGCCAGGCGTGTAAGAGCCCAATAAAGGAGATGGTTGGGGTGTGAGCTCTGGATTGGTTGATTTGTATTTGGAAAGCACACTTGGGGGCAAATGTTTTAATATTCCTAAGAGCTGACTAGTTCTGGAAGGGGCAGTCCCTCCAGGGCCAGGCAAGCTCCAATCAAAGCATCAGCGTAGAGGGAATGGAAGACATGGCTAAAACATGAAACCTCCACAGCCTGGCCTCACTGAATATCTAGTCTCATCTCCCTCTCCTCTCGGAAATGGACTCTGGGCCTGAAGGAGTTCCAGGGACCTTACATGGCCCCAAACCCCCCTTCTTGGTTTTCCCACTTCCTTTATCCCATCATTGCTGTCAACCAGGTTCCAGAGCAGGGACAGTTGACTGCCACCAGGCATCTGGCCATAACGTTGACATTGCTCCCCTTGTTATTCAGCCCAATTGACAAAAACTGAAGTCTTTCAAAAGGAACTTTTATTAAAAACTAAAGGAAGAAACTTAGCAAATAAGAGAGGTGTTCAAGCATAGGTTCCAGATTGAAACTGCAGAGCAGGTGACATCCCAGCTGAGGAGCAGCAGGAGCCAAGGCACCAGCCTGATGCTAACCAAGGGGGGTTCACTTTGGCCACAGCTCAGGGAGTATGGAGGGCAAGGGTGGGAGACAAAGCTGGAAGGATGAATTGGAGCCAGACAGTAAAGAGTGGACACTCACTGAAGATTTGTGAGCCCAAGAGACGTGAGCAGAGCCATGCCTTCAGAGGACTACTCTGGCATCAGTGTTCAAGTTCACTGGGGACCGGAAGAGCTTAGTGCGGCAACACAGCCAGTATTTTCCCAGTGCTTCCGTGTGCAGGCATGGGCCAAGAGCTTCCCTGGCTTTCTCCCGTGTATTCCCCTCACCCTTCTGCCAGGTGTGTGCTATTCTTAGCCCCATTTTATGGATAAGAAAACCAAAGTTCAGAGAGGTTCAGAAACTTGTCTAGGGTCCCAAGGCAGTAGCTGGTGGGACAGAGATTTAAGCCCAGGCTGGCGTGAGAGCCTGCAGGCTGCAGCGGGAGTGGGGCTGAGCTTGGCTGATGGCAGAGGGTGCTCCTGGAGGTGGGACCTGCAGGAGTTGGGAACTCAGGAGGCATGACATGAGTAACCAAAGGCTGGTAACCTTGGACCCTAGGTAGCTGGGAGGATAGCGATGCCATTAACAATACGGGGAACACAGGCTGGGGGTAAGAGCAGATCATGTGTAGGGCGAAACTAGATTTTGCACGTGTCAGGAGGCACAACAAGATGATGTGGCTAGAACGGAAAATGATAGGGCATAGAACCAGACAGTTCCTGACCAGCCTTCCTCCAGGTGACTTTGCATTCCATACGCAGAGACATACTGTTGAGGGTTTGGGGCCTCCTTTCTCTTCGGCCACCTTCATACGTGACCTGTGAGATTGTGGACCCACTTGAAGCTGCTTCTAGGTGCATGTCCAGAGAGCCAGAGGCTAGCTGCTCTCCATGAATCAGTCACCTCTGATGGGTCACCCATCGTGGCCAGCTCGCTTGGCATGGCCAGCTCGCTTGGCGTGGCACAGGCTACGCTTCTAATCCCCGTTACCTAATGAGTAAAGAAGTGTCTGTCTTATGTCTGTGTTACTTGCAGGACCTTTCCATTATTTAACCAAGTCAATAAAGAAACCAGTGTTTCCCAATTAAGGCTTTTGCTTCTTTCTGGTACCTTTTCAGCTTCTAAATTCGTTTATTTCTGCAACACTGCTCGTGTGCTCTCAGACCCTGGCTGGGATGCACCACCCAGCAGGCTGACTCATGGCTCCTGCCCTCATTTCCACTCTGGTTTCTATGGAAATAGACATCCGATGGCTCAAAACAAGGTGAGGGCTTGTAGACACCTCATGATTCCTAGGCATTTATAAACCCTATTTGTCCAACATCGGTTGCCTTGGAAACAGGTGCAGAAAAGGTTTTCTCTCTTATCTGATTTTTTAAAAATTTTACCAAAGCAGTGATGAGTTTTTCCTGTTATCACGGAATTTGGGAATAATAGTACATTTTATGTAGTGAAGCATATTTCTAGTTTTTCATTATTTGATAAATAAATGCATTCTACATTATTTCATTTTACAATATTTATTTAATAAATAAATACGTTTCTATCCATTTGATCAAATCACTATCACTTGGTATTCAAAGATGAAATGCTTAGCGTCTGGGTCTAGAAATATGACTGGAGAAAAAATGTGTATGGCCTGCTGTTCCTTGCAACTTCAGAATTCGAGGCATCTAGGGCATAGATGTCTTGAATTCTGAAGTTGGAAGGACAACAGGCCATATACCACTTTTTACAATTTTTTTTTTTTGCAAAATCTAAGATGTTTTTTCCAATTGAAGTTAGAGTTTAAGTGATCAAAACTGATGTTTATGCTGAACCTTAGCAAGTGGGAAAATCCAACTAATTATTTCAGTCTTATACTATCCTGACCAAGGTTCTTGGCTTGCATCGCTGCTTGGTTTTAAGAGCTCAGGGTCTGTTTACTCAAATTGAGCCATTTTATATCTAAATTCTGTGTGCCATCCATGTTATGTAAAATATGGAGCATGTCTGTTATAGAAAACATAGAAATAGAAGCAATTTTCTGTTAATCGTGAGCAAGTAAGCAATGCACCATACTCGGTTTAGTGGAGTGACGAGGACTACATAACTAACTGATAGTCATTCATTAAGCATTTGTTAGGCATGGTGTATTAAAGTTCAGCTATGGGGCCGGGCGCGGTGGCTCACGCCTGTAATCCCAGCACTTTGGGAGGCTGAGGCGGGAGGATCACCTGAGGTCGGGAGTTCGCGACCAGCCTGACCAACATGGAGAAACCCCGTCTCAACTAAAACTACAAAATTAGGCAGGCATGGTGGCACATGCCTGTAATCCCAGCTACCCAGGAGGCTGAGGCAGGAGAATTGAATTGCTTGAACCCGGGAGGCAAGGTTGCAGTGAGCCGAGATCGCGCCATTGCACTCCAGCCTGGGCAACAAGAGTGAAACTCCATCTCAAAAAAAAAAAAAAGGTAAAGTTAAGCTATGGGCGGGTGCAATGGCTCACGCCTGTAATCCCAGCACTTTGGGAGGCCGAGGTGGGCGGATCACCTGAGGTCGGGAGTTCACGACCAGCCTGACCAACATGGAGAAACCCCATCTCAACTAAAAATACAAAAATTAGCCAGGTGTGGTGGTGCATGCCTGTAATCCCAGCTACTTGGGAGGCTGAGGCAGGAGAATCGCTTGAACCCGGGGTAGGGGGGAACGGAGGTTGCAGTGAGCCGAGATTGTGCCATTGCACTCCAGCCTGGGCAACGAGTGAAACTCCGTCTCAAAAGATAAAAAAAAAAAAGGTAAGCTGTGATCTGCTGCTAGGGGCAGTCCAATCTTTAAGGGGAAAAGCAGAGTAAGTTCACTTAAAATAGAAAGACAGAAAAGCAGGCCAGGCACAGTGACTCATGCTTGTAATCCCAGCACTTTGGGAGGCTGAGGTGGGAGGATCGCTTGAGCCCAGGAGTTTGAGACCAGCCTGGGCAACATGATGAGACCTCATCTCTACAAAAAATTTAAAAATTAGCTAAGTGTGCTTGTGCGTAACTGTAGTCCCAGCTACTTGGGAGGCTGAGATGGGAAGATCGCTTGAGCCCAAGAGGTTGAGGCTTCAGAGAGCTGAAATTTGTGCCATTGCACCCCAGCCTGGGTGACAGAGCAAGACTGTGTCTCAAAAAAATAAAAATAAAAATAGAAAAAGACAGAAGCATAGTGAAAGTTAATGTTGCTGTGTGGGGAGGGACACTGCAGAGAATTTGCTATGCAGCTCACTTTGCAGCCGGCTGTGTGCTACTTTCTGGCATTTATTTTCATATCCTCTTTCCTGGTGGAGTCATTTTTTTTTCTTTTGCTGCTATTCACACTACCTTTTATTCTGTGTTAGTGAATTGTAAGTGCTGCTGGGACAGGGCCGTATCAGTGTGGTTCTCCAGAGGCTCCTCACTACCGGCACAGCACTTGGCACATACCAATGGTGGGGTAGGTATTTGCTGACTGAGCATGTGCCCCGTATAGAACACTGTGCAGGGGTTCTGCTGGGCGCAGTTGCTCACGCCTATAATCCCAGCACTTTGGGAGGCCAAGGCAGGCGGATCACTTGAGGTCAGGAGTTCGAGACCAGCCTGGCCAACATGGTGAAACACCGTCTCTACTAAAAGTACAAAAATTAGCCAGGTGTGGTGGCATGCGCCTGTAATCTCAGCTACCCTGGAGGCTGAGGAGTGAGAATCGCTTGAATCCGGGAGGTGGAGTTCTCAGTGAGCCGAGATCGTGCCACTACACTCTAGCCTGGGTGACAAAGTAAGACTCCATCGCCAAAAAAAAAAAAAAAAAAAAAAAAAATATTGTGCAGGGGTTCTGATGGTTCCTTTCCGCAGAGAATCCCTTCATCCCTTCAGAGGAATGTAAGAAGGCAGATTCACCCAATCCCAGCCTGGAGAATTTTCACAAAGTGCATATACCTATGTAATTCAGACACCACCCACCCCCTCAAGTTCTTGACCTCTTCTTGAAATTTATATAAATGGAGTTATTCAGTATAATATACTCATGTGTCTGGCTCATTTGATCAATGTTATGTTTGCTAACCCCCAAAAAACTACCCCAAATCTTAGTGGCTTAAAAAACAATAATATTTTCCTCCCAATTCTGTGGGTTGGCTTGGCAGGTCCTCTGCTGGTTTCACCTGGACTTACTCATGTGGCTTCATTCGGCTGGATGTCAGCTGGGCCGGAAGGTTCGAGGTGGTTTGGCAGTTGGTGCAGGCTGCCAGTGCAGTGTGCCTCAGTTCTCCGCCACGTGACTTCACTCCTCCAGTGAGCTGGAACTGGGCATCTCTGAGTTCCAAGAGGTTGAAGTTGGAAGCTTCCAGTCCTCTTGAGGCTGAGGCTCCAGAATTCTCAGGGCCTCATTTCTGCCAAATTCTACTGTCAAAGTCACAAGGCCAGCCCAGTCTCAAAGGATTAGAAAAATAGACCCTTCCCTGCATGGGATGAGTGGCAAAGCCACATAGCAAAAGGATGTCCTTGCCAGGATGGCAGGAGTTTGTGGCGGTTAAACAGTCTGCTACAGGGAGATTCTTCTCCGAACAAACCGTTTGAAGATAGTCTTTGTGTGCAAAACAGCCTTTTACAGTTTCACACACTTTTTTTTTTTTTTTTTGCAAAATCTAAGATTTTTTTTTCCAATTGAAGTTAGAGTTTTGGTGATCAAAACTGACATTTATGTTGGCCCTTACTAGGTGGGAAAAGCCAGCTGGCTATTTCAGTCTTATACTACCCTGGCCTTACCACGCTCTATCCTCAGTTCTTAATTTCAGAAACGTTACCATTCTTTTTCTAACAAAAAAGTAGTATTGTAAGGACTCAATGAACTAATCTGTATATTATCCTGAACAGAGTGCCTTGGGTGTATAGTATACATTCGGTTCAGGCTTGCTTTTTTGTTTCCTCCTAGTTCTCCCGAGTGGATCAAGCTCTGGGAATGTTGTAAAAACTGACTTGGCTAGAATTCATCTATTTAACAAATATGTATCAAGCACCTGTTATATGCCCAGGTCTATTCTATATCCTTAGTGTTTTTTTCTGTCTACTCATTCTACCAGTTACTAAGAGAGGAGTATAGAAATCTCCAACTAAATTGTGAATTTGCCTATTTTCCCTTTCAATTCTGTCAGTTTTGGGTTCATCTATTGTGGAATTCATTTGCTTTAAGCATATATGTTTGTAATTCTATCATCCAACAGTGTTGACCCTTTATCACCATGAAATGTCCTTTGTCTCTAATAATGTCTCTAGAATATTTGGTCTGTCCAATATTAATATAGCCACTTCAGCTCTCTCATGCTTGCTGTTTGCATGACATGTTTTATTCTTTTACTTTCAACCTATTCGTGTCTTTTAATATAAAGTACTTCTCTTGTAGACAGGATATAGCTAGCTTTTGCTTTTTTAATCCAGTCCGACAATCTGCCTTTGATTGGAGTATTTATTTAGTGTGTTCACATTTTTGACAGTTTTATTGAGGATATAATTTATATACCATAAAATTCATCTGTTTTAAGTAAATGTATAATTCCATGAATTTTAGTAAATTTATAGAGTTGTGCTACCATCCCCACAATTCAATTTTAAAATATTTTCATCACCCTGCAAAGCTCCCTTGTGCACATTTGTAGTCAGCCCTTGCCTGGGTCCCCCACCCCCACAAACCCCAGGTAACCATCAATCTGCTTCTGTCTCTAGATATTTGCCTTTTCTGGAGATTTTATATCGTATGCATGTGGCTAGTGTTTTCATTTTCTTTTTTTTGTTTGTTTGAGACAGGGTGTCACTCTTGTCACGCAGGCTGGAGTGCAGGGGTGCAATCACGGCTCACTGCAACCTCCACCTCCTGGGCTCAAGGGATCCTACCACCTCAGCCTCCTTGAGTAGCTGGAACTGCAGGTGTGTGCCACCACTTCTGCCTAATTTTTTTTTTTTTTTTTTGGTAGGACGGAATCCCACTATGTTGCCCAGGGTGGTCTTAAACTTCTGGGCTCAAGTGATCTTCCCACCTTGACCTCCCAAAGTACTGGGATTACAGGCATGAGCCACCACACCAGCCATCTTTTCTTTTTTTTTTTTTTTTTGTTTTTTGTTTTTGAGACGGAGTTTCACTCTTATTGACCAGGCTGGAGTGTGATGGCGCAATCTCAGCTCACTACAACCTCCGCCTCACAGGTTCAAGTGATTCTCCTGCCTCACCCTCCCAAGTAGCTGGGATTACAGGCATGCGCCACCATGCCCGGCTAATTTTGTGTTTTTAGTAGAGATGGGGTTTCACCATGTTGGTCAGGCTGGTCTCGAACTCCCGACCTCAGCTGATCCGCCGCCTTGGCCTCCCAAAGTGCTGGGATTACAGGTGTGAGCCACTGCGCCAGGTCATTTTCCTAATAGTGTCTTTTGATTTGTAAAAGTTTTTTATTTTGATGAGGTCTAGTTTATCTTTTTCATTTTTTCATTTATGGTCTCTGCTTTTGTTGTTGTATCTAAGAACTTTTTGCCCAACCCAGACTTTCTCAACCTTGGCACTATTGACATTTTGGGCCAGATAATTCTTTGTTGGGGAGGCTGTGCTATGCGTTATTGGGTGTTTAGCGGCATCCATGGCCTCTGCCCATTAGATGCTAGTATTAATCCACCCCTCTTCCCAGTTGTCACAACCAAAAATGTTTCTAGACGTTGCTAAATGTCCCCTAGGAGGCAAAATTACTCCTAGTTGGAAACCATTGGCCTAGGCCAACATTGCAAAGATTTTCTTTTATGTTTCCTTCTAAGGGCTTTGTTGTTTTAACTCCTATGTTTAGGTATAGGACCATTTTTAGTTAATTTTTGTGTGTGATGTGAGATAAAGATCTAAATTCACCCTCCTGCATATGAATATCCAGTTGCCCCAGTATCATTTGTTGAAAAGACTATTATTCAACCCGTTGTATTGCTTTGTCAAATAACACCTTTGTAAAAAATAAATTGGCCGGGTGCGGTGGCCATAATCCCAGCACTTTGGGAGGCCGAGGCAGGCGGATCATGAGGTCAGGAGTTCAAGACCAGCCTGACCAATATGGTGAAACCCCATCTCTATTAAACATACGAAAATTAGCCGGGTGTGGTGGTGCATGCCTGTAGTCCCAGTTACTTGGGAGGCTGAGGCAGGAGAATCACTTGAACCTGGGAGGCAGAAGTTGCAGTAAGCCAAGATCATGCCACTGCACTCCAGCCTGGGTGACAGAGCAAGACTCTATCTCAAAAAAAAAAAAAAAAAATGCTGGACGCAGTAGCTCATGCTTGTAATCCCGGCACTTTGGGAGGCCAAGGTGGGCAGATCACGAAGTCAAGAGTTCAAGACCAGCCTGGCCAGCATGGTGAAACCCCATCTCTACTAAAAATACAAAAAAATTAGCCAGGCGTGGTGGCGCACACCTGTAGTCCCAGCTACTCAGGAGGCTGAGGCAGGAGAGCTGCTTGAACCTTGCAGGCAGAGGTTACAGTGAGCCGAGATTGTGCCACTGCACTCCAGCCTGGGCAACAGAGCAAGGCTCCATCTCATAAATAAATAAATAAATAAATTGACCACAAATGTAAGAATTTATTTCTGGACTCTCAATTTTGTTCACTTGATTCATATGTCTAGCTCTATGCTAGTACCACATGATGTTAATTACTATAGCTTTATAGTAGGTTTCAAAACACGAGTTCTTCAACTTTGTTTTCTTTTTCAAAATTGTTTTGTTTAATATTCATATTAATGTAATAATTGATACGGTTGGGTTTAATTCTGCCATTTGCTATCAGTGTTCTATTTATCTCTTTGTTACTCTGTCCTTCCTGCCTTCTTTTGTATTAAGTAATATATGTACTGCTGCCCTTTGTATTAAGCAAATATTTTTTAGTAAACCATTTTAATAACTCTACTAACTTTTTAGCCGTATTTGCCTTTTTGTTTGTAAGTTGGTTCTAGGGATTCAGTATGCATCTTTCACTTGTCACAAACTACTTTGAGTTAATACTGATTTATTACTGGTCAAATAGAAGAACTTTGCATCAGTAGGCTCGATTTCTGTTCCTCTTTTGTGCTCTTGTTGCCATATTTGCTACATTTATGTTTATTATCAACCCGGTGCTATAAATAGTCATGTATCATTTAAAGAAGGAACATGTGTGTATGTATGTGTGTGTGTGTGTGTGTGTGTGTGTGTGTGTATCTCCACCTACATATTTACCATTTCCAGTGCTCTGTAATGCTGGTCTCTTAACAACAAATTCTGTTTTGTTTTTTTTTTAATCTGGAATTTTCTTTAGTTCACCTTCTTTTTAATTGCTACTTGATTTGGTCAAAACACCTTCATTTTTGAAGCATAGTTTCACTGCATATAGAATTCTTAGTTGGCAGGGCGCAGTGGTTCATGCCTGTAATCCCAGCACCTTGAGAGGCCGAGGCAGGTGGATCACCTGAGGTCAGGAGTTCGAGACCAGCCTGGCCAACATGGTGAAACCCCATCTCTACTAAAAATATAAAAAATTAGCCAAGCGTGGTGGCACATGCTACTTGGGAGGCTGAGGTGGGAGAATCGCTTGAACCCAGGAGAATCACTTGAATTGAGGCGGAGGTTGCAATGAGCCGAGATCATACCACTGCACTCCAGCCTGGGTGACAGAGCAAGACTCCATCTCAAAAAAAAAAAAGAAAGAAAAAAAAAGAATTCTTAGTCAACAGGTGTTTTTTCCCCAGCACTTTTAATAGGTCATTCTTTTGTCTTCTGGCTTCCATTGTTTTGTTTTGTTTGTTTGTGACAGAGTCTCACTGTGTTACCCAAGCTGGAGTACAGTGGCTTGACCTTGGCTCACTGCAACCTCTACCTCCCAGGTTCAAGCAATTCTCATGCCTCAGCCTCCTGAGTATCTGGGATTACAGGCATGCACCACCACACCTGGCTGACTTTTGTATTTTTGGTAGAGATGGGGTTTCACCATGTTGGCCAGGCTGGTCTCAAACTGCGCCCAGCCCCATTGTTTATGATAAGAAGCCAGCTGTTAATTGCATATTTTATCATTGCTCCCCTGTATGTAATGGGTTGTTTTCCCCTTACTTTTGAATATTTTTTTTCTTTGGTTCTTAGCGGTTTGTCTATGATGTACCTAGGTGTGGGTTTTTCTGTGTTAATCTTTTTTAGGGTTCATGGAACTTTTTTTTTTTTGAGACGGAGTCTCATTCTGTCGCCCAGGCTGGAGCTCAATGGCGCAATCGTGGCTCACTGCAACCTCCGCCTCCTGGGTTCAAGCGATTCTCCTGCCTCAGCTTCCTGAGTGGCTGGGATTACAGGCGCCTGCCACCATGCCTGGCTGATTTTTATATTTTTAGTCGAGGCAGGGTTTCACCATGCTGGCCAGACTGGTCTCGAACACCCGACCTGAGGCAATCCTCCTGCCTTGGCCTCCCAAAGTGCTAGGATTACAGGTGTGAGCCACTGCACCCGGCCTGGAACTTCTTGGATCTATAAGTTACAGTGTTTTTTTTGTGTGTGTTTGTTTTGGGGTTTTTTTTTTTTTAAACCAAATTTGAGTAGTGTATAACCATTATTTACTCAAGTGTTATTTTCTGCCCCTTTCCTCTCCTCCTGAAAATCCAGTTGCACACATGTTAGAATGCTGATATTGTCTAACAGATTTCTGAGGATTTCTTCATTTTTATCCAATGTTTGTTCTCTTCTTTGAGCTGGATACTTTCTGTTGATCGTCCTTCCAGTTAACTGATTCTTTTACCCTTTTGTATCTGCTGTTGAGCTCATCTATTGAATTCTTCATTTCAGTTATTGTACTTTTCAGCTCTAGAATTCCCATTTGGTTCCTTTTTATAGTGTCTATTTTTCTGTTGAGATTTCCCGTTTTTCACTGATTTTCAGTATTTTTTTTAAAACTTCTGAGCACATTTTCCTTTAATTCTTTGAGCATATTTATAATAGCTGCTTTGAAGTGTTTTTCTACTAAATCTAACATCTGGGCCCACTCAAAGTTAGTTTCTCTTGTCTATTTTTCCCCCAAGGACAGGTCACGCTTTGTTTCTGCTGTATCTAGTAATGCATTTGGTTGACAACCAGACGTTATAGATAACGTGTTGTCGTGATTCTAGATTACGTTTTGCTCTCCTGAGGGCTGTTGCTTTCATTTGTTTGGTAAGCAGTTAACTTGCCTGCTCTTAAACTGAGAAATGTGTCTCCCCTGTAGAAGGCAGCCATGAGTGTGTCTATCATTTTCTCCAATCCCAGGGTCTCCCCTCCATAATTTAACTGTTGATTGGGATGGAAATTGTGCTCAGATGCCTGAAGCCAGTAAGGTTTCCACCTTCTGCTGCTTGAGCTGTGTGTGGATTGAGGAATACATTTGCAAGCACAAAAAATTATCTGCAAGTTTTCCCACACTGTTAGCTTCCTCTGGGTTCCTTGGGTTTTCTGCATGTACCTGTAGTTTAGCAGTCAGAGATGTGGGGAGATTGTAACATCTCTTAACCTCTGTAGCCCTCTTGCTTCCAGCTGTCCCCCTTCAATTTCTAGCAGCTGTGCCTGCCACTTGCCCTCTACCACGTTCACACCTCCAGGCCCTGGGGTGTCACTGCCTACGATGGGAACGCCTCCAGGCAGGAAGGCCATGAACACACAGTTCTCACCCAGTGCCCTAGCACTTCCCCACTGAGCAAGTACTGCTTAAGTTGTTGCCTGCCATTGGTCATTTTCCAGTGTCCTGGAATGATTATTTTTAGTAAACGTATCACATTTTGCACTTGATAACTGTAGAGAGGAATTGCCTGACCTACTCCTGTTCCAGGAACAGGAGTATATGCCTAGGGCCAGAAGTCGTTAGATCCTAGGGATATAGCGGTAAAAGCAAAGCAGACATCCTATTTGGAGAAAGCAAGCCTTCAACAAATAAGCAGAGATGATAGCCAGGTGACCATGAGTGCTTTGAAGAGCAGTGGGGCAGAGGGAAGAGCAAGTGGCAAGGTCCTGAGGCAGAAGCATATTGGGGGCCTTGCGGGAACAGGAAGAAGCAGGGAGGGAGTTGGATATGAGGTCAGATCACCTAGGGCCTGGGGAAGGACCTTGGCTTCTATCCTGAGAGAGGAGGGAAGCTGTTAGAAGGTCACTTTCATTTTTAAGTGATCAAAGTGCTAGTTTACTAATTTACAGTGAGAAATAAAACTGCCTGAGTGAGGTCAGTAAGTCACTGACTGGGCTGGGCTATTCCTGGGACTTGAACTGAGCCCAAAGGCGCTGGGACCAGGTAGCCTTGTAGAGCTCATGAACATCCAGGTGGAAGTGGCCATTGGGCTCTGCCAAGTGTCCCCCATCCTAGGATCAGGAGCCCTGTTCGGGTCCTGATTCTGCCATGTACAAGCCTTAGTTTCTCTAAATGGGCTAAAACTAACTGCCACGAACCTGAGCAATGCTCAGCCCAGCATCTCACCCCCATGCTAGGCACTAGTAAGGGGTTCTAACCCAGATGTGGGCATAACAAACACCTGAGGCTCATAAATCACCTGGCGGTCCCAGGCGCCCATGCTCCTTAAACTGCTAAGTGACCAGGGACTCTTCCTCTCCCTTACACTTTGCTGTCATCTTCCAGATGGTGTCTACACACTGTGGCTCATCGTTCTGGAAGTCACTTTCATCTTCCCCTTCATTTCCTTTCTGCTCCACATCCTGGCTTAAGCCTCACACCCCTCTCTGTACTAACTTCCCAGCCTTCGGTCTCTGGCCCTCCCAGCTTGTCCTGCATGTGGCCACCAGACCATCTTCTTAAAGCAGAGCTTGGACCACACGGGGACATGATCACTTAATTTTTAAATTAGGGAACATTTTAAACTTTTCAGAAAGAACAGAAAATAATATAACAGACAGCTGTGGCTGTATCCCTTCCTCTCCCTCCCCTCCTTCTCTCCCCAGAATTAACCACTATCTTGAAGTTGGTGTATTAATTCCACAGATGATTCTGTACTTTCATAATATACACTGTTATGGTTTTTAATTTTACATAAGTGGCTAGTATTATATGAATTGTTTACTGGCTTGCTTTTTTCATTCAACATTATGTGTTAGAGGTTTACTCATCCCAATACCCAGTTCACCCACTTAGCTGCTGTATGTAGTATTTCATTGTCAGAATAAGCCCCTGTGTGTTTCTCCTTCCTTTCCTGTGTTTTCCACAGTGCAGCAAAGAGCTTCTTCATCCTCGTGTCCTTATATGCCCTTGAGTGCTTCTCTGCAGCTCACACCTAGATGTTGAATTGCTGATGCAGGGGGATGAGGGTCTCATCTTTACTAAATCCTGCCAAATTGCTCCCCAAAGGGCTGACCCATTTGCACATTCACATGATGCCTTTTAAAACACTTTCTTGCTCCCCATCACTTGGCACAATCTCAAGTTGCTAACGGTAGTATTCAAAGCCTCACTCATTAAGACCCTGTCTACCTTTATATTTTTATTTATATTTGTTTTTTCATCTGTAAAAATAGGGATAAATCATCATGACAGAGATGTGAACAGCAAGTTCATCTGTGGCCCCTCATGGACAAAAAAAAAAAAAAAAGATAGTGTCCTTTCCTTCCTTTTCTTCCGTATAGTGTCCACTCGCTGGTCTTTCTTCTGGAGCTATATAGAATAAGCCTAATCCAGAAAAGGCAGTGGCAGGGGGTGGCATTAAAGCCAAGGCTGGGACCTGTCTTAATCCCTGGTAGGCATCTTATTGGCAGGTGAGCTGATGGTCACAGCTCACTGAGGTATTGGATCACATCCTTGTCTTGTATCATGTGTGCATTTGATCAGCATGCTCTTCCTGTCCTTATTCCAAGTCCAAGGCAACAGGGAACAGGTGGGGCCAAGCATGGAAGCCTCTCTATACCTGCCAGAGACCCACAAAAATGATAGATGCATGGTTAATACTTGCTGAATGTCGAGTCAGTGACTGGCAGAATCTGAACACCAAGAAAGGGTTCAGAAGCTAACTCCCTGTGTTTGAGTCCTGCCTGACAACTTACCAGCTGTGTGTGGCTTTGGGCAAGCTGGTGAACCTCACCAAGCCTCAGTGTTCTCATCTGTAAAGCGAGAATATTAATACCCTTTTCATCAGGTGCTTGTGAGGATCAAATGAAACAATCCATGTCAAGTGCCAGGCAGACTCAATGCCTGTCAGCTGTTTTTAACGCCGCCCTTGCGATCTAGAGACAGACTGGCCTGACTGGTCTAGAGGCAAGCCGAAGTCTGCTGGAGTGGAGGTTCCTCATGTGCTGCCTGGCCAGAATTAGAGAGAGCCAAGGCCAGGGCTGGCCCGGATGGAGCGGGGATGGAAAGCAGCTGGCAGAGAAGTAGAGCACCCTCAGTGGGGAAAGGAGGGGTGGGAGGAGGCTGGTCCCAGGCCACACTTTGGGTAGCAGCAGCCTGGGAGTTTTTCCTGAGGTTTTTTCTGTGAAACTTTAAGATTCATCTAAACAGTATTTCAGAACATAGACATTATATTGAATAATAGTTTTTTTTGTCTTTATGACATTCCTGCTGGCATGTAAGAAAATCCCTTCATTGGGTCAGGAGTGTGTCCAGTCCTGGAGTGGTGGTTTCTTCTTAACTAGCCCATCTTCACTTGCTCCAGGTTGGGGCGGGGACATACCCTGCCTTGGTCCCTAGGTCTTTTGTTCCCCTTTGCCCGTTGTGTCCTGAGCACACTCTTAGGATCCTGTTTGGAAGGGGCCCTGATTTCGGTTACCCTCTTCCTCTTCTCCATGTGAAGCGCGGTGTCTGTGGTACTGCTGGGGCACTGGGTCCCTCTCCCTCTAACCTCATGGAAGCTTTCTGCTCTTTCACTTCCTGTCCCACTGAGCCTCCAGGTCTTCTCTTATTGGGTGTATTAAATATTGCGATAAGCCCTGCTTTTCCTAGGGCGACTTTGCCATCATCTCCACATTTCTTGCTGTTTTTGCTTAGAGTACAGAAAAAGTTTAAGCAAGTAAACTGAGCGGCGAAAGCAAGAGACTGGGAGAATTAGGGAAGTAAAGGTTGTTTGGGTTCTCCGGTTTCTGTCATATCCTTATTTAATGAACTGGTCTGGTTGTGAAACCAACTGTCATACCCTGGGCTGCATTTTTGTGAATGGGGAAATGAATGTAGAGGGAGACTTCTCCGCGTCGCGGGGAGCCCTCAAGGATCCCGGACGTGCTTCCATCTGCAGTCGTGGGCACGTGCTCAGGAGGAAAGCTGCACACGTGGCCAGGGCCCATTCCACTGGGGAAGTCAGCGCCTCACGCTGCCTGGCCTGGTCACCTCAGTCCACCCTCGCTCTCCCATGTGGAGTGTTTTTCCCTTATTTTCACAAAGAGTGAGATTTACAATTCAGCGTTCTGAGAAGGTGTCTCAAATTTAAACTACTTATAGAAGTCTTATAATTATTTCAAGTGGAAAGCACACCGGATACTTTCACTTGTCATGTGTAAAACCGCCTGAACACATTCTGCTCTGCATTCTATCTGTAAGAATCTGAGTTTTCAAATGCATTTAGTGGTCACCCTTAGTTTTGTTTTCAGGCCAGTTGCTTAGAATCTGGTTTGTCTGGAGTATTATGTATCGAAAGCCTCCAGTTAAGCATCTTGTAATGTCATAAGGTCACCAAGCTGCCATGGGGAAGCTTCGCATTAGGACATCTAAATTCATCTCAGCTCGAGCGCCTTTTTTATGAGGCATTCTTAATTTCTTGAAGTAATCAGTTATCACTGAGCTCTAACATTAGTAATCTGATGCATTCTGCTCTGGTACATAAAGACCAGTAATTTTAGTCAAATTCCTCCAACAATGGTATTTAAGACCCACCCTAACGAGGCATTTATTCTTGAGTATTTCTTTATCCATCACTCCCTTACTTCACAAAGTAGATTTTAAAATATGTCGTTTCGTTTGGAATTCACAAGCAGCTCAGACAAGTTAGCACAGTGGCTGGTGCCCTTGTCGCCCAGTGCACCCAGCACCTTGCCAGGCTTGCATTGAGAGAGGCTAGCAGAATTCTTTCCCCGAGCAGGGCACGGTGGCTCATGCCTGTAATCCCAGCACTTCAGGAGGCTAAGGTGGGAGGAATGCTTGAGGCCAGGAGTTAGAGGCTATAGTGAGCTGTGATCATACCACTGCACTCCAACGTGAGCTACAGAGCAAAAACCTGTCTCTTAAAAAAAAAAATGGGGGGAGAACTGATGGCAGCAGTGGCTCCCCTCCCAGCTGGAAGGCCTGAGTTGGCATTCTCAGAGGGTGCCTCTTGGCCTCACCTCTGGGTTTGCCCATTATTAAAAGTCCAGATACATCCTCAGAGTTGTTTTCATCTGCCTGGCACTGATTGAGAAAGTGGAGCAAGCGCCTGCTATCAGCAAGCTTCATTGCTGGGAGGTTCTCTGCTTACATTTCCCACCGCAGGTAGTGGGCTCCTCTGCCTGCAGGTGTTACTGGGAACGGTTGAATGAAGCTCTGGCTTCTTTGTTAAGCTGCCCTTCCCACCTCAACTAGCGCAGCTCAGTTTGCTTCCGCTCTCTCCCCTCCCAAGCCCTAAGGATGCCTCCGTTCCCTTTTCGCCGGTTTCAGTGTTTCTCAGAAACCATGGCAGTGACTTGTTTATATCTACACAGTATCATGGCGTTCCAAAAGCAGAGAATTTAAGAAATTTCTTCCATCAGTAAGTCATGATTTTAAAGGAGGCAGCCAAGTGATCCCATTTACTAGCTAGAGAAAATGAGGCGCTGACAAGAATCATGTCTTTCTGAATTAGAACCTTGGTACAAAACTTTTTAAACCAAGAACCATCAATTTGGTGATGATTTTCACCTCAGTTTTCTTACATCTATGCATTTGACATTGAAATAACAATAGCGTTTGCCTGCATGTTGCACTAGAGAAACTGAGGCAGCGGAAGCCAACTGTCCCTGTTGTGAGCAGGTCAGCTGCGGGGCCCTGGTTCTGCCCCAGGCCCCCTGCTCACACTGCTAAGCTGCAATTCAAGTTAACTTTTATTAATGGGTAGCAAATATTAGGAACAAATGCAGAAACTGTCCTGTGTTTCTGGAGGTTAGGGAGGGCCTATCAATTCTCAGCAAATTTAATTGTAAAGTACTTTTTTTTTTTTTTTTTTTTTTGTGATGTAGTCTTGCTCTGTTGCCCAGGCTGGAGTGCAGTGGTGCAATCTCGGCTCACTGCAACCTCCGCCTCCCAGGTTCAAGCGATTCTTCTGCCTCAGCCTCCTGAGTAGCTGGGACTACAGGCACACGCCACCACGCCCAGCTAATTTTTGTATTTTTAGTAAAGACGGGGTTTCACCATATTGGCCAGGCTGGTCTTGAACGCCTGACCTCGTAATCCGCCCACCTCGGCCTCCCAAAGTGCTGGGATTATAGGCCACGCGGCCTATAAAGTACGTTTAATTAAAAAACAGCTTTGTTTTAATTAAAAAAAAAAAAAAAGGCCAAGCACAGTGGCTCACGCCTGTAATCCCAGCACTTCGGGAGGCCAAGGTGGGCAGATCACCTGAGGTTGGGAGTTCGAGACCAGCCTGACCAACATGAAGAAACCCCGTCCCTACTGAAAATACAAAATTAGTAGTGGCGCCTGCCTATAATCCCAGCTACTCGGGAGGCTGAGGCGAGAGAATCACTTGAACCGAGGAGGCGGAGGTTGTGGTGAGTGGAGATCACACCATTGCACTCAGCCTGGGCAACAAAAGCAAAACTCCATCTCTAAATAGATAACTAACTAAATAAATAAATAAATAAAATAAACCAAAATGAAGACAGGTACAGTGACTCACGCCTATAACCCTAGCTATTCAGAGGCTGAGGCAGAAGATCGCTTGAGCCCAGGAGTTCAAGTCCAGCCTGAGCAACATAGCAAAACCCCATCTCAAAAAAAAAAATTTTGTTTAATTAAAACAAAACGAGCTGGGTGCAGTGGCTCATGCCTGTAATCCCAGCACTTTGAGAGTCCGAGAGGGGTGGATCACTTGAGCTCAAGAGTTTGAGACCAGCCTGGGCAACATGGAAAAACCCTGTCTCTACCAAAAATACAAAAATTAGCCAGGCGTACTGGTACATGCCTGTGGTCCCAGCTACTTGGGAGGCTGAGGTAGGAGGATCACTGGAGCCTGGGAAGTTGAGGCTGCAATGGGGCCCTTGATTACGCCACTGCTTTCCAGCATGGGAGACAGAGCAAGAGACCCTGTCTCAGAAAATAATAACAATAAATAAAATAAAATGGAATAAATAACTTTAACTTGTGATTGAGATGTGTTGTTTGCTAGTTTGTGTTTATGTAAGTTGATTTGCAAGTAAATGGGTCTTACATATGTACTTGTCCAGGATAAAGAAACACTTTTGCTGGCATTGACTGAAGTTAGCCATTGACTATGTGTTTCTCGTTGAAATGGAATATGGACATTTATTTTGTTTCTTAATGTTTCGTATTCCCTCCTGGCAGGGAAGTAGTGTCTCACCAATACCTTGGTGAAACTGTGATTCCAATGCCCATTTCCAGCTGGGGCCTCTGAGGCTCTGTCCCCTGGAGAAGAGGTGAAACACTACTCCATGCCCAGAGCTCCCTGCCACTCACTCAGACCACAGAGCTGCTGCTTTGGTTCACAAGGAGTACTCATTTTCCTAAAATTCATCATAAAATGCACACACACCCTTTGATCACTGAGATGTTGTTATTTTGGTGAAGTACTCTAAGCCAAGGCAACAACCTCAATCTTCCGTAACCGTCCCAGAGTTGACTTGGGGTAGGGCCTCACAACAGGATTACCTTTAAGGAAATTTCAGGACAGCGGGTCTGCTAGCACTTGGCAGAGCTGGCAACTCAGGTGCAGCAGCAGAAGAAGGTGGCTGCCCTCACCATAGGGCATGAGTCCCAACTAGAGCTTAAATCGCAGTGGTAACTGTGAGCCTGGGCCCTGGGTGGGGCAAGAGTGGATTCTCCATTTGTGATTAGACAAGAGAAGGGGAGAGAGAGGGACGAGACCCTGAACTTCAGATGCCACTATAGCCCTCCCTCCCATTACTCTCTGTGTCCTGTTGAGCTCAGTCTTAGCCAGGCAGCAGGGACCCAAGCTGTCCAGCCTGTACCTCCTCAGAAACAGGCTTCTTCTGTGGGGCCCCAAGAGGCCAAGTCAAAGACCTGGGCAGAAAGGGGCTGCCCCAAGCTTAAAGTCCAGATTCCTAGACTCAGAGCTGGGCTACTGCTGTGGATTTGTCACTTCTCTGGGCCTCTGTTTCCACACCAGGAAAATCCACACCAAGCCATTGTGAAAGTTAAGATGTAAAGTGCTATGGAAATGTAAGGTGGGTTCCTTAATTATTCTATGACAAGGGACATCAAATAAATGCCCCCAAATGCAAGCTAGCAGGAGCAGCATCTCCTCAGTAGCCCCTTCCCTGAGTAAGATGGTGCTGATTGTTGGAAAAGGCTCTGGATTGATCTGGGGCCTGCCTCTTATTCTGCTGGTTCAGGCCTGTCTTTGGGGACAGCCTAGAGTAAGTCGAATCCCCTTTTCTTAGGACAGCCCATCCCAAGGTGACACCATCTAGTGATGGCAGGTGGCACTGACTATGTGGTTGAGAGAGTGGAGAGGCGGGGTAGCTTCCCCCAGCGCAGCCCTAGGACAGGCAGCATCACATTTCAAGGCCCAGTTCCCAGCCACAACCTGCCTTCCAGGCCCAGGAGGTTGAGCCTTCATATTCCTTGGAAACTGACTGGGGCAAATCAAACTCACCAAAGACCAGAACATCCTGAATAACTAGAAATTAGTCGGAAATGAAGACAGGGTACTCATTTTTGCAGAATAGAGCTTTCTCTGCCTGTTGGCAAGTGTCAAGGAGCCAATTATAGTCATTAGATTGTTGGGTGGGCCAGGAGTCAAAGGGAAGGACTGGCTAGATGATCTTAGGGAACACTGTCACCAGGAGATGATGGCCTGCCCTCCCCCTGCACCCTTAGACCACTCCAGCACTTGGCTGCCACCTTCCTCCAGGGCCCCTCCTTCCCATTTTTCCCTCCATAGCCAGCAGCTTCCCTCTTTCTGAGTTAATATTTGTATTGCTCTTTGTAATTTAACCTGCAAAGGACAGTCTAAGGTTGGCCGGAAGCTTTGGCAGGGACGAGGAAGGGGCAGTGCACGCTCCCCCATGATTGTGTGTGCCGTTCGGTCGGCGTTCGAGTATACAGAGCCTTGTGACATCTCACATATGCTCGTTTTTTAATTTTTAACTCTTCTGTTTTTAATTCAAGATCAGAACGTTTCCATCACTCAAGGATCCCTCATAGAAGGATCCCTTTTACAGCCACCGCCATTTCCTCCTTAACACCTGGCAACCACTAATCTGTTCTCCATTTCTATAATTTTATCATTTCCAGAATGTTATAGAAATGGAATCATATAGTATGCAACCATTGAGGACTGGCTTTTTTCACCAACATCATTCTCCGGAGATCCATCCAGGCTTGTGTACATCAGTAGTTCCTTTTCTTTCTGAGTAGTATTCTGTGGTGTGTATGTACCACATTTGTTTACCTGTTCTCTTGTTGAAGGGCATCTACTGTTTCCAGTTTGGGGCTATTATGAATAAAGCTGCCATGAAACATTCATATACAGATTTTTGTATGCCAACAAGTTTTTATTTCTCTGGGATAAATGCCCAGGAGTATAATTGCTGGTTCTGTATAGTTGCATGTTTACCTCTTTAAGAAATTGCCGAAATGTAGTTGCATGTTTAGCTTTTTTTGTTTTTGTTTTTTTGGTTTTTTTTGACACTGAGTCTTGCTCTGTCACCCAGGCTGGAGTGCGGTGGCATGATCTCGGCTCACTGCAACCTCTGCCTCCCGGGCTCAAGTGATTCTCATGCTTCAACCTCCAAAGTAGTTGGGATTACAGGCACATGCCACCAGGCCTGGCTAATTTTTGTTTTTTTCGTAGAGACGGTGTTTCGCCATGTTGCCCAGGCTGGTCTCAAACTCCTGATTCAAGTGATTCGCTCGCCTCGGCTTTCCAAAGTGCTGGGATTACAGGCATAACCCACTGCTCCTGGCCTGTTTTTGCCATTCTAATAGGCATGTAGTGATATCTCATTGTGGTTTTAATTTGCATTTCCTTAATGGCTAATGATATTGAACATCTTTTCATGTGCTTATTGCCATCTGTATATTCTCCCTGGTGAAATGTCTCTTCATGTCTTTTGCCCATTTTCTAATTAGATTGTTTGGGTATTTTGAATGTTGAGTTTTGAGAGTTCTTTATTTTAGTTACTAGTCTTCTGCTGAATATGTGGTTTCCAAATACTTTCTCCCTGTCTATAACTTTCCTTTTTATCTTCTTAACAGCGTCTTTTCACCGAACAAGTTTTTAAGTTTTTTGATGAAATTCATTTTATCAATTTTTTCCTTTTATGGGTGTTCTAAAAATGTGTTAGTTTTACGTTTAAGTCCATGATTCATTTCGAGTTGATTTTTATGTAAGATACGAGAATTAGATTGAGGTTCAGTTTTTTTCCTACAAATGTTCAATTTCTCCAGCACTATTTGTTGAAAGGACTATCCTTTCTCATTGAATTTCTTTTGTACCTTAGTCTAAAACCCACTGGACATATTTGTGTAGGTCCATTTTGGAGTTCTCTGTTCCATTCCATTGATCTATGTGTCTGTCCCTCTACCAGTAGCATACAATCTGGACTACTAAGCTTGAAATCATGTAGATTGATTCTTCCCATATATTGTTCTTCTTTTTCAAAGTTGTCTTAGCGTGTTCAATTTTCTTTTCTTTTCTTTTCTTTTTTTTTTTTTGAGTCGGAGTCTTGCTCTGTCGCCCAGGCTGGAGTGCAATGGGACAATCTCGGCTCACTGCAAGCTCCGCCTCCCGGGTTCACACCATTCCCCTGCCTCAGCCTCCCAAGTAGCTGGGACTACAGGAACCCACCACCACGGCGGGCTACTTTTTTTTGTATTTTTTAGTAGAGACAGGGTTTCACCATGTTAGTTAGCCAGAATGGTCTTGATCTCCTGACCTCATGGTCCACCCACCTCGGCCTCCCAAAGTGCTGGGATTACAGGCGTGAGCCACCGCGCCCGGCCAACGTGTTTAATTTTCTTTGCCCTTTCCATATAGATTTTAGAATAATCTTACTTATGACTACAAAATATCTTGCTGGGATTTTGATAGAAATTCCTTTACACCTGTAAATAAATATGGGGAGAACTATGTTGAGTCTTCTTGATTCATGAACGAGGTGTGGTTCTGTATTTATTTGAATTTTTGATTTCTTTTTTCTTTTCTTTTTTGAGACAGAATTTTGCTCTTTTTGCCCAAGCTGGAGTGCAGTGGCGTGATCTTGGCTCACTTCAACCTCCGCCTCCTGGGTTCAAGTGATCCTCCTGCCTCAGCCTCTGAGTAGCTGGGATTACAGGCATGCGCCACCACGCCCAGCTAATTTTGTATTTTTAGTAGAGATGGGTTTTCACCATGTTGGTCAGGCTGGTCTTGAACTACTGACCTCAGGTGATCCGCCCATCTCAGCCTCCCAAAGTACTGAGATTACAGGTGTGAGCCACCGCGCCCGGCAGATTTCTTTCACTAGATTTTTGTAGTTCTCAGCATACAAATGTTGTATATGTTTTGTTAGATTTATGCCTATTTCTCTTTTTTTGAGCACTTGTAAATGGCATTGTATTTTTAATTTCAATGTTCGTGTGTTCCTTACTAGTATACAGAAATTGATTTTATATGTCTTTCTTATATCCTGTGAGCTTTTTGAATTCATTACTTCTAGGAGGGTTTTTTGTGTGTGTATGTGGTTTCTTTGTAGATTCCTTATTTCTACATAGACAGTCATATTATGTGCAAATAGGGATAGTTTTTCTTCCTTTTCTCATCTGTATGGCTTTTATTTGCTTTTCTTGCCTTGTCAGGACTCCTTTTCCTACAAATGTTCAATTTCTCCAGCACTATTTGATGAGATAACTATCCTTTCTCATTGAATTTCTTTTGTACCTTAGTCTTAAACCCACTGGACATATTTGTGTAGGTCCATTTTGGAGTTCTGTGTTCCATTCCATTGATCTATGTGTCTGCCCCTCTGCCAGTAGCATACAATGTGGACTACTATAGCTTGAAATCATGTAGATCGATTCTTACCATATTGTTTTCAAAATTGTCTTAGCGTGTTCAATTTTCTTTTTCTTTCTTTTTTTTTTTTTTTTGAGACGGAATCTCGCTCTGTCACCCAGACTGAAGTACGATGGCGCAATTTCGTCTTCTAATTACTGCCAGGTTTGAGTAGAATTCCAGGTTCCATGCTTGGCCTGGTTGACACCAGATGATGGGGGGTCCCGGAAACCCACTACGCCTCCACTAATGCCTCCCTGCCTAGAAGGGACGAGAGTGCCCCGTCACTCACTGCGCCCCACATGGCTCCTCCAACACCACCCCAGGAAGGGTGTGAGGGGCATCTGGTCACTGCCAAGTGTGGGTAGAAGTCTGGGCTCCCACCTGGTCTTCACTTACATTGTGGGGTGGGGGCCTCCTTACCACCCAGCAGGGATGAAACTGCTGCCTACCCAGCCTTCTCTGGTATAGAGAACCCACCGCCAGGGGTGTTGGGGTGTGCGGCCCAGCCTGGTGAGGGTACAGCTGGGGCTCCTGAGGCCCTTGCTGGCGCAGGTGGGAGTGGAGCTACCATATTTTCTCCAGTGTTTATTTCCTAAAATCTTCCTGTCATGCCAGCCTTCCCCTGTCAGGTCCTTTGGCTAAAGGAAGCAGGCTTTGGGTAAAGGAAGCAGGCTTTGGCTAAAGGAAGCAGGCTTTGGGGGGCTTTTTTTGTTTTCACCATTGACATTTCTGGGTTGTTGGTTTCTTGGGCTCCAGGTGTGGCATATATGAAACAAAAAGAAAACCCAGGCAACCTGGGTAACCTGGCAAAACCTCGTCTATACAAAAAAATACAAAAAGTAGCCGGATGTGGTGGCATACACCTGTAGTTCCAGCTACTTGGGAGGCTGAGAAGGGAGGATCACTTGAGCCCAGGAGGTCAAGGGCACAATGACCTGTGATCATGCCACTGCACTGCAGCCTGGGTGACAGAGCGAGACCCTATCTCAAAAAAGAAAAGAAAACCCAGGGAAGTCACCAGCTGTCATCCTTGGGTCTCAAGGCCCCTAGGCAGTCTGCTTTCATCTCTCCATCTTTCAGAGTCACTTTATGTTTCTTTTATAGGTAGTGTCCAGTGTTTTTGGTTGTACGTAGTGGGAGGAATATGGAAAGGAACATCCACTGGGTCTTCCCAGAAGCAGAACGGTGCTGCCCTTTTTGCTGAGTCTTGTTACTTATTGGCTGTAAACGTTCTTGAGATGAGCAGACCTGTTCTAGAGTTCCCTATCCCCCATAAGGCCTGTGTATGACTGACTGGCTGTTCTATATGGTGCCTTGATCTCACAGAGAGAGAAGTTCTGAGAACTGTGATTAGGAGAGACTTTAAAGAGCCTTCTGGAACCTCCGCACAACTAAGCAGTGGAGGCTCCCTAGCTCCCTAGCTTCCTGAAGAGGCTGGTTGGCCTTGTCCCTTTGGTCTTCATGGAGAGGTTGGGAGCAGAGGCAGACTGCCCCTGAGCCCCCTTGGAATATAAGCCTGCAAGTTGCTGTGATTGGCCGAGGCCTTCTTGTTTCATGACAGCTACACATTCTGGGGAGCCACGCCTTGGGAGCTTGTGTCAGGGTGTCCATGGCATTCACCCCATGTCTCCTGAAACAGGAGGACCATGACATCATGGAAGCCGATCTGGACAAAGACGAACTGATCCAGCCCCAGCTCGGAGAACTCTCAGGAGAGAAGCTTCTGACCACGGAGTACCTGGGGGTAAGTGCCACACAAAGGGTGGGGATCCTGAAACAGAAAGGCCAGATGGACATTGATGGATTTCGTGTTTTCAGTGACACAGAGGGTTTAGTTTGGTTTGTTACCATACTGTATTTATGAGAAGGTCCATGTTAGCCAGTCTGCTCTCAGTGGCCCTGAAATGCACTGTGGCCCTAGCTACCTGTCACAAGTAGACAGGTGTACGGATTGGGGAAAGATATAACTAGAAGGCATATGCCAGGGGCCTTTGGAACATCAGAAGATATGCCTGGCCCCAGTAGCAATTGCCTACCATCCCACTTTTTAATTTCTGCATGCCTTATGTATTGGAAGGGAATACTGAGGTAGACTTGGAAGTCCTTGGCGCAGAGGTGTTGGCTGAAACCATCATAGCCCATGAGGTTACCCACTGAAGCACAGTGTGGAGAGAGAGTGGGGGCTGAGCAAGGAGGGGCATTCCAGCAGTCAGGAGTGGGAGAAAGGAGAGGACCCGAGAAGGCCAGAAAGTGAGTAGTCACTGCGTCTTCAGGAGAACTGAAGAGGGTTATGGAAACAGAAGGGAGAGGTGTTTCAGGATGGAGCCAGTGGTCAGTGCAAGCATCCAAGAGGCCTGTGGAGTCACCATCTGGGATGGGTCCTTAAGCTGACCTGTGAGAGCTCCCGTTGGCTCGGATGCTCAGCCAGCTCCAGAACCACTGGCTTACGACCCACCAGCTAAATAGGGCAGGATGTGAGTCAGGAGGAAGCAGCCACTCCTCAGGAGAGGATAGCAGTGCCAGGGCCCGCAGATATCTCAGAGAGCAGGTAGGGGGGCCTGGTGGGATGCTGGAGTGTAAGGGTCTGGAAGGGAGGAGCAATTGCCAGGAACCAGGACCAATTCAGACTGAAACCCTGTGTGGGACAGCTGAGCACATAGGGTAGAAGAGTCACTAAAAGAGGCTCCTAGAACTTTGAAGCTGGTGGTTGCTTCAGTCAGTTGTTTGGACCCCAAAGTCTTCCTCACGGCCAGCAGGTTGGTGTTGGAGAAGAAGGGTGGAGCCAGCGTCTCAACAGTTGACTGGCACAGCCAGAGCCTTGGGAAGGAGAAAGACGATGCATGCAGGTGGCCTGAGGCTTTATGGGAGCAGGTGGAAGCAGAAAGTGCCTGCCAGGTCCCGTTGCCACCCCCAACCCAGACCCTTGGCACCTCCCCAGGACACTGGGCCCCCTGGTCACCTGGCCCTCATCTCTTCCTCATCATCTGTGGAACTTCAGGGATTCTAGGCTGGAGTGCAGTGCTTGGTGGTGGGACTTCAGGTTGGAGAGAGAGCCACAGTCCAGATCATGTGGCTTTGTAGGTCATGGCAAGGGTTTGGGATTTTATTTACAAGAGCTAGGACGCCACTGGAGGTGAGAGCAAGGAAGTGACTCGGTTTGACTCATGTTCTAACATATCCACTACATTTTCACTCTGCTGCTTTGTGAAGGCAGGGAGGTGACTGATGGAGGCTGGGGGGCGGGGAACCACCGCGAACCCCTTCAGGGATAGGGGTTGCTGGGCAGTACCTGCCATTCCTTAGAACATCTCAAGGATTAAAGTAGTCTAATTGGCTGTGGAGCTGTTTACATTAGGTGGAGCAGGGAGGTGCTCAGGAAAGGTCAGAAGTGCAGCCGTCAAGGTTCCAAGTTGTTGATGGAAGCCTAAGGCTTGACTAGGCCTCTGTCGCCCTTTGGAAGAGCGCTGGTTTTGTCAGAGACGCGGCTCCGTGTGATTGGTTTCACAGGCAGGCGGTGAGGAAAACAGAGGAGGCAAATTGGTGGGGCTTCCTCAGAGGGCACGTGTTGATACCTGTTGAGACCGCGACGCATGTACCCCTGACCACACTACCGCACAGACAGACACGCAGGCACGTAAACATGAGCAAGGATGGCCATTTGCAGCCAGGTCAGACAGAAGCTTGAATACAGCGCTCAGTTAATAATCTAGAGGACCTCTCCCCGGCAAAATGCCATGGGGGAGGATCTTCTGTTGATATGGTAAACATCTTCAGTAACAACAAAAAAGCAAGGTGCAGAACGTGGTGAGACTGCTAGTTTAATCATGCAGATTGGTGAGGCGCAAAGGCACAGAGCTTTCAAATCAATCAGTAACCCCAGTTTAATGGCATCTGGAAATGGTACCATCTTACCATAATATGCAGTTCTAAACCTCCTAAATGTTTATGGATGATCCTTTTACTAGAAGGAAACCATGGGTGGACATGTGAGTACTGAGAAACACAGAAAGAATCCACTGTGAAGATGGGAAGAGCCAGTACAATTTGGTATTTCCCGTGGCTGCAGTAACAAAGCACCACTAACTGCAGACTTAAAACAGCAGAAATGTATTCTGTCTTCGTTTTGAAAGGCAGAAATCCAAAATCAAGGTATCCTTAGGGCTCAGCTCCCCCGAAGGACTCTATGGGAGGATCCTTCTTGCCTCTTCCAGCCTCTGGTGGCCCCAGGCCATGCTTGGCTTGTGGCTGCAACATGCCAATCCCTGGCCTGCCTTCACATGGCCTTCCCCTCTTCTGTCTTTTGTAAGGACACTTGTTCCCCCGGGTGACCCAGGATGAGTTCTTCCTCTCAAGGGTCCTTATTACATCTACAAGGGTCTTTTTTCCAAATAAACTCATTCACAGTTTCCAGGGGTCAGGACATGGGCATAGCTTCTGGGGGCCACCATTCAGCTGACCACACCAGGTCACCATAGGATCTCATGAATATTTTGATTAGAAAATTTAACGTGGAGCAGTAAGCGCTGAGGCCGGATGCACTCCCAGCACTGCCCCTGTTCATGAGTCATCCCCCACCGCCCTGTCACCCGGTCTTGTGATCTGACATTGCCAGCCTGCCAGCCTCTGTGTGCCGGGTTGGGGATCTCAGAAGATGGGATTCCCACCTTGTCATGCCCTTGCTCTTGTGGTGCGTGAAAAGCCTTTAAATTCACATTTTTGTCGCGTTTTGTGTGTGTGCCAAGCTGAGGAGCTCTGACCAAGATAGAAGACGTTTCACTGGGAAATATGTGCCTGAAAGTCATGATCCAGGCCCCTTGTTCCGATGTACTGGGTACATTGCAGATTTTTCAAGATGACTCTAAAGATGTTGGCGTTTTGAAACATTCTGTCAGAAAATTGTATTCAAAAAGCTTTGAGTGAACCTGTGCCATCTGCCCAACACAGCGGAATGCCGAAGAGGCTTAAGACACAGCTGTTACCGTCAAGAAGTTTTCAGAAGGCACCAAACAGATAAAACTGCTCTTGCTGAGTGGGGTAGATAACAGCTGGTCAGTGGCCAGCAGGTGTGATCCTGCAGGGTGAGAGCTAGTCCCAGACCACTGAATCTGGGTTAAGGATAGAGTCTAGGCCCTACCCTATACCTCCTGACCAAATCCCAGGAACCAATCATGGTGCACGCCAGTAATTTAAAAACCAACCAGCAGCTTGGGAGTAAGGGTGGAGGTGCGACTGGGGCGTCCGCCAGAGTGTTCGGGGATGGGAGGAAGCTATTCCCAGGATCCTGGACCAGTAGCCCACCTGTTCCCTGCAGGGCCACACTGCTAGTCCCCACCCTCAAAGTCTACCCACAGCTCCTCTGCTCTGCAGAGCACAGGCTATGCAAAATGCTGAAGAGCACGGCGATCTCAGAAAGCTAGGGACAGAGAATAGGTCATGCTTCCAAGGCTTGCGGGAGAGTAGCGATGGCCCCATGAGATGTGTTGCTTACTCGTAATTCTAGTGAAGCCATGTGCTGTGTTCTGCTATAGGCTGTGAACGTCAGAGTTCAAGACTGCTGACTTTCCTCCTGCTTCTCCTGCCTCTAGTATTTGTGAAATTTTTAGTACCGTGCATACCGTGCTGAGTAATCAACAATGCCTCTGGCCGGGTGCGGTGGCTGACGCGTGTGATTCCAAGACTTTGAGAGACGAGGTGGGAGGATCGCTTGAGCTCAGGAGTTCAGGACCAGCCTGGGCAATGTAGGGAAACCTTGTCTTTCCTAAAATTTTTTTAAAAATTAGCCAGGTATGGTGGCACGCACCTGTGGTCCCAGCTATTCAGGAGGCTGAGGTGGGAGGATCACCTGAGCCCAGGAGATGGAGGCTTCAGGGAGCTGTGATTGCACCACTACATTCCAGCCTTGGAGTGCAAAAATAAATAAATAAATTATTATTATAAAAATAAATAAATACAAATACAAATAGAAAACAATTCTTCTTAAGAAGAATGCCCTGACTTAAATAGCTCCATCACCTGGGTTAAAGGATATAAACATTTATGACAGAATCATAGAATCCCAGCTTTTTTTTTTTTTTAATTTCATAGTGACCTTTAACAGTAATAGGCAGATCTCAGATTAATTCAGTTCATGCCATGGGCCAAGCCCTGTGCTGACTGCTTCACACAACTCCATTTGACTGAATCCTCCCAGCAAACTTATGGGGCATCTTCCACTAGTATCTGCATTTTATAGAGGAGGGCGCTGAGGCTGAGAAAGGCTGAGTCGCTTCCAGGCGTCACCTGAGCCCACCTGCCTTTTACCACTCAGCCGGGCCGCCTTGCAGCAGCGCTGGCCGTTGTCAGGTGAGTGGATTCTGTACTTGCAAGTTGAGAGAGCTGCGACCCGTGTGACATATTCGTAATAACTATATGATCTATGTTTTCGTCACAGACTCAGTTTTGGGGGAAATGCCTATAGTGAATGCTAATTGCTCCCTTTCCACACTTCCTTTCCCCTCCATCAAGTGAGAACCCAAATTCATTTAGTTTTCCTAAGAATCCCCGAAAGGGCTGGTTAAAGTGCAGGTTCCTGGCCCCACATCCAGAGAATCTGAGGCTGTGGCAGTGCCCCAGGAGTGTGCGTTTTTATTTTCCCCTAAAGTGGTTCTGAAGCAGGAGTCTGGGCCCTGGAGACTTGGCCCATTTGGACAGAACTCAGGGTGTTCATGGAGCTGCCCCCAGCCTGTCTTCTGCAGCATGGCACCGTGCAGAGCTGAGGCCCTCCTAGGCTGGGCTCAGACCTGGGCGAGCCCCTGGAGACAGGAGAGGGCCCTGGGATCCTGCTGTACCCGGTCCTGCTGTGCCTAGAGGGGCAGAAGCATGAGGTGGCTTGCAGCGGGCCCTGAGAGCTCCTGCCCCTCTCTGCTCACAACAAAAACCAAAACTAGAGGAGAAAAGGCCTCTGTTTCCAAATATTACTTTTCGGGTTTTTTTTCACATATGTCTCCACTTTGGGGCATTTCCTAATCCCTTTTCAGTCTATTATTCCTGCCCTGTGTGACTGTAATGGTTGAAGAGCCATTGCCTCTGCTTATTAGGGGATTTGTTGGAACTGACTCAATGTCTATACGTGTGTGTGTATATATATATATATATATATTTTTTTTTTTTTTTTTTTTTTTTTGAGACAGTGTCTCACTTTGTTGTCCCAGCTGGAGTGCAGTGGCACAATCTTGGCTCATTGCAGCCTCCGCCTCCCAGGTTCGAGGATTCTCCTGCCTCAGCCTCCTGAGTAGCTGGAATTACAGGCGCGCGCCACCACGCCCGGCTAATTTTTGTTTTTTTTTTTTTTTTTTGAGACAGAGTCTCGCTCTGTCGCCCAGGCTGGAGTTCAGTGGCGGGATCTCGGCTCACTGCAAGCTCCACCTCCCGGGTTCACGCCATTCTCCTGCCTCAGCCTCCCAAGTAGCTGGGACTACAGGCGCCCGCCACTACGCCCGGCTAGTTTTTGTATTTTTAGTAGAGACAGGGTTTCACCATGTTGATCAGGCTGGTCTCGAACTCCTGACCTCGTGAGCCACCTCACCCGGCCTCAATGTCTATATTCTTGTGCATGAAAACACAACCAAGTAAGCAGGGAAAAATCCCAAACCCCAAAATATCTTGAATCCTTTTCGTTTGCCATTTGTTTCTTATTCTTTTTTCTAATTACAAAAGAAATGTATGCTTATTCTAAAAAGTCAAAGTAACAGAACGTAAAGACCAACCCTAAGTCTACCCAACCAGAGGTAATCACTATCTCTTGTTGTCTTTCCTTATCAGTTAGGATTGGGCTGAGCTGCAAATAGCAGAGAGTCCTACCTTATCAATCCAGCTAAAAATTCCTGGCGGGTGGGGGCTGTCAGAGCCCAGGCTCTTTTCATCTCTTAGCGTGGCCCTGCCTGCCAGAAGGGCAGATTTAGGCTTTGTGGGTCCTCCAGCTTACAAGGGCTTGGGAGGCGTCCTCTAAAATAATGGAATGCAAAATTAGGTATCAAAGCGAGTGCTTCTGTGGAATGAGAATTAGAACATAAATCATAGTGAAGTTCACTTTTTTTTTTTTTTTTTAAAACAGTCTTGCTCTGCTGCCCAGGCTGGAGTGCAGTGGCGCAATCTCGGCTTACTGTAGCCTCCACCTCCCAGGTTCATGCAATTCTCGTGCCTCAGCCTCAGCCTCCCAAGAAGCTGGGACTACAGGCGTATGTGCCACTACGCCTGGCTAATTTTGGTATCATTGGTAGAGATGGGGTTTCACCATGTTGGCCAGGGTGGTCTCGAACTCCTGGCCTCAAGTGATCCACCTGCCTCAGCCTCTCAAAGTGTTGGGATTACAGGCATGAGCCACCTCGCCCGGCCCCAATTCACTTTTTTTTTTTTTTTTTTTTTTGCGACAGTGTCTCGCTCTGTCACACAGGCTGGAATGCGGTAGAGCAAACATGGCTCACTGTGGCTTCAACCTCCTAGGCTTAAACGATCTTCCCACCTCAGCCCCCCAAGTACAAATTCAAATGTTAAAAATTGGCAGATAACACAAACATTATAAAATCTAGAAAAATAATGTTTATATTAACTAGCTGCTTGGCAAACACCTCATAGTTTTTCTTCATATATCTTCTGTTTTATGCCCTTTGATTGCTTCTGTATATGGCAAATTAGTAATGTTTTACAAGCATAAACATAAAAATGTAATGTTTCTGTCTACATATATGAAGATGTTTTTAATGTTTTCTACCGAGAAAGAAAAAAAGATTAGCCTTTCCTGTAACATATTTGATCAAATTTTCTTAATATTGATTGATTAAAAAACTTTGTTTTGGCCTCACATTTAGTTCATGGTAATGCCCTGTAAATCTTTTTACTTAAAAATTATATGTATAGGCTGGGTGTGGTGGCTCACGCCTGTAATCCCAGCACTTTGGGAGGCCAAGGCGGGCAGATCACGAGGTCAGGAGTTCAAGACCAGCCTGGCCAACATGGTGAAACTCCGTCTCTACTAAAAATACAAAAATTAGCCAGGCGTGGTGGTGTGCATCTGTAATCCCAGCTACTCAGGAGGCTGAGGCAGGAGAATTGCTTGAACCTGGGAGGCAGAGGTTGCAGTGAGCCGAGATCGCGCCATTGCACTCTAGCTCTGGGCGACAGAGCAAGACTCTGTCTTGTGAAAAAAAAAAAAATTATATGTATTTTTAAAAGACAAAAATTTAAATCAACACCTGTAGAAAATAATAAAAAATAATACAAAAGAAAATGTTTATGTAAATTTTTGTTTTGTTTTGTTTTAGAGATATGATGTCACTCTGTCACCCAGGCTGGAGTGCAGTTGTGCAATCATAGCTCACTGCACCTCAAACTCCTGGGTGGCATTAAGCAATCCTCCTGCCTCAGCCTCTCAGAGTGCTGGGATAACAGGTGTAAGCCACTGTGCATGACCCGTTTTGTTATTAAATTTGAGAAAACCATCCTCAAGTTTCTTCCATAAAAACACTAGGCCGGGAGCAGTGGCTCACGCCTGTAATCCCAACACCTTGGGAGGCCGAGGTGGGCAGATCACCTGAATTCAAGACCAGCCTGGCCAACACGGTGAAACCGTATCTCTACTTAAAATACAAAAATTATTCAGGCGTGGTAGCACATGCCTGTAATCCCAGCTACTTGGAAGGCTAAGGCAGGAGTAATCGCTTGAACCCAGGAGGCAGAGGTTGCAGCGGGCCAAAATCACGACATTGCACTCCAGCCTGGGTGACAAGAGTGAAACTCTGTCTCAACCACAACAACAGCAAACACTATATAGGGGAGGCAAAATTTTACCTTTCTCCCTTAGCATTTTTGGCTGGGCCTGAGAATTAAATTGATGTAAAACAGATACACAGGAGAAAAGCATATACATTCTATAAGTTTTATGTGACATGGGAGCTCTCCTGCAGAAACGAAGGGAAAAGAACTGGCAGAACCTAAATGCTTTTAAACTAGGTTGAACAAAGAGAGGCAATGGTGGAAAAGTTACCAAATTATATGGGGAGGCTAAAGGAAGACAAGAATCATGTTACCCAGGTCTGTTTGTACAGAATTCTCTCAGCTCTGACAACATGTGGTTTTTTTCTTCTGGTACCCGGAGAGCATCTTTCACATGGGAGTTTTTATCGCTTGTTTTCAGGAAGAAAAGAGGAAGATTAGAATGTCCTTCTTGCATCAAGCGCCTTTACCTCAAAATAATCCTAAGCCAAAGTGGCTTATTTTGGAATGGCATATTCTGCCACCCCTTAACTGTAACTGGGGGCATTTGAAGTTTTCTTGCACACTGATTATTCACAAATACTCTAACAACATAGAGAATTACTAGAGACCATTCCTACACCAGGACAGATAGCAATCATTTGACTATGCATGGAAGGTACTGTGAATCATGGAAATTTTTCCCACTAAATCTAAATTAAGGCCAGGCTGAGTGGCTCACTCCTGTAATCCCAGCACTTTGGGAGGCTGAGGCAAGTGGATCACCTGAGGTCAGGAGTTCGAGACCAGCCTGGCCAGCATAGTGAAACCCCGTCTCTACTAAAAACACAAAAAATTAGCCAGGCATGGTGGCACATGCCTGTAGTCCCAGCTACTCGGGAAGCTGAGGCAGGAGAATCGCTTGAACCCGGGAGACGGAGGTTGCAGTGAGCCAAGATCGCGCCACTGTACTGCCGCCTGGGCAACAGAGCAAGCTCCGTCTCAAAACAAACAAACAAACAAACAAAAAACAAGTGTAGGGCTGGGCATGGTGGCTCGTGTGTAATCCCAGTGCTTTGGGAGGCTGAGGAATGAGGATCACTTGAGGCCAGGAGATCAAGACCAGCCTCAGCAACAATAGGAAGGCCCGTCTCTACAGATTAATTAGCTATGGTGACGCATGCCTGTAGTCTCAGCTACTTGGGAGGCTGAGACGGGAGGATCATTTGAGCCTAGGAGTTCAAGGCTTCAGTGAGCTATGATTGCACCACTGCACTCCAGCCTAGGTGGCAGAGCAAGACCTTGTCTAAAAAACCTACACATACATAAAATGACCATGTGACACATTAAGTTTCATTAGCTCTGGTAATTCTGCCTTGATGTCTTCATTCACATGCCTGTTGCCTCTTGATCATATGATGACGGGTACACTTCCTGGCACAAATCTGTGATCAACTCAGGAAGAAAGCCAAATGTGCAGGTCAGCCAAATCTGCCCCTACAGTGCTTTCCTGAAGCTCCACTTGGTGACCTCCACTTAACTAACTGGTCAAAACTGGGTCCTATGGCCCCTAGCTGCACGGGAGTCTGGGAGGTGAGTATTTTTAAGTAGACACATTGCCGTGCCGACAAAATCAGTTCTGTTGGTCAGGAAGGAGAGGGTGAATATTATGTAGACTGCTAACAGTGTCTGCCTCCCCTTTCAGATTATTTTCTATGTGTACAGAGATATAGATGATTGATTGATAGATAGATAGATGATAGATAGATAGATAGATAGATAGATAGATAGATAGAGTATACCTGTATTTTTTTACAGAAATTCATACTGCTTTATAATGTCTTTAAGTGATTCACAAATACTCAAAACCAATTAGTAAGAAATTTTTTTTACCTAAATTGACATGTTGACCAACTTTTACTACTGAGTAAATTGCATTCAGCTAAATAATATGCTCTTTTTTTATTGTGCTTAAATATGCTGCATTTTTTAGTAGCAGAACCTTCTTTCAAATAAATAATCTCCGTCTGTAACACTGATGAAAGCCGGGTTCTCTGAATGAGTACAGGTGGATGTGAGGAGCCCTTGCTCTCCTCTCTCCCCAGACCCCAAAGCATTTCTGCAGAACTCAGTATAAACAGCTCTGTCTCAGCAGGTTGTTGGACAAGATACCCTCTAAGATCCTTCAGCCCACAAAGGCTTCTTTGCAACTGAGGGGCCCGAGAGTAGGCTGGGTGGCTCACACTGCAAGCAAGGGGAGGGGAAGCCCAGGCCAGCAAGAACAGGCTGGGAAGCAGCTGCACTGCCAGGCCCTGCACACTGAAGCCGCTCCACTGAGGGCCTTTCTTCAGGCATTTTTGCAACAGACCAGGCAGTGCTGGCCCGCAGGCCAGACGCAGTTTCCCCATCCACTGGAGAGGAAAAATGCCACCCACTTTAAATTATTTTCCAGGTTTCTGTAGTTTAAGGAGATGAAATAACTGGCAGAGTCTAAAATATTCTCGAATACGTGACATGTTCTGTCATTTCCAGGAAGACATTGGGAGGAGCGAGCTCAGATGACCGCTGACAGTGGGGAAGTGGAGGCAGAGGACTAGTCACAGGCTCGAGAAAACCCGCATGTTGACTGTTTCCCCTTTTCCAGTTGCCTTCTTAGTGTTTCTCTGTGGGAGGGCTCAGGGGTCCTCTGGCATGAGGGACAGGAAAAAGAGAAGGCAGGAGTCACCCTGGAGCACCGTGATGAGAGCGTGTAAAGCCGACCCTAGATCCTCCTGGATCGGGGAAGTGGGGTGGAAGGGAAGTTACAGTGGAAGCAGACAGCAGTGTTAAGTGGTTGCAGTGAAAATATCCTGCCTTGGTAGATTTCTTTAGAGACAGAAAAGGCGACGCAACTGCATTTTAGTTTTTATTTACGTGGCTTAGTTACATTCCATTTCCCCCAAGAAGCTGGGTGCCTCCCACTTTCTCACTCTCCCAGGCTTTTTCCCTTTCACTCTTCTTTCCATCCCTCCCCACCTCCTAGTCAGGGCAGGGTTTTTTTGTTTTTGTTTTTGTTTGAGATGCTCTTGTTGCCCAGGCTGGAGTGCAATGGTGCCATCTCGGCTCACTGCAACCTCCACCTCCCTGGTTCAAGTGATTCTCCTGCCTCAGCCTCCTGAGTCACTGGGATTACAGGCATGCACCACCAGGCCTAGCTAATTTTGTATTTTTAGTAGAGATGGGATTTCTCCATGTTAGTCAGGCTGGTCTCGAACTCCCAACCTCAGGTGATCCACCCACCTTGGCTTCCCAAAGTGCTGGGATTACAGGTGTGAGCCACTGTACCCGGACCAGGGCAGGTTTTGACCCCACCTGTCACTTCCCTGGCTGAGAACTGTCCCAGGGTCCAGTGAGGCTCACTGAATCCCGTAGGCACTGGCCCTTTTTTTCTTCCTCTCCCTGCCTAAGATACTAGATAAACACAAAGGAATTTTCAGCAGAAATCAAAGATGAAATTCCAATGTTCAAGAAGTTTGGTTTTTTGTTTTTTATTTTATTTACTTTTTGTTTTGAAATAATTATAGATTGATAGGAAGTTGCAAAAGTAACACAGACAGTTCCCAGGCGCCCTTCACATAATTTCCCCTGGTGCTAATATCTTATGTAATTTATAGCATAATAATAGCAAAACCAGGAAGCTGACATTGGTATCATCCACAGACTTTATTCACATTTCACTAGTTTGACAGTGATTTCCTTTTTAAACAGTTTTTCTTAAGTATTAACATAATAGTAACCATATTACAAAAAATTGTGGCAGAAAAAAATATTCTTAGTTCTACTGTCCTGTAGAGCCACCCTAATCATGTTAAGGTTCATTTCTTTCCAAGGTCTTTTTGTGCACTTTTAGCACAATTGAAAGCATTGTTTAGCTGGACAGAGTGGCGTGCACTTGTAATCCCATCTACTGGGGAGGCTAAGGCAGGAAGATCACTCCACTGCACTCCAGCCTGGGCAACATGGCAAGACCTCGTCTCGAGGAAAAAAAAAAAAGCATTCTTTATGTACATTATTATAACCTGATTTTTATTTAATGTTTTAAATAAATATATTTCTGCATAACCTGTTCTTTATCATTGTACATGGCTATATGATATATATATCAAGTGAATATGCCATGTTTTACTTATTTACTCCCCTGTTACTAGACATTAGATCATTTCAGTTTTACTCTATAATAACTTTATAATGAACAACCTTGTTTATCTTACGCTTTCCATGTTTTGGATTCATTCACTAGTATTTACACTCAAGGATGTGTGAACATTTTTACAACTCTTGATAAAATGCCAAATTGTTTTCCAAGACTTGTCTCAAATTTCAATCTCTCTAATTAGTGTTAATCATTAAACTAGTGTTTTAAACTATTGGGAGCAGTGGACGGGATCGTTTTTCTGTCATTCTTATAATAGTTGAAGAATGCCACCTTGTTTTGTAAAGTTGTAGTTTCTAATTTCTAGTAAAGTTGGTCTTTTTTGTTTCTTCTACTTACTAGTAATACTTTCTATTTTGTGACATGGTGGTTTGAATTCTTTGCCCGATTATCAATTTAGTGTTTTACTTACTGATTTGTAGGAGCTCCTTAGCTATGAAAATGTTAACCTTTAATCTGTTAAATTTGCTTCAAATACTTCTTCCAAGTTTGTTGTTTGCCTGTTGATTTGGTTTATTTTTAACATACTGCGCATGTGGAAATGTTCGTATTTTTATGAAATCAAATGTCCATCTTTTTTTCCCTTCTCATTTTTACAAACCCAGTCCTTTTCAGAGATGTGATGAGTTCCAGTAGATCAACCGCTTTCTTCCTTTTCCTAGGGTTTGACTTTGTTTTAATTTATACTGCTAAATGGTGTGATACACAAACCGTTAGCAAAAAAAGGGTTTTTCCCCACAATTTCTGTTTACCTGAATAATTTGTGACATGATCCTTCCTCATTTATTTGCAAAGCTTCTTATCATTATAGAGTAGTTTATTCAGTGTATTCTGCTTGACTTCTAGGTCAGCTCTCTAATAGATATTTCTCCAGCCCTTTTTTCTCTTTCCTTCCACCAGATCATGACCAACACGGGGAAGACAAGGCGGAAGGGGCTGGCTAATGTGCAGTGGAGCGGGGATGAGCCCCTGCAAAGGCCCGTCACCCCCGGCGGCCACAGAAACGGGTACCCAGTGTAAGTCAGGGCTAAAGGAAGCGGGAATTGACTTTCTTAAGCTTTGTTTTGATTACAGTGTAAGATGTATGTATTTTTAAAATTCAAAATAAAGCATTCATTTTGAAAAGCATTTATCTCTTTATTTTTGGGGGATTTTTGGAGGGAAAGAGGTTGAGTCCTTCTCCCTTCCCCCAGGATTTTTTTATTCCAGAAGGAGAAGTGGTTGGATTACAGGATCTCCAGGGCCACTTCAGAAGACAAATGTTGGCCAGAGTAATTTCAAAAGAAGGGACCTGAAAGGAATCGGGCTCTCTCCAGAAGGACTCCTGTCGTGCCTTTTCTGTGGCCTCTCGTCACAGCACCAAGCCCTGTGTTGGGATTGGAATGTTACAGTTTAAGACTCGAAATCAATTTATTTTAGATGACTTTTTGGAACAACTGGATGCTGTTTTAGCTGCCGAGCCTTATTCATCTTCCATAGCCTTGCTCGTACCCCATTTATAGAAATGAAATTTTAGTCTCGTTACGTAGAGCCTCTGGTCTCCCTGGGGGCCTAGACCCCTTGTGGGCTAAGGAGCCCCAGATCAGACAGTCCAGTGGGCGGTAGAGAAGCCACTTCTGTGGTCTGGGTGGCCTCTCTTTTCCTGTCTAGAGAGAATATTACAGCAAAATATTACAGAGAGCAGGCTAAAAACCTCCATATATTCATTCAACAAATAATGGCCGTGTAATTTTTAAAAGAATATACCGTGTTTTACTTAGTTATCCCCTGAAACTGGGCACTTTATTTTTTCCAGTCTTACTCTATTGCAATTTTGTAATGAACAACCAGGCAACGGAATTGAGCAACAAAACTCAGAAATGCCTGCCCTCATGGAGCTCTGTGCTGCCACGGACACCAGGGACACCAGGCAAGACAGACCCAGCTCCTTGATGAGTTCTGTTGCCCATCTGGGATTTGTCCTATAAATGTTTCAGGGCCCGTGCCATAGATGAGTGCTCTGAGATCTGTTTGGTTTGATTTCATAATTAGGTATGATATGCTTATATTTCTAGGTGTTTATTTTTAGTTACTGATGTATAAACTAGTACATGCCCTTTTCTCTCTTAAACTTACAATCAGTGTTTTTAACCTACAGAAAAGTTAAAGAATATTACACTGAAGATGGCCAGGCGTGGTGGCTCACACCTGTAATCCCAGCAGTTCGGGAGGCTGAGGCAGGCAAATCACAAAGTCAGGAGATCGAGACCATCCTGGCTAACGTGGTGAAACCCCATCTCTACTAAAAATACAAAAAATTAGCCCAGCATGGTGGCGGGCACCTGTAGTCCCAGCTACTCGGGAGGCTGAGGCAGGAGAATGCCGTGAACCCAGGAGGCGGAGCTTGCAGTGAGCTGAGATCTCGCCACTAGCACTCAGCCTGGGCGATAGAGTGACACTCTATCTCAAAAAATATAAAAAAAGAATATTACACTCAAGAGCTTTCAATTAACATTTGTGTGCCCTATCTCTCTCTCTTGCTCTCCTTCTATGTGTATGATACATAATTTACATGCGTATACATTTTTTTGCTGAACTATCTGAGAGAAGATTGCAGACTTTTGCACATAACCCCACTATCACAGCTAAGAAATTTGACAGTAATAATATGGATATAGTATTATAGTATTCCTTAATTGTCCCCTAAAGGTTCTTTACATCTGAGTGGTTTTGGGTCATTTGGTTTTCATCCAGGAATACGGTCAGTTACCAATTACTAGTAAATCTAGTTGATAAATATAATACCTTTTTAAATGGAAGTAGCAACAGGAACTAATAAAATTCCTCTTGCTTGACATGGGAAAGAGGACACTGAATCATTGTCTTAAAAGTATTTTTCAATTATTTTTTAAAATAATTAAAACCCTGCTTTCATGAGAGGCAACAATGACATAAGGCTATTTTAATCAGAGATAAGGATAGGGAATCTAATAAATATGGGGCTAACCAGTGGGCACAGTTAATTCTTGGGTCAGGTGTTCTTCTTTGAAGAGAAATTTGAGGACGTTTTCCATGCCTGGGAGCACATCTATCTCCCCTCTGATATGTGGGGGTGGCCCCATCAAGATCTTTGACTGTGGCAAGCTGCCAGGTAATGAGGGCAGCTCATTTTCCTGAAACCATGGACCTTCCCACTATAATGATGCAGTCGCCCCGTCACCAGCTTCCCTTATCAGGTCTCAACAAACATTTTTATCACTTCTCTGCCATATGGTGTTCTCATTGCTGGGGTTGCAGAAATCAATAAGATGTGACTCCCTGCCCTCAGAAGCACACAGACCAAGCTGTGTGGTAGGGAAAGAGGTGGTCAATGGAATGCAGTGGGCACTCTCCCCAGCTACACTGGGTACTCCAGACGGGCTACACGATGCTGATGTGCAAAATTTGTAGTTCTGTCCTTTGCATCTCGAGCTCACCTCTACAAAGTTTGAATGCTGGGGGTCTTAGACATCATCCTCTACAGATAAGAGACTACCATATGTGATGTAAGATAGGCATCCTAGCTTATTTTTCTCCATGTAGAGAGCCACTCTTCTCTACACCACCTATAAACAGCTCATTATTTCTCCACTGATTCAAGGCGCCACTTTAATTCTATATCCCCTCCAGTCACCCTAGCTCTCTATTTTGACACATTGTCCAGTTGCCTGTTGCCACACCAGTGTTTATTGCAAAGGTTCTTAGCATATCTAAATATTGCATAGAAAAATCCTCTCTCCCTGCCTGCCTTTGGCTTTCTCTTTCAGAGTTGATTTAACTATGTAGAGACCTTTATTTTTCTGTAAGCATTTAAAAATAAGTCTGGCAACTTCCTTAAAAAATCCTTTTAGGATTTTGATTAGTATCACATTAAATTTATGTAATGTTTTGGAGATGATTGAAATCTTTGCAATGTTAAGTCACTGTGCAGCATTACATCATAGTAATTTTATATGTTAAGACAGAATAATGGTCCCTCAAAGATGTCCACATCCCAATCCCCACAACCTGTGACTAAATGACATTACATGGCAAAAAGGACTTTGCTGATGTGATTAAGTTAAGGATCTAGAGATGGATGATTCTGGATAATCTGGGTGGACCCAATGTAATCACAAGGGGCCTTACTGAAGGGAAGCAGGAGTGTCAGAAACAAAAGGAGGTGTGACAACTGTGTCAGAAGTCTGAGTGACGCAAGGCCATGAGCCGAGGAATGCAGACACCCTCTAGAAACTGGAAAAGGCAAGGAAATAAATTCTCTCCTGGAGCCTCCAGAAAGAATGCACCCCTGTTGACCCATTGTAAACTCTTGACCTCCATAATTATGAGACAAGTTTGTGTTGTTTTCAGTCACTAAGTTTGTGGTAAGACTGCAAATTATGAAACAACTACAGGAAAACATTGGGGAATGTCTCCAGGACATTGTTCTGGGCAAATATTTCTTGAGTAATACCTGACAAGCACAGGCAACCAAAGCAAAAATGAACAAATGGGATCACATCAAGTTAAAAAGCTTCTATAGCAAAGGAAACAATCAACAAAGTGAAGAGACAGCCCACAGAATGGGAGAAAATATTTGCAAACTACCCATCTGACAAAGGATTAATAATCAGAATTAAAAAGGAGCTCAAACAACTCTATAGGAAAAAGTCTAATAGTTGGATTTAAAAAATGGGCAAAAGATTTGAATAGACATTTCTCAAAAGAAGACACACAGATGACAAACAGGCTTATGAAAGGGTGCTCAGCATCATTGATCATCAGAGATGCAAATCAACACTACACTGAGATACCCTCTCACCCCCGTTAAAACGGCTTATCTCCAAAAGTCAGGCAATAACAAATGCTGGCAAGGATGTGGAGAAAAGGGAACCCTCATACACTGTTGGTGAGAATGTAAATTAGTACAGCCACTATGGAGAACAGTTTGGAGATTCCTCAAAGAACTAAAAATAGAGCTACCACATGATCCAGCAGTCCCGCTGCTGGGTATATACCCAACAGAAAGGAAGTCCATGTGTCAAAGATAGCTCTGCACCCCATGCTTGCTGCAGCACCGTTCACAGGGGCCAAGATTTGGAAGTAGCCTCAGTGTCCATCAGCAGATGAATGGACAAAGAAAATGTGGTACATATACACAATGGAGTACTATTCAGTGCAAAAGAATGAGATCCAGTCATTTGCAAAACATGGATGGAACTGGAGATCATTATGCTACATGAAATAAGCCAGGCACAGAAAGTCAAACATCACACGTTCCCACTTACTTAAACAATCTAAACAATTGAGCTCATGGAGATAGAGAGTAGAAGGATGGTTACTAGAGACCGGGAAGGGTGGTTGGTTGGGGGTGGTGGCTAGGGGAGTTGGAGAAGGTTAATGGTGCCAAAAAAACACATAAAGAATGGGCCAGGCGTGGTGGCTCATGCCTGTAATCTCAACACTTTGGGAGGCCGAGGCGGGTAGATCACTTAAGGTCAGGAGTTCGAGACCAACCTGGCCAACGTGGTAAAACCCTGTCTCTACTAAAAATACAAAAATTAACCAGGTGCGGTAGCGAGTGCCTGTAATCCAGCTCCTCGGGAGGCTGAGGCAGGAGAATCACTTGAACCTGGGAGACGGAGGTTGCAGTGAGCTGAGATCACACCACTGCAATCCAGCCTAGGTAACAGAGTGAGACCCCCAACTTAAAACAAAAATGAGTAAGACCTAGTATTTGATAGCACAACAGAGTGACTATAGTCAATAATAATTTAATTGTACATTTTAAAATAACTAAAAGAGTATGATTGGAATTTTTTTTACACACAGGATGAATACTTGAGGGGATGAGTACTCCATTCTCCATGATGTGATTCTTACACATTGCATGCCTGTATCAAAACAATTCACATATACTATACATATATACACCTACTGTACCCACAAACATCTAAAAAAAAAAAAAAAATTGAGGGGAAGTCTTGCTCTGTTGCCCAGGCTGGAGTGCAGTGGCACAGTCTTGGCAACTGCAAGCTCCGCCTCCCAGGTTCAAGCGATTCTCCTGCCTCAGCCTCCCAAGTAGCTGGGATTACAGGCACCCGCCACCACACCTGGCTAATTTTTAAATTTTTTGTAGAGAAGGGATTTCACCATGTTGGCCAGGCTGGTCTTGAACTCCTTACCTCAGGCGATCTGCCTGCCTCAGCCTCCCAAAATGCTGGGATTACAGGTGTGAGCCACTGTGCCTGGCCTTAAAAGTTGAAAATTAAAACAAAAATATTACGGTACTTTGTTAGAACAGCAGTAGAAAATGAAGACAGCCATCCTGTGTGCAAGTACAGGATGACTCTCCAGTCCTTTAGGTCTTGTTTGATACATTTCCTTGCTAGGAGAAACCTGAGGCCAGGCATGGTGGCTCACACCTGCAATCCTAGCACTTTGGGAGGTTGAGGCAGGAGCATTGCTTCAGTCCCAGAGGTCGTGGCTGCAGTGAGCTGTGATTGTGCCACTGCTCTCCAGCCTGGGCAACAAAGTGAGACCCTTGTCTCAAAAAAAAAAAAAGAAAAAGAAAAAGAAACTTCATATGTTCAAGGCAATGGTGGGCATGTTCTTGAGGGAAGGTCAGGACCCTTCTCAGCCCTGGAGGTTGGATTTGATTAATTTAGCCCAGTTTTTTAAATTTAACTCCTCTTGTCAATGATGATCTCAATGGGCATGCAATCCATTCCAGCCATGGGATCTAAGATTTTCCAACTTTTATGAAGGGCTTGAGAAACTCTGTACTTTCTTTTCCCCTTTTGGGCTTTGACTGTTGCTTGAGATGCTATGCTTGGAGGTCCTGCAGCCATCCTATTTGCACAAAGTGACAATTCTTTTTTTTTTTTTTTTTTTTTTTTTTTTTTGAGACAGAGTCTCGCTCTGTCAGCCAGGCTGGAGTGCAGTGGCACGATCTCGGCTCACTGCAAGCTCCATCTCCCAGTTCACGCCATTCTCCTGCCTCAGCTTCCCGAGTAGTTGGGACTACAGGCGCCTACCACCACGCCCGGCTATTTTTTTGTATTTTTAGTAGAGACGGGGTTTCACTGTGTTAGGATGGTCTCGATCTCCTGACCTCGTGATCCGCCTGTCTCGGCCTCCCAAAGTGCTGGGATTACAGGTGTGAGCCACTGCACCCGGCCACAAAGTGACAATTCTAAGAACAAAAGCAAAACCACACCAGGAAGGCCAGGGAATCCCAGCAGAGAGAACCTGGATCTGCAGCAAAGTCACTCAGCTTCGCATTCCCCACCCTGTACTCGCTCCCTCTGGAATTCTGTTTATGTTGAATATTACATTTCCCTTACCGTTTAAACCAGTGGTGTTGAACTTTTGTTACTTGTAGTCCAAAACATGTATGGAACAAGTAAATATAAAGAAAATAAAAATTATTTATTCCAGCAGCCAGAGAGAATTATGATCATCATTTTAGTGTATTACATTTAGTATAGTTTTTTCCTACATATATTTTTAGCAAATGAGAAACCTTTTAGTGTTTGTGTATGTGTCTACATATATATATGGTTTGTTTGCAGTTTGATTTTTGTTTGTTTTCTTTTGCATTGTTGAACATCCTGTAAAAGATGATTTAATGATTTATATTATATTTACATACCATAATTTATATAGCCATGCTGCCATTTCTGACATTCGTTTTTACTGATTTGGAGTTATTATATGCTTGGTGAACCAGTAAGTACATAAATATTCGTAACTAAAACAAAAAAAAATTATGACCCTCCCTTCACCACCAGCACCCTCTGGTATCCTGTTGCCAGGAGTGTGGATACATCTAGAATCTTAGTCCTCTTGAGGACACAATGACAGTATGTATTGCACACATTCAGAATACCAGGACTTTTTTGGTTTTGTTTTAAGACAGCATCTCGCTCTGTCACCCCGGCTGGAGTATAGCGGCACAATCACAGCTCACTGCAGCTTGACCTCCTGGGCTCAAACCATCCTCCCACCTCAGCCTCCCAAGCAGCTGGGACCACAGGCATGCGCCACCACATCTGGCTGAATTTTTAATTTTTTGTAGAGATAGGGTCTCACTATGTTGCCTAGTCTTGAACTCCTGAGTTCAAGCAATCCTCCTACCTCAGCCTTCCAAAGTGCTGGGATTACAGGTGTGAGCCACTATGCCCAGCCCAGCCACTAGTACTTTTGGAGCCAGTAATTCCACTGCTAGGATTTTTTTTTTTAACAGTCTTGCTCTGTCGCCCAGGCTGGAGTGCAATGGTACGATCTCAGCTTCTTGCAACCTCGGTCTCCTGGGTTCAAGCGATTCTCCTTTCTCCTGTCTCAGCCTCCCAAGTAGCTGGGATTACAGGCGCCTGCCACCACGCCCAGCTAATTTTATTTTATTTTATTTTTTTATTTATTTATTTTTTAGTAGAGACGGGTTTTCACCATGTTGGCCAGGCTGATCTGGGACTCCTGACCTCAAGTGATCCGCCCGCCTTGGCTTCCCAAAGTGCTGGGATTACAGGCGTGAGCCACCGCACCCACTGCTAGGATTTTATACTGAGAAATAATCAGATGTTCACAGGATAGATAGATAGATAGATAGATAGATAGATAGATAGATAGATAGATGATAGGTAGGTAGATAGATGGATAGAAGATAGGTAGGTAGGTAGGTAGACATAGATATAGATAAATAGATAACCATATATACACACAAAAGGTTATTTGTTGCAATATTATTCATAAAATTAGAAATTACATTCCCAGGCCGGGCGCGGGGGCTCACACCAGCCTGGGCCAAGATGGTGAATCCCCGTCTCTACTAAAAATACAAAAATTTGGCCGGGCGCCATGGCTCACGCCTGTAATCCCAGCACTTTGGGAGGCCAAGATGGGCAGATCACAAGGTCAAGAGACCTTTAAATTTAACTCCTCTTGTCAATGATGATCTCAATGGGCATGCAATCCATTCCAGCCATGGGATCTAAGATTTTCCAACTTTTATGAAGGGCTTGAGAAACTCTGTACTTTCTTTTCCCCTTTTGGGCTTTGACTGTTGCTTGAGATGCTATGCTTGGAGGTCCTGCAGCCATCCTATTTGCACAAAGTGACAATTCTTTTTTTTTGAGACAGAGTCTCGCTCTGTCAGCCAGGCTGGAGTGCAGTGGCACGATCTCGGCTCACTGCAAGCTCCATCTCCCAGTTCACGCCATTCTCCTGCCTCAGCTTCCCGAGTAGTTGGGACTACAGGCGCCTACCACCACGCCCGGCTATTTTTTTGTATTTTTAGTAGAGACGGGGTTTCACTGTGTTAGGATGGTCTCGATCTCCTGACCTCGTGATCCGCCTGTCTCGGCCTCCCAAAGTGCTGGGATTACAGGTGTGAGCCACTGCACCCGGCCACAAAGTGACAATTCTAAGAACAAAAGCAAAACCACACCAGGAAGGCCAGGGAATCCCAGCAGAGAGAACCTGGATCTGCAGCAAAGTCCCCTGCTTCAGGGCATGGCATGAGTGCCCGCAAACAGCCAAGCCAGAGTCCAGCAGGTTTGCACACTCCTCCCACCCCGTCCTGCCCACCACTGGCCTTCACGGCTCAGGGAGTTCCTCCTAACAGTGTTCCCTGCCACCGGCCACCTTCCACGACTGTGGATGGAATGATGTTTCTAGCAGGGAATGTCATTCCTTTGGTTCTCCATTACTTGGGGATCAAGTTTAAATCCAGGCCTTACAGACTGCTTCTCAATTGACACCCCTGCCACAAGCATCAGAGCCCCCCAGGACACCCTGCCCCCTCCACACTACTGTCGCACAGGTCTTTTCAGGAGAGGGAGGTAGGGGACATCCATATTTTGTGATGTTTTAAATCTTTCTGTAACAATGCAGCATATATGTATATATACACACACACACACACACACACACACACACACACACCATATATAGATATATAGATTTTTTTCCCCTCTTCACCTTGCTCATGGTGTTACTTCTGCTGGAAAACCTTCCCTCTTCTGGCACCTGGCAGAACTGAGTTCAAAACTCAGAAAAGAGTTCAAAACTGAGTTGGCTAGGAGTGTGGTGGCTCACGCCTGTAATCCTAGGACTTTGGGAGGCCAAGGTGGTAGGATCACTTGAGCTCAGTTCAAAACCAGCCAAGTCAACACAGACCTCATCTCCATTTAAAAAAAAAAAAAAAAAAAAAAAGACTGATTGCGCACCTCGGGAAGACTTTCCTGCCCCCCTCAGGCTGGTTACATGTCTCCTTATCTTTGACTTTGGGTTGAGCCATGTGAATTTTTTTTTTTTTTTTTTTTTTTGAGACAGAGTCTCACTCTGTTGCCCAGGCTGGAGTGCAATGGCGCAATCTTGGCTCACTACAACCTCCGCCTCCCTGGCTCAAGCGATTCTCCTGCCTCAGCCTCTTGAGTAGCTGGGACTACAGGCATACATCACCACGTCCCACTAATTTTTATATTTTTAGTAGAGACGGGGTTTCACCATGTTGGCCAAGCTGGTCTCAAACTCCTGACCTCAAGTGATCTGCCCGCCTTGGCCTCCCAAAGTGCTGGGATTACAGGCATGAGCCACCACGCCTAGCCAGACATATGAAATTGACATTCAAAAACAACCATTTGCAGGGTCCAGCCCTAGGCAGGCATGAGCTTGTCGTGTGTTCCCCACTGAGCCCTTGTTGGATTAGGTGGCCCATATCTCCTTGTTGAAGGGGGAGCGAGGGCTCCGTTGCCTTACAGATAACTGGAGGGCCTTCCTCGGGGATCTGTGGTCAAGGTTGACCCAATGAGGCTGTCCCAGCCAGCTGGCCCTTGCAACTGGCTGGATCTGGTGCAATGAAGCTCTCAGCACTTGTCTGCTGGGCGAAGGTGTCTCCCCCAGCTTGGGTGCCAACATTAGGCACTGCAAAGGAGCTGTTCTGCACACATCCTTTAGGTAGTGTTACAAGAAAGTAAGTTCTAGGCCAGTCACAGTGGCTCACACCTGTAATCCCAGCACTTTGGGAGGCCAAGGTGAGAGGATTGCTTGAGCCCAGGAGTTCGAGACCAGTCCTAGCAACATGGAGAGACCTTGTCTCTACAAAAAATAAAAAAATCAGTTGAGTGTGGAGGCGCCCATCTGTAGTCCCAGCTACTCCAGAGGCTGAGATGGGAGGATCACTTGAGCCTGGGAGGTCAAGGCTACAAGTGAGCTGTGGTTGCACCATGGCACTCCAGCCTGGGCGACAGAGTGAGACCCTGTCTCTAAGAAAAAAAGAAGAAAGTTCTGCAGTCTCGTTCTTGGCCAACACTTGCCACGGCTGACATGACATGTTATGTCTTCTCTGGTTGGATTCATCCCTTCATTCATCTGCTTCATCCTTGGAGAAACCAGCAGATCCGTGCCTTACGTTGTTTGCTTGAAATGTCATGGTCCCATGTCACCCAGGGTCGTAACACGTAATTGTGTGTTAGGAATACACCACGCCATGTATCACTGTGAATACAGAAGGGGGCTAACAGGAACAAGGGGAGGCTACTGCCTCACAGGGTCAGCCTCCTGGCTCCTGCCAAGACCCTTTAGAAGGTCTGATATGCTAATGATGGTTTAACAAGACTTTGAGGCACCGCCCCCTCCTGTATTTGTGATGCTGCAGTCGGCAGTCGGCAGTCCGAATCTCCTGGCTGGCTGTACTCACTGCCGTTTTTCATGTTTTTCTCCAGGGTGGAAGACCAACACACACCTCCCCAGACAGCCCAGCACGCCAGAAACGGCCACCCGCAGGCCCTGCCAGCCGCTCACGAGGCTGTCTACAGGGAGGGCAAGCCCAGCACCCCGGAGTCCTGCGTCTCCTCTTCATGTAAGAATGTGGGCAGCACACTGGGTCAGTTCTGGGATTGTGATGTCTAGAACCTACGCAAAACAGCAGCAGGAGTGGCAGACGCACGTCTGCTCCTGGGAAGCCCTCTGGTCTCAGCAACAGCCCCGTGTCACAGAGGCTCACGGGATTCCCAGCCCACAGCCAGACCCATGCTGGGCTGGTCCTCTGCGTCCCCTTCTCAGAGCACTGCCTGTTGTCCCGTCTGGGAGCTCCTGGGGCAAGATTTCTGACTGGTGAAAGCCGGCTTTAATGTGAAATTTCGGAGGAGGAATGCCGGGCTGATGTTGATCTGTGACCCTGATTCTGATAGCTCAGATTCTGGTGCAGAGAAGGCCAGCCGCCTGCTGGAAGGCTGGACGGAGGCAGAAATGTGCAACTAAGAGCACAAACAACTCTGGGATCCAAACGCCTTTGAAACTTCCAGCTGAGTTAACCAGAGGCTGATGGGAGATAAAAGTATTTTTTAGATGCCAGAAAAAATATATATACTTTGAATCAGAAATGTACAAAGTATTTTTTTTAATTTTTGAAAGGAAATTAAAAGGATTATGAGCAGTTCAGATAAGACTCTAATTTCCATTTGAGTAGGAAAAACAACAGAGGAACGGGTTGGATTCCTGTCTGAGAAACATCTGAGAACTTGCATCTGCTCACAATTGGATTCAGACGCTTCCAGGCCCAGGTGCAGAGCGGTAGCTAGTGACGAGTCAGCACTGGCTGGGTTATTTGCAACTCCTGGGTCTCTTGGTGATGAGCAGTTTCAGAGGTTTTGCCAGCGTTGATCATCAGTTATTTTACATGTGCTTTACTAAAGCTGTAAATATTAATATGCTCTCCAAAGGTGAGCAGCTTAGTAATTTATCCAGAGATTTCTGCTGCCAGGGTGGAGGTCTTAGGGGGCGTCTGAAAAGTTTTGCCAATTTGACTGAATGCCATTGAGTTAAAACATTTCAAGTTCTTAGGCCTGGACTTCCTGAAAGGCTCCACAGTACATTCAGGGTAACGTAGCGGTAACATCCTTGCTTTACCAAAATGACCACTGAGAGGCCCTTTATTTTTGCACTGATTGGACGTGCCTTTGGGAAGCTGTCATGCTGTTACCTGCAGGGCGGAGGCACTTGAGGTTGGCATGGATGGAAATGGCCAAGGAGCAGCTGCTGCAATGTTGATGTTATTGTTGTTTTCAAGAACAGTTTACTTTAGCCCTGACAAAGTCTGGGCCCAGGCACATTCCGGGTTCTTGCATGAACAGGGTGGGCACCCACCAGGACACTCAGCCTTGGTGGTCACGGGCGGTTGCCAGTGCTTCTTCCTAGGGAGGCAGCAGCTGCCCACCAGCCCCCAGATGGACCGGCTGGAGGCAGAGCAGTGCTTTTCCCAAATCCCGCTGTCAGTGCCCCCATTAACCTGCCCCAAATGCTGAGACCGTGTTCTGAGTGTCCCTTCCTTAAGCCTGCTCCTATTGGCTCAGCCTGGCTGGGACCCAGGACACGGACCCACGCAGCCCTGCCCTTCTCCACCTGCCAGAGACCAGGAATAGTCACTGCCCTCCCTGGCCCTGCCAGGCCCGCTCTGAGCCTCAGGCCAACACCCCTAGTCCTCCTTTTATTTTATTTTATTTTACTTTATTTTATTTTATTTTGAGACAAGGTCTCACTCTGTCCCCCAGGCTGGAGTGCAGTGGCCAGTCATAGCTCACTGCAGCCTCACATTCCTAAGCGATCCTCCCGCATCAGCTTCCTGAGTAGCTGGCACTACAGATGCACCACCATACCAGGCAAAGTGGTTTTCTATTTTTTGTAAAGACGAAGTTTGCTGTTGCCTAGGCTGGTCTTGAACTCCTAGTCTCAAGTAATCCTCCTGCCTGAGCCTCCCAAAGCACTGGGATTACAGGCGTGAGCCATCATGCCTGGCCCTCTTAGTCTCCTTTAAAATCCTTTTACTTGACAAAAAGTTCTTCCTTTGGAAAAACCAAGCCCCAGGTGCAGTTTCCTCTGGGTCATGAGTAAGCCTTTGCCACGCTTGGAGTAGATTCCATTCTGACCTTCTTTCAGACAGGCCTGCCCACGGCCTGTTGCGTCTCCCCAGTTGGCCTCCCTGCCCCTCTCCCTGTCCTGTCACCTGCCTCTGCCTAAGGGATGGATGGCAAACAGCCCTCTGCTTCTGTGCTCCATCTGGGCTTTGCAGATAGGGGGACTGCGGTTAAGTCCATTAAGCCAGGGTATGAATGAGGGGGAGGGGGATGAGCAGCAGGGACAGCAGGGAGTGGGCAGTGCTGGGCTGGGCATGGGCACCCCTGAGCCATGTTGCCTTCTGCTTCATTCCTTCCCTGCTCAGGAGCTTGCTCTGACTTCCTCCAGACAGTCCTGCTTCTCCATCCCTCCCCTCCACTTCAATTGATTGATTGATTGATTGATTGATTGATTGTAGAGAGAGGTGTCTCTCTGTGCTGCCCAGGCTGGTCTTGAACCCTTGGGCTCAAGCGATCCTCCCGCCTCGGCCTCCCAAAGTGCTGGGATTACAGGCATGGGGCCCCCTCCACTTCCCTTCTCTCACTCACCTTGCCCCAGGCCCATCCTGGCCCCAGGCAGCGCTCCCCACAGGTCTCCTTGCACACAGCTCGCTGCTGAGTCTGGCCTGTGCTGGGAACTAACGCCCCACCCAGAGACCCCGTGGAAACCCCCACCTTCACGCTGAGTTTCTTGAGGAAGAGCCTTTGCGCTTTGCGTTCAGTCAGCACCGCAGGGAAAACTCATGAGGAGGAACCTGTTGGACCCTCAAACTGCTTGATCGGTTGAGTGCAGGCCCAGAAAGTACATTCTAGGCAAAAGACAGCCCCAAATGCCAACAGGAAATAGTTCCCAAGGGAAAAGGCCAATAATATGGCTTAGCATTTTGCAGAACGTTGGCCTAAGGAAAGCTATTCTCATTTCCCCACCAACCAGGACTATCTTCAATATCAAAATCACATGCCTTGGGACTTCATAGCCCTGGGAGTTAAAATGCCCAGCCCTGTCTGAAATGGACCAGCAGGCAAGAGATACTACTGTCCCAGGAAGACCCCGGTGCACACCCATGGCTGCCCCATCTCCTAGCTCCTGGCTGTCTTAGTTAGGGGGGTCTCCTGTTTTTTTTTTTTTTTTTTTTTGAGATGGAGTCTCGCTCTCTCACCCAGGCTGGAGTGCAGTGGTGCGATCTTGGCTCACTGCAAACTCCGCCTCCCGGGGTTCAAGTGATTCCCCTGCCTCAGCCTCCTGAGTAGCTGGGATTACAGGCATGTGTTACCATACCCGGCTAATTTTTGTATTTTTAGTAGAGACAGGGTTTTACCATGTTGGCCAGGCTGGTCTCAAACTCCTGGCCTCAAGTGATCTGCCTGCCCCAGCCTCCCAAAGTGGTGGGATTACAGGCGTGAGCCACCGTGCTCAGCTGGTCTCTTGTTCTTGGTGGGACCTCTGAAAGTCTTCAGTGTGGCCTGTGCTGGAGGAAGTAGGAGAGGAGAAGGGGACAGTTGAACCAAGACCACCTCATGGTCTTGGGACACTCCAGCTCAGTTCCTCCTTTTTTATGACCACCCCGTCCCCTACGCTCACACCCCCTGGGAAGCTCCTGGTCCTGGTCCTAGAGGACTTGCCTGGCGTGGGCACAGCTTTGTGACTCCACACGTTGTAATGGGGTTCCCCTGCGTGTAGCCCAGCAATTCGGTGTGACTTCACTCAAGTATTCTCTTGTACACCTACGCTTTTTCTCCTGGCCTTATTCTAAGCACACTGAGCATGTGCCTCCTGTCCTGAAGCTCTATTTCTAGACCCAGATCCAGGTGGAGACCGCCCAGTGCCACCCGCTGGGTTCTGGTATCAGAAATAGATTCTCGTTTGGGTCAAAAGAGAATTATCTGGAAGTCAAAGCCCCTTGCTACAGGGAAACCTGCAGGGAAGATCCCTTTATATTTAAGATTAAACAGATCACATTGCAAAGCCACAGAGGAGCTGCTAAAATGAAAGAGCTGAGAGGAGCTTGGCCTAAGGGAGTCACGGATGCAGCCTCTGTCACAGTGTCGCTGCAGCAGTGACATGGACCCCTTCAGCTGTAGGAGAAGAGGAGAGGCGGGGTGGGGGAAGGGGTGCGTGGCATCTGAGATGCAGGAACATCTGTTCCCAGGCCCTTGGGGAGCCCTCCGTATGCTATGATGCTATCTGGGATTCTCCGTCTGCTTCCCCGTGAAGGGCTCCTGCGTGTCCCGGGTGGCCTGGTTCTGGGTGGGCATCAGCTACAGCACAAGTCACTGGGAGTTAGGGCACTTCCTGGCCACCCTGGGTGTACCGAGTGGTTCAGCATTAAGGAGCCTTGGGCTGCTCGGTGAGGAGCACCCTACCTCTCAGGTTGTTGGTTTTAGCAAATAAAACTACACACCACCCAGTTACATTTGAGTTTCAGATAAGCAAATGGGCCTCCACATTCTGTCTGGGGGCGCCTAGCCATGGCCCAGGGAGACAATTTGTTGTTCTGAGGGCTTTCCAGAGGCTGAGGGGTGCCAGGAAGGCTGAGCGGCCAGGGTGATCTGAACCTCCCTGGGCTGTGCCTGTCACCACCAGCAGTGTGCCTGCCATCCCCCGCTACCTGGCAAGTTCCCGGGCTGCACGAGTAAACAAGTATCCCAAGCCACAGGCGCCAGGGAGCCCGCAGGGCCTGGCCTGGGGTGCGTGCTTTTCTTGGCTTTCCAACCCAGCCCACGAGAGGGCATCCTTAGAGGGGCTCCAGAGCAGATGTGGACTGAACTTTCTCTCCTCCTCCCCAGCAGCCATCATCGCCAAGCCAGGAGAGTGGCTCCCAAGAGGACGCCAGGAAGAGCCTCGCCCAGCCCCCACGGGGACCCCCCGCCAGCCAAGGGAGGCGCCCCAGGACCCAGGCAATGGAGTGACCACCAGGTAAGGGGGATATCACAAGGCCTCGAACCTGACTCTCGGAGCTCTGGGAGTGGGCGCCCCACGCCGGATGCAGAGCACCCAGGAGACCTGGAAGGCTCCTCTGAGGCCCAGCCTCTGACAGGGGAGGCTAAGGAGCAGTGTCAAGATTCCCAGCGGAGTGCAGCCGCCACTCCTGACCACCTCGGAGGGCTGTGCTGCCTGAGAGCCATCAGTCAGACGGGAAGGACACAGCACTCAGAAGCATGCCCATGGGACTAGTTTTCAAAACTGCCAGGCGGACTTGTCCAGGGCTGGGTGATGGGGTGACTTAGGGACAGTGTCCTGTCAGCTTTTTGCATTTGGAGGAAGTGGGCTGTAGGGCAGAAAGATGGAGAAGGAGGTGAGTAAATGGTTTGGCTCAGAGGTCACTTCCTGAAACAGAAACTGGGCCTCCAGGCTGGGGCGTGGTGGCGCACGCCTGTAATCCCAACACTTTGGGAGGCTGAGGCAGGAGGATTGCTTGAGCCCAGGAGTTTGAAACTAGCCTGGGCAACATAGTGAGACCCTGTCTCAAAAAAAAAAAAAAAATCAAAAAACTAAAAAAAAAAAAAGAAAAGAAAAAACTGGACCCCCGAGCAGAAGAAAAAAAAAAATAGTGTCCTCTCTTCCACTGTGCCACGTGAGCACAGACTGGCCCTGTGGGTTATTAGGGGTTCTTTAGGGTCTAGAAAGGACCTTTCCAATCTCGCCAGCTCTTTCTTTTGGATCTGGAGAAACCTGCTCAGGGAGAGGGGCCTGGCCTGGGTCTCAGACCCTGCCTGTCCCTGACCACCAGGCATGCCAGCTGCCCCTCACCACTTCCTCCTGGCCATGAAGGAAGCCAACCTCCTGCGGTAAAATATGGGGCTGGAGCAGGCTCAGCTTAGTTCTGGGGGCCCCCGGAGAGGACAGGCAGGAAGACTGAGCAGAACCTGCACCCACTGGTGGAGAAAATCGGAGAGAGAAAGAGGCAGGAAGAGAAATCAATGGGGAGTGGCAGACAGGAGGAGGATGTAAGAGAAAGGGGGCGCAGACAAGTGTGCTGAGCTTCCTTGGGTGGGATGGGCTAGAAGCCGAAATCGGAACTGTGGGAAGGATGGGAAGGACTTCAAGACCTGGGCTAGGGAAGGGTGGGGGCAGTCCCAGCTATCTTTAAGAAGCACGGGGTCAAAGGTGGCTGCATTACTGGGGGAGGGGCCAAGCCTCTGGACTCCTCCAGTTCCACTGCCAACCTGCCTGGGGACCCAGGGACCTACCTCCCCTACCTGGGCCTCCTCCCCTCTTTCTGTGGCTGAAGAGGAGCTTGTCAGCTAGACCAGGGGTTCTCAGGCTCTCAGCATCCCCCTGAAATGGGGACTCAAAATGAGAGACCTCTGAGGAGTGGGCTAGAGCTATCTCATGCCCCCAGTCCAGACTGGATCCTCCCCTGCGGTTCAGCCAGGCCAAACCTACGCTTCCGGTATAGGCCACTTCTTTTTACTTCCTGCAAATGCTGAGTTCATTTCTGAGGCTCTCCACTGGGGACAGCCCTCTCTCCCCAGAAATAACTGTTTTCACAGTAGGTAGGCAGCCGACCCTGAGGGACCTCATTACATCAAGCAGCGTTGCCTAGCTGGCCCCCCAAGATTCTACTGAGCACAAAGACCCCTCAGGGTCCAACCCAGAGGTGCCCTCCCCTTGGTGTCAGTCACTGAAGCCAGCTCTTATTTTAAGCCTGGGAGTTCAGTGTGAGGAAGAAGAGGATGGAAGGAGGGAGAAGTACAAGTTGTTCCATCTTCCTCTTCCTCCCTCACTGGCAACGTCATCTAGAATATTTCGGCATTCTAGATGAGAGATATATATATACCTCATATGTATATGGTATACCTCATCTAGAATGCTGTAATATTCTAAATCACAAGTGGCCATCTCTTGTCAGGCTGACTTCAGCCCCAATTCAGGTCTCACTGAAGCATCCCTTCCTCCTGCCTGACCCCAAAGTGCGGGTCACGCCCTTCTGCCAGGCTCACAGAAGCCACAGTCCCTCCACGGGGCGGAGACCCCACTGTGTTGTCATGTGGCTGCCTCTCACTGCCTCAGAGACAAGCGCAGTGTGCAGGGCACAGAGAGCGTGCAGGGCCTGCTGGGTATACGGGGAATGCAGGGCTGCAGGGAGTGTGCACAGTGTGCAAGGTATTCAGGAAGTGCAGGGCTGCAGGGAGTGTGCAAGGAGTGCAGGGAATGCAGGGCATGCAGGAGTGTGCACAGAGTGCCAGGAGTGCAGGGCATCTGTGCTGTGCTTCTGCACCTGGCCTAGGTGGTTAGAGTACTTGTTGATGAACAAGTAGGAGAAAGGGAGAAAGAGTGGTTCTCTATGTGGCTTTGGTGGGGAACGTTTGTCCCCTCAACTTCCCCGAGCTCTGTTCTCTTGCTCTTTCAGGTGAGGTCTCATACCCAGAAGAAGAATTGGTGGATGGGCAGGAAGCCCTTGGGGCAGAGGTCTGGGGTCAGTGGTAGACTGAATGATGGCACTGTTACTTAGCCCAGGAAGCCCTTGGGGCAGAGGTCTGGGTCAGTGGTAGACTGAATGATGGCACTGTTTACTTAGCCCGGCTTTCAGGTGTTTTAAGGATAATGGCCACTCAAGCTCTGTGCCAGTGACTTCCAGCAACTGTCTTGCTGTAAAATTACTTTCTCGGAGGCTAGAGAATAAAAGTCTAGACCTGCCTGGCGCAGTGGCTCACGCCTGTAATCCCAGCACTTTGGGAGGCCAAGGCGGGCGGACAACGAGGTCAAGAGATCAAGATCATCCTGGCCAACATGGAGAAACCCCGTCTCTACTAAAAATACAAAAATTAGCTGGGCGTGGTGGCACGTGCTTGTAGTCCCAGCTACTTGGGAGGCTGAGGCAGGAGAATCGCTTGAACTGGGAAGCAGAGGTTGCAGTGAGCCGAGATCGCACCACTGCACTCCAGCCTGGACGACAGAGTAAGACTCCGTCTCAAAAAAAAAAAAAAAAAAAAAAAAAAAGCCCAGACCCTACAATCATGGTGCCTTCCCCCAACCCCCATGGTGAAATTTTCCTTTTCCTTTGTCAGCTTCTTAGACTCCTTAGATTAAGTAGCAGGATAAAACGAATGTTGACCAGCTTTAAAGATGTATTTATTAAGAAACAAATGCATTTATCCTGCGAAGAGCCAAAGTGCATCCCAAGAAGTATGTCAGTCCAGACCACAGAGGCTGAGTTGCACCCCGGAATGTGCAGGAAGGTGATGGCAGGGCTGCCTTGACTGTCACCTGTCAGTCCTTCTCAGCATGGCCCTGCCACTCCAGAAGAGCAGCCCCAGCCAGGTGTGGGGTGCTTGTGCCTGGAAGTTCACCTCCACGTGGCCTGAGGACAGGTGAGGGAGGTGGCTCTGTCTGAGGAGCTCCTCGCACTCAGGCCCAGGACAGGATCAGAAGCAAATGTCAAAAATCTTGTCCTGCCACAGATGAGAAGTGATTCTTTTGCAAGTGCTGTGACTTTTTTAAAATGAGAAGAGATTGTACATATGTCTACATGTATGCCTTTCCCCTCACGTTTGTCCCTGAGGATGGACAGCAGCTCCCAATGGCACATTCATGCATCCAGCTAAAGAAACAACACATGCTCATGCCTGGAATCCCAGCACTTTGGGAGGCCGAGGCGGGCGGATCACCTGAGGTCCAGGAGTTTGAGACCAGCCTGACCAACATGGTGAAACCCTGTCTTTACTAAAAATACAAAAATTAGCCGGGCATGGTGGTGCATGCCTGTAATCCCAGCTACTCGGGAAGCTGAGGCAGGAGAATCATTTGAACCCAGGAGGTGGAGGTTGCAGTGAGCCGAGATCACACCATTGCACTCCAGCCTGGACAACAGGGCAAGATTTCATTTCAAAAAAAAAAAAGAAAGAAAGAAAGTGGCCCTCGGCAGAGCATCAGGGAGCTGCCCCTTGGCCTGGCAGAGCCCACCCCGTGAGGCACCCTGACCACCTTGGGGGCTGCTTCAGGCAGTGCCTGTGTTGACCTAGGAGGCTGGGCCCCTATCATTGGATGCTCCAGCTGCTCTAGGAAGGATGCAGTGGGAGGTGGGGTGGACGGCTGTTGGTAAGTGTCAGCTGAGCCCCTGGTGGCCTCAGGGCCCTCCATCCTCCCAGCATGGTGAGCTCAGCAGCCTGGAGGCAGCCAGGAGCCAGGGCCAGGAAATGGCGCTGGTCTGGCCTGAGATGAGGCCAGATTAGGGCAGAGCAGAGAAACCATGTGGAAAGGAAGTCCAGGACGGCAGTCACCTATGACATAGGGGAAGTCACGTGCCGCAGAAACGCATGGGACTGAGTCCTGGAAAAAATGTAAAGGGTGATATACGGGAAAGTTGGGAGGTGCTCTGCAAGGTAGGCGATTGTTTATTAGAGCAGCCTGGCCCTTATATGATCTCAGCGTATCAATAGGAACATTGTGTTGGGAGGGAAGAGCCATAAAATGCCTCGGGAGATGCTGAGTCTTTCCCTGTGTTTGCAATGCTGCTGAGTCATAATCCGGCTGCTAAGCATCACCCAGCAGAGGATCCTGTGTCCCTTCTGTTTGCATTAAGCCCAAAGAAAAGCATTCAGGGCCCCTAGGCGACTCTGCCCAGAGGGTTCATAACCGGCTCTCAGTTATTGCTGCGGACATTTCATCTGGATTATAAGAAAACCCAGAAAGGGGCAGAGGTGGGGAAACGGGCCAGAACAGAATACAGCAGATAAAGGCAGATAGGAACCAGCCGCACACACAGCAGATGGGAACCAGCCGCACACACAGCAGATAGGACCCAGCCGCACACACAGCTCCCATGCCATGGGCACACACTTGGCGACACGTCTCAAGCTCCTCGGCCTCCTGGGGCTTCATGTGTCGTTTCTTTTTCTTTTTTTTTGAGACACAGTCTCGCTCTGTCACCCAGGCTGGAGTGCAGTGGCACGATCTTGGCTCACTGCAACCTCTGCCTCCCGGGTTCAAGCGATTCTCCTGCCTCAGCTATTTTCTCCAGTGCCAGTGGGAGGGGCCAGGCAGAGGGAGCCCCGGTCTGAGGAGGCTCATTCCCACCCCTCACAGTCATGTCCTAGGGAGAGGGGGACAGGCTTAAGGTGTATTAGTTAGGACTCTCCAGGGAAACAGAGAGGCTGATTTTAGGGAATTGGCTCATGTGATTGGAGAGGCTTGGCAAGCGCAGAATCTGATGGGGTAGACCAGCAGGCTGGAGAGTCAGGGGAGAGTTGCCGTTCAAGTCCAAAGGCCATCAGTTGGCAGAACCCCTTCTTGCTCAGGGAATATCAGTCTTTTTCTATTATGGCCTTCAGCTGACTGGATGGGGGCACTCATGTTACGGAGGGTGATCTGCCTCACTCAGAGTCCACTGATTTAAATGTTCATCTTGTCCAAAAAAGAACTTCACAGAAACATCTAGAATAATATTTGACCGAATATCTGGGCACCATGGCCCAGCCAAATTGACACATAAAAATAACCATTACGGGCCAGGCACGGTGGCTTATGCTTATAATCCTGGCACTGTGGGAGGCCAAGGTGGGAGGATCTCTTGAGGCCAGGAGTGTGAGGCCAGCCTGGGCAACATTAGCAAAACCCCACCTCTAAAAAAATAATAAAATTTTAAAAATTGGGCCAGCTGCGGTGGCTCACGCCTGTAATCCCAGCACTTTGGGAGGCCGAGGTGGGTGGATCACGAGGTCAGGAGATCGAGACCATCCTGGCCAACATGGTGAAAACCCGTCTCTACTAAAAATACAAAAATTAGCCGGGCATGGTGGCGGGTGCCTGTAGTCCCAGCTACTCGGGAGGCTGAGGCAGGAGAATTGCTTGAACCCATGAGGCGGAGGTTGCAGTGACCCAAGATCATGCCACTGCACTCCAGCCTGGTGATAGAGCGAGACTCTGTCTCAAAACAAAACCAAACAAATTTTTTTTTTTGAGACGGAGTCTCGCTCTGTCGCCCAGGCTAGAGTGCAGTGGCGCAATCTCGGCTCACTGCAACCTCTGCCTCCCGGGTTCACGCCATTCTCCTGCCTCAGCCTCCCGAGTAGCTGGGACTACAGGCGCCCGCCACCACGCCTGGCTAATTTTTTGTGTTTTTAGTAGAGATGGGGTTTCACCATGTTAGCCAGGATGGTCTCGATCTCATGACCTCGTGATCCCCCCGCCTCGGCCTCCCAAAGTGCTGGGATTACAGGCGTGAGCCACCATGCCCGGCCAACAAAACAAATTTTAAAAAATTATTTTTAATAACCATCACATAAGGGCTTTGATGCCCAGTGGCAAATTGCTCTCCAAAAAGATGGTGTCCTCTTCCAGTTATCCTTGAGGTGGGACGTTACGGATTCCTGGGCCCTGCCGCCCAGGCTTTCTCTCCTTGGGCTTCTTGTTGACTCACCTCAGCTGACCCTGACCCTGCAACTTGACCTTGCTGCCTGCCGGCTTTAAGGCGCCATATGGAAGCCAGCTATCCCTCCTGGAATTGCACTGCCAGTTCCTCCAACCCTGGGGGACCCTGGCTGCCTTTGAGGGCTGCCTCCCAGGCTAGCTGGTGCTGGCCGCCCTGTCCCCAAGACCATGCGATGGTCCTAGGGCTAACCCAGCACTAACCCCTGCCCTTACCAGTGCTGGGAATAGTACCGCTGTTCATGTGAGTCGTTTTTACTAGGTTTCCTGTTGTTCCTTCTTAAAATATGGCAGGGCTACACTTAAAAATGATAAAGATGGTAAATATTATGGATATTTTACTACAATTTAAAATAAGTTAACTGGCCGGGCGCGGTGGCTCATACCTATAATCCCAGCACTTTGGGAAGCAGAGGTGGGTGGATCACCTGAGGTCAGGAGTTTGAGACCAGCCTGGCCAACATTGTGAAACCCTGTCTCTTCTAAAAATACAAAAATTAGCCGGGCGTGGTGGCGGGCGCCTGTAATTGCAGCTACTCGGGAGGCTGAGTCACGAGAACTTGAACCCAGGAGGCAGAGGTTGCAATGAGCCGAGATCGCACCATTGCACTACAGCCTGGGCAACGAGCAAAACTCCATTTCAAAAAAAAAAAAAAGATAAATTAAAATAAGTTAACTATTATAATAATGACACAAAATATCAAAATATGAATAGTAAAACATAAAAATTTGAACCAAATAATTTTAAAACACCTCATTTGATGGTTACACACGTTATACCTGCATCAGAATATCACACTGTACCCCATAAATATGTACAATTATTTATCAGTTTAAAAAAGAAAGAAACCACCTCACTAGACCACGTACAAAGCTCCTTTGTATGTGTGAAAAAAGCATCAGCAAAGCTTTCATGTAATGATTTTACAACCCAGTTCCCTGGTCAGATAGCCCCGCGTATCTGTGAACTCATCCCATCAGGAAATGCATCCTGATCTCTGATCCCCAGCCCCTAGCAGAATTCTCAGCACGCGTGAGCTTGATCAATGAATGAAAGAAAAGGAGAACATCCATTTATTAAATCCGAGTATATCAATCAGAAGAAATAATACCCAACTCTTGTAAATGCTAACGACAGGCTGCATGGATGTGTGGAGAGGGTGGGATGAGACTCATAAAAGCAGAGTGGTAACAGGAGCCTGTAACTGTACCCACAAGTAAGCAACAATGTCACATAGGCAAAAGGTAGAATATGGAAAATATTTGGGGGAATAGTGTTATGAGTGATACAAAAATTTTATTTTTTGAGACAGGGTCACACTTTGTTGCCCAAGCTGGAGGGCCCTGGCGTGAACAAAGCTCACTGCAGCCTTGACCTCCCAGGCACAAGTGATCTTCCTGCCTAGCCTCCCAAGTAGCTGGGATTACAGGCACATACCACCATGCCCCGCTAATTTTTTGTATTTTTAGTAGAGATGGGTTTTCACCATGCCGGCCAGGCTGGTCGCGAACTCCTGACCTTGTGATCTGCCCACTTTGGCCTCCCAAAGTGCTGGGATTACAGGCATGAGCCACCGCGCCCGGCCTATTTTTCTAATTATTAAAGTGATATGTTATCAATGTAAAAAAAGGCATATAGAAACAAATCAAACCAAAAGAATCCCACAGTCTCCTCCCAAGTCCTACTTCCCAGAACTATACTTCCATCTAAGGGGTGCTAACAACTGGGCCCAGGATATGTCCTCACTGAATTCTCACAGCTGTTCCTTAGACATTTTACAGGCAGGGAAACTGAGGCTCCCAAGGTGTCAGGGAACTCCCGTGCAATCACCATCTGGAGAGCGGTGGGGCTGGACCCAAGGCTCCATGGCATGGGGATTCTTGCCCATGGGTGCCTGCATTTCCCCACCTTATGCCCATCGTCTCCTTCCTCCTGTGCTTTCTTTTTTTTCTTTTTTTTTATTTTATTTTTTTGAGACAGAGTCTCACTCTGTCACCCAGGCTGGAGTGCAGTGGCGTGATCTTGTCCCACTGCAGCCTCTGCCTCCCAGGTTCAAGCAATTCTCCTGTCTCAGCCTCCTGACTAGCTGGGACTACAGGCATCTGCCACCATGCCTGGGTAATTTTTGTATTTTTAGTAGAGACGGGGGTCTCACCATATTGGTCAGGCTGGTCTCGAACTCCTGACCTCAGGTGATCCGCCCGCCTCGGCCTCCCAAAGTGTTGGATTACAGGCGTGAGCCACCATGCTCAGCCAGTTTCTTTTTTTTTTTTTTTGAGACAGAATTTTGCTCTTGTCGCCCAGGCTGGAGTGCAACAGTGCCGTCTTGGCTCACTGCAACCTCCTCCCAGGTTCAAGCGGTTCTCCTGCCTCAGCCTCCTGAGGAGCTGGAATTACAGGTGCCCGCCACCGCGCCCGGCTAATTTTTGAATTTTTAGTAGTGACGGGGCTTCACCATGTTGGCCAGGCTGGTCTCTAACTCCTGACTTCAGGTGATTTGTCCGCCTTGGCCTCTCAGAGTGCTGGGATTATAGGCGGGAGCCACCACACCCGGCCCCTCCTGTGGTTTCTAATGCTGTAGTAGCTGGGACTCCAGGTTGCACGTTTTGTTCTAGGGAATGTGCATCAGCCTTCACCTGCAAGCCCCGGGCCCCCTGCACTCCAGAGATGCTGGACTGGAACCCACCCAAGGCAAAGGCGTCAGTTCTGGCCCCTCTGTTCTCTTCGTGTGGCCCCCAGCAGGCCAGCCGCCCCGGCTCCACAGCGTCCTCCACAAGGGGCCTGCCGAGTAAGTCAGCCTGGGCCCCACTGGCGTGGGAGCCTGGCCACCCGCCAACCTGCAGGGAAGGGCATTTTGCTGCTATATTTGGCCCCGTGCTCCTGTGTGTACCAGGCCAGGCCAGAAGGGCAGAAGGCCTGCTTCCCTTCCCCACACAACCAGGCCCCAGCAGGTGGCTTCCTTTCCTCCAGGGACCGGTTCTGCATGAATCTTCCTTCCTATTAAATTCCCTTTGGCCTCAGTGACTCAAACTCAAGCTGAGGAGTGAGACCTCCAGGCAGGTCACTGAGAGAGAAGCCCCTCCCCACTTCCCTCTGTGGAGCTCACAGAGTTGGCCCTGAGCTGGCCCTGCTGCCCCGGGGTTGGCCCTGAAACTCGGACCTGCCCTGGTGGGAGGTGGTCCAGCCCCTGGTTCAGCCACTGTGTCCCTGCCTGGCCCAGCCTCGGTCAGGCCACCCCCAGGTCAAACAGAAGCGGGTGTCTGCTCGCAGGCTGGATGGAGGGGCCGCCAGAAGGGCCTGAAGATGGGATGGGCCCAAGGGCCCCCACTCTCTCCCTGGGGCCTCTCTCTCACCCTCTCACCTGAGGCTCACTGTAAGGACCACTTCTTTGTCTTTCTCTGTCCCCTTCCAGCCTCTGCCAATTGATAGCCCCTCCACCTCCACGCCCCAACTGAGCTGAACCTTTCTAGAGGGCTTTACCAAAACACAGGGAAAACAAAAGGACAGAACAAAAGGCCAGGCAGGACGAAAGGAGTCCCGCTTAGGATATGCGCATTTCTTTGGCCGCCCCCAGCCCGCCCCACCCTACTACCTTCCTGGCCAGGCCCTGGGCGCTCTGGTCAGCTGGGGACACGCTGGGTTGGAAGTGGGGGTAATGGCCATGGCTGGGGAGCCAGGTTGGGACCCCTCCCACTTCCCACTGGGAAACACACCCAAAACCCCAGCCCAGCCAGTCGCAGCCCAGGTCAGGCGCAGAGGAGGTGCAGCAAATCCAGGGGAGGCTCGGCCAGGAGGAAGGTGCCACTGGGGCAGGGATCCCCAGTCATAGCAACAGTGACACCAGCAGCTGGTGGCTGGCCTGGCCCCACATCTAGCAGCATAGCGTGGCCACGGTGTGGACAGCTCAGCCAGCCATGGGCGTTGTGTGTCCTGTGGGCTCAACAAACACGTGAGCTGTTGCCAGCAAAGCTGACTGAGTGACCCGCACCAAGCAGCCTGCTTCCTGTGAGGAAAGAGCCGGCCCGCCAGTCGAGCCCAGGCCACAGAACAGGTGACCTGGGAGAGGGAAGGTTCCCTCGCTTCTGAGCCGGCTGAAAGAGGGACTGAGTGGGACAGAGGGGATTCTGTGCGGAGACCACACAGCACTGGCATCTTGCTCTGGCTTTTCTCTCCAGGCAGCCAGTCTCACAGGAAGTAAGGATGTCCCCGGGTGTCCCCATCACGTTGCCGGAGGACCAGCCAGCTTCCCGCTCTCAGCTGGCAGCAGCTGCCGGTGATGGATGTGAAGGGACAGTTGTCCACAAGACTCTGGGAGCTGAGGGGAGGCCGGCTCTCCAGGCAGCACCAGAGCAAGGCCATCGCAGCCCCGCCAGCCGGGTCACTTTCTCCCAGGGCAGAGCCACCAAGGAGGGCTGGGGAGAGCCTGGCATTGCCCTCCTGGAGAGGGGAATTTCCTGCTCACCCTTCACACACAGAGGAGAGGGGTGGCTTTTGCCCGCAGGAGATCTTCTGGCCCCAGAAACAGCAGGTGCTGGATTTGCAGCCCTGGCCCTCCAGGCCCCAACAGGGCGACAGTGTAGGGCCAGCCTGGAGCAGGGCTTTTCCAAGGCTGCTGAAGCCAGCCCTCCTCACTTGGGCTGACTACCAGGACCCAGAAGGAACTCAGGGTGAAGCTCATTTTATTCTCAAGCCTGCGTCTCAGCAGCAAAGTTGGTGTTTTCTTCCTGTGTTAAAATCTGAGAAAGAAGGCCAGGTGCGGTGGCTCACGCCTGTAATTCCAGGACTTTGGAAGGCTGAGGCGGGCAGATCACGAGGTCAGGAGATCGAGACCATCCTGGCTAACGTGGTGAAACCCCGTCTCTACTAAAAAAATACAAAAAAATTAGCCGGGCGTGGTGGCGGGCGCTTGTAGTCCCAGCTACTCTGGAGGCTGAGGCAGGAGAATGGCGTGAACCCGGGAGGCGGAGCTTGCAGTGAGCCGAGATCGTGCCACTGCACTCTAGCCTGGGTGACAGAGCGAGACTCCGTCCCCAAAAAAAAAATTCTGAGAATATGGTGTGTTCCAGCCTCTTCAAAGCTCTGCTCTTCTGCACACGTTTTTTGAAGGCCTTAAAAAGGCCACCAGTGTGACCAGGGAGCACCCTCTGCCTCCCTCCCTGCACTGGGACCATAAACATAAACAGCTCTACCAGCAAAGTGACCCATCCCGCGGGGGAGGCCTGCGCACGCCCCTCACCAGGGCTGTCATCAGAATCCAGTCTTAGGACAGAGGAAGGATGTTTGCCTTCAGGACCAGCAAGTCACAGGTGTCCTGGATGTTACCCAAGCTCTAAAATCAAATAAAACCCATCAGTATTTAGTGGTGTGTGTGTGTGTGTGTGTGTGTGTGTGTGTGTGTGTGTGTGTGTGTGTGTGTGTATGAGTGTATGAAGGGAAATGGAAAGCAGAGAAAAGTCGCGTGCCCTCCCCCAGGCACCTGATCTGCCCACAGACCCTTCAATGGGGACATCTCTGGTCCCAATGGTCGTAAATAAAGGCTAAGCGCTGGATTTTTCCATGGCCCCCTGACTCCTCAGGAGCGCAGGCAGAGGAGGTAAACAGGAGGCCAGGTTACCCATGAGATGACCAGAAGCTCATCCAGGGCCGGGACCCTGGTTCATCTCGTGAATTCTTGGCAGCGGCTCCAGGCTGGGCACATTAGATGCTGTCATGTGACTGGCCTGGTGGCCACCTCTTGGTTCTCTGGAAATGTGTCCACTCTGTGCTCAGGGAAGAAGGCTGCCGTCCTGACCTGTCAGCCACCAGGCCCTCTCTGAACTCCTCACTTGACCCGGAGGCATTGGGAGCAAACACAAAGCTCGCCCCTGGTGTCAGTGGTGCAGACAGAGGAAAAGCAGAGGGTCCGCAAAATGCAACTCCTCCGTGGTGAGACTTTGAAAAGGTGTAGAGTGGTTGCAGACAAACAGCAAAGGAGTGGAATGGAAAAATCTCTCTTGCTCCCCACAAGAAGTCCACTCCCCTACGGATTCCTCAGATGCCACTGGCTGGCACAGCCTTTCCCGCCCTTGGTGTGGGAGCAGCAGAAGTCCAGCGGGGGTGGGAGAATCATCGGGGTCAGGTCAGTGTCTCCCTCGTCTGAAGTCAACCACTACTTTTCCCTCAAGCCTACCAAAGAGCTAAAGTCTGATCTGTAGATGTCTGATGGTTTGAGGAGAAGAAAAGATAGTCTTTTAGAGAAGTGGGGAGTATCCAACTTAGGGTCAAAATACACTGAGATTAGGCCGGGCACAGTGGCTCACACCTGTAATCCCAGTGCTTTGGGAGGCCGAGGCGGATGGATCACTTGAGGCCTCCAGGAGTTCGAGACCAGCCTGGCCAACATGGCGAAACCCCGTCTCTACTAAAATACAAAAAATTAGCTGGATGTGGTGGTGGGTGCCTGTAATCTCAGCTACTCAAGGAGGCTGAGGCACAAGAATAGCTTGAACCGGGAGATGGAAGATGCAGTGAGCCAAGATCACGCCCCTGCACTCCAGCCTGGGCGACAGAGACTCCGTCAAAAAAAAAAAAAAAATACATTGAGATTACCAGGTGGGGTATGTGTGGTTCTTCCAGGAAAGTGCTGAAAATATCACCCAGGCCTCTGCGCCACGCCCTGGGAGAGTACACTCCTGGGCTCACGCCTCTGCATTCCAAGGCTGACAGCTAGAAATATACTTTGTAAAATACCAACAACTTATTCACAAATATTCCAACTATCTACCAGCTCCAATGAGCTTGCTGAGGATGGGTATGACCCCAGTCTAAGGGGAAAGAATCTAAAACACAAGTAAACCTGTTTAAAGGCCAGATCTCCAGATGGAGATCCAAGCAGATGGCGCCTAAGGTTTGCCCTTGAAAACTACCAAGGAAGCCACAGAGAGGGATCTTTGGACCTTCTGGAAAATGGTAAGGCCCCAGGTAGATTATGGCTCCTCTGCCCTGGAGGCTGAGCCGCCCCTCTGGTTACCTCACATCTTCTGGTTTCTTCTGAGTGGGACTTGATCTCATTTCTGCATTCACAGCAAGGTGGAACTGTCTGGCAAGAGCTTAAATTAGGACCTGTGGTGGGGACTTTAATAGGCAGGTGGAGGTTTGAGATCCAGTGAGATGCCAGAGATTAGTCAATAGGTGAGGAAAGATTTGGCCCAAATCAAAAGAGCTAAAAAAAAAATAATAAAATAAAAATAAAAATAAAATAGTTGAACAAATAAGGTTCATGAAAAAAAAAGAAAAGAAAGAAAAGGTAAAGAAAAGAAATCCATGATAAAATATCAAACTTTTTAATAAAAACAAGTCTGGCCCTGTACTTGGATGACCCCACCTGGCTTGTCTAACCCTAATCCCAGCCCCAGTTTTAATAAAACTGTATTTACAAAATAGGCAGCTGGGACGTGGACCAGAGATACCAATTTGATTTTTTTTAAATATTACATTAAAATATTACATCATGTGTCTTCATTACTGAGTTTTGGGGTAGCCCTTTAAATTTTGTATGCAAGGTGAATACCTCACCCCTCTCTCCTGGCCTAGAATCTGGGGGATCCTCCTGTCCCTCCCACAGTGCCTGATAGCACAGCCTGGGGCTGGTGGTGTGCCTGTTTGCCTAGCTTTATCTCTCCAGATACTATTTGGGGTGTGCTGTTCTAAGAAGTGATTAGGTTAGCTTTTGCATATTAACAAACTACCTCTGAAACTTAGTGGCTTAAACCAACAAATGTATTAGCTTTATAATGATTTGGATCAGTGATGGGGGCTGGGCACGGACAGGCGATTCTTCTGCTGGGCTTGGCTGAACTCAACTATGTCTTATGGTCAGAGGGCAGTCAGGGGCTTCGCTCATGTCTGGTAGTTGGCTGTTGGCTGAGCCCTTGGTTCTCCTCTGGCTTAGGCTTGTTCACATGGTGGCCTCGGGGCTCCCATGGCAGTTAGAGAAATCAAGCCCAAGTCTCATATCACGTTCACTATTCTCCCATTGTCCAAAGCAGACCACATGGCCAAGGCCCAAGTCTGTGTGAAAGGATGTGGATACAGGGACCCCGAATGAACCAGAGGCAATACTGCTGCAAGCTACCACATAGATGCTGTTCAGAGCTTTGCAGGACCAAATCTTTTAGGGCTGTTTTTCCATTGTGGTATACCCTCTCCATTTAGATTCAATTGAACAAATATATTCTTTGGGGCTGCAGTGTGTCAGATGTGGAGACATGGTCCCACTGGCTTTCAAGTTGCCATCCATCTTCTAGGGAGAATTTCTGGCCTTTTCGGATGGCATGGTCCAGGCCGGAGCACCAGCCCCAGGTTGAAACATCAGGCAGGTTTCTAGGAAATGGTTGCAAAATTAGCAAAAAGTCAGGGCTACAGAGCCCTATCCAGAGTCGTCATCTTAAGGTGTCTACTAAAGCCTGGGGGTGGATGGGATCTCAGAAGGGGGACTAGAGAAATAGGAAACTGGGGACAGAACCCGGGGGTGAGAAAGAAGACAGCAGGTGTTGTGGGAAGTCAGGGACCCCAAACGGAGGGACTGGCTGAAGCCATGACAGAAGAACGTGGATTGTGATGATTTCATGGACATTTATTAGTTCCCCCAAATTAATACTTTTGTAATTTCTTATGCCTGTCTTTACTACAGTCTCTAAACATAAGTTGTGAATATTTCATGGACACTTATCACTTCCCCAGTCAATACCCTTGTGATTTCCTATGCCTGTCTTTACTTTAATCTCTTAATCCTGTCAGCTGAGGGGGATGTATGTTGCCTCAGGACCCTGTAATAATTGCATTAACTGCACAAATTGTACAGCATGTGTGTTTGCGCAATATGAAATCTGAGCACCTTGAAAAAAGAACAGGGTAACAGCAATTGTTCAGGGAATAAGAGAGATAACCTTAAACTCTGACCACTGGTGAGTCGGGCGGAACAGAGCCATATTTCTCTTCTTTCAAAAGCAAATGGGAGAAATATCGCTGAATTCTTTTTCTCAGCATGGAACATCCCCTGAGAAAGAGAATGCACACCTGGGGGTGGGTCTCTGAACTGGCCCCCCTCCCCCGGGGGCGTGGTCGTCTCTTATGGTCGAGGCTGCAGAGATGAAATAAACTCCAGTCTCCCATAGCGCTCCCAGGCTTATTAGGAGGAGGAAATTCCCGCCTAATAAATTTTGGTCAGACCGGTTGCTCTCAAACCCTGTCTCCTGATAAGATGTTATCAATGACAATGGTGCCCAAAACTTCATTAGCAATTTTAATTTTGCCTTGGTCCTGTGGTCCTGTGATCTCGCCCTGCCTCCACTTGCCTTGTGATATTCTATTACCCTGTTAAGTACTTGATGTCTGTCACCCACACCTATTCGCACACTCCCTCCCCTTTTGAAAATCCCTAATAAAAACTTGCTGGTTTTTGTGGCTTGTGGGGCATCACGGATCCTACCAACGTGTGATGTCTCCCCCGGACACCCAGCTTTACAATTTCTCTCTTTTGTACTCTGTCCCTTTATTTCTCAAGCCGGCCGACGCTTAGGAAAAATAGAAAAGAACCTATGTGATTACTGGGGCAGGTTCCCCGATAGGCAGGTGCAGGAGTTTCAAGGAAGGAGGAGGAGGAGGACTAGGGATGCAGGGAGGAGGACTTGGAATGCAGGGGGAGGACTAAGGATGCAAGCTCTGGAACCCAGGGAGGAAAGCAGGGGATGGAGGGCGGTCACCATGGTCGGGCTATAGAGGAGGTGGGGAAGAAGATAACAGGCTAAGGCCAGCTTGAGAGCAGTTTCCTTAGAGCACTGGCCAGAGGTCAGCCTGCACCAGTGCCCGTCAAGGCGGTGAGCTGGATGCCAAAGGCATTGAGGTCAGAGGGGAGACCCAGAGAAGACAGGGAAGTGGTGGCATGAGCTCTAAGAAGGGAGGCTGGAGCAAAGGCCTCAAAGTTGTGATCTTGAGGGGTGCTGGGGAGCAAGGAGTCCACCAGGCTCTCCTCTGGCCCCTGGGCAGGAGGCAGTGGTGTGTGGCCAGTTTGGGACAGCTCACAGAGCTGATTCCTAAGTTTGGGGGGAATTCTTTTTTTTTTTTTTTTTAGGACAGAGTCTCGCTCTGTTGCCCAGGCTGGAGTGCAATGGTGCGATCTCGGCTCACTGCAAGCTCCGCCTCCCGGGTTCAAGCAGTTCTCCTGCCTCAGGCTCCCAAGTAGCTGGGATTACAGGCACGTGCCACCATGCCTGGCTAATTTTTGGATTTTTAGGAGAGACGAGGTTTCACCATGTTCGTCAGGCTGGTCTCGAACTCCTGACCTCAGATAATCCGCCCACCTTGGCCTTCCAAAGTGCTGGGATTACAGGCATGAGCCACCGCGCCCGGCCCAGTTTGGGGGAATTCTATGAGCTGCTTTTAAACATAGCCATTACCAAAACTTAAGTTATATAAACTTACAGTAAAATAAATTCTATTAAGAACAAAGGGAATAAATACTCAAAACATCCTTTCCTAAGGATTTTCCTGCATCCACTGTCCTCAGTCCTGGAGGTTATTCACATCTGTTGCATCTGTATGGTGGAAATATGACAGAATTAACAAAGGCTGCTGGACATCTCTTCCCAGCTCTGTGTTCAGTGACATCATTTTGGTAGCTTGAAACTGGCCATGGTGGGGGTATTTACACCACAGAAATTGGCAAGCACCACAAACCAGAGCTTTAGCCCCCACCCCCAAGAGCCGGTTATTAAATGTTTACCAGCACTCCACTGGCAGAAGCCGTGCAAGACGGTGCAGCCTCAGAGGCAGGATGTTGGGTGGATCAGGAACTATGTCAGGGAGAGTTAGAGGAAGCAAGGCAGTGTGCATCCCTGAAATAGCAAAGCCAAGGGTGTGGCATGCACGATGGAGAGGTAGCGGCTGACTCTGCCCAAATCTCTTTCTACAGGTCCTCAGGGATCGCACTGGCCCAAAGCACTTGTGTCAGCTCACCTTCCAGCATCTGGCTCAGAGCCTCTCCCCATTTCTGTGATCACCGAGGGCTTCTTCCAGTTGTCCTGGGTGTCACTTGGACACCTTCCTGCTTGGCACAGTGTTGCTGCTCACGCTCTCGCTGTCCCTCTGGGCCTCTGGAAACACGCCTGCCCCAAGTGTGCACAGGTGTGGAGCTGCTCTTTGTCACAAGTCTTCAGTGATGAGTCACCAGTTCCCGGCGGGGGAAGAGTTCACTGGATACATGATAGTGTGGCCTGGGTCTCAAACAGCCTGGAGTAGGGATCACTGACCAGGCTGGAAGGGAGGGGCATACAGGGTGCCACCCTCTGACCAGCAAGTTTCCAAGTTATGCCAAGTCAGGCCTCAACTCAGGCAGCACCGTCTTCAAGGGAGAAGCCAGGCAGAGGGTCCCAGTGGCTTATAGGCCCTGAGGGGCAGGACCAGGGACCCTGGGTTTACTGAGGGAAGGTGGGGTAGAGGCTGGATAAAGTACCTCGGCCAAAGGCAAGAAGAGTGGGGCTGAAGGGCTGGGGCCTGGATTTGGGACGCCATTACCATTGCCATTCTCAGCCAAATGCCAGTCTTTTTTTTTTTTTTTTTTTTTGAGACAGTCTTGCTATGTTGCCCAGGCTATCCTTAATTGATCCTCCTGTGAGGCCTCCCAAAGTGCTAGAATTAAAGGCACGTGCCACCAAGCCCAGCCGAAGGCCAGTCTTTCAGCGCCTCAAAGGGGAACAGCATGATTAGAATGTGTGCACAGCTGGCCGGGCACGGTGGCTCACGCCTGTAATCCCAGCACTTTGGAAGGCCGAGGTGGGCGGATCACGAGGTCAGGAATTCAAGACCAGCCTGGCCAACATGGTGAAACCCTGTCTCTATCAAAAATACAAAAATTAGCCGGGCATGGTGGCATGCGCCTGTAATCCCAGCTACTTAGGAGGCTTGAGGCAGGAGAATTGCTTGAACCCAGGAAGTGGAGGTTGCAGTGAGCCGAGATTGTGCCACTGCACCCCAGCCCAGGCGACAGAGAGAAAAAAGCATGTGTGCACAGCCTCCAGGGAGGCCCTTGGCCCCAGGGTCTGAGGATAGGCCAATGGCCCTCCCTGGCCTCGGGCATCCCACCTGGGCCCTGTTGGGATGACTACCCTGGGGCTGTGTGGCAAACCAGCAAGGAGGCGGCTGCTGTGCGCTGAGCACCCTGGACAAGGCCCAGGAGGCTGCCGCAGAGACAGGGGAGGCTGGGGGAGGGGGAGGGAGGCAGGGACGGGGAATCAGCATCCCTGGGAGACCCCAGCAGCAGCCAAGACTCCAAAAAGGGCATGAAGTAGTGGTCAGGTGGAAAAATGCAAAAACCAGGCCAAAGAGGAGAGAAGTTTCAGATTTTGTGAAACCTCCCTCCCCCAGAGACCCTGGAAATAGTGACAGGGAGGAGACCTCGCTCTCTGACTCACGGCTATTACTGTGCCGCATGCGTGCACGTGAGTGGGCAAGGCTGCTGGGGTACTAGGAGACCCCAGGACCAATAACCCCCATCCTAGGAAAGGAAGCAGAGTCAGGCAGGGTGAGGCCATCCTCTGGGGTGAGGCCGAGGCCCAGGCAACTGGATGTTTGTTGTTCCCGTGGCTGAGAGGAAGAATGGAGGGAGTGGCCATTGTCAATACAAAGATCTCAAGGAGAATCAGTCCATGAGTCAGGCCGACTAGAGCCAGTAAGGGGGGCCACGATCAACAATGGCGCTTCCAGAGGCCACCAAGGCCGAGGCCGTGATGTGGAGAGGGTGGGTGGAGAGTGGCATCACACAACACCTGGAACTTGGGCTTCAGGGCATCCTGGTGCTCTGCTGAGCCCGTCCGTGGGGATCCCCTGGTGTGGCCTGGGATCCCAGAGCCATCAGCAGCTGCGGCACTGCCTGGCCAGGGTGAGGGTTGAGCAGGCCTCCCTCCAGGCAGAGGCCTCCCCTCCCTACTCTTGCCATGTGGTCCACATGGGAACTGCCCGACTGCCCTGGTCGGGAGCAGATGGGACCCCCCACTTTCCCTTTCAAAGACAAAGCTGAGATGAGAGCTGCCGGTGGCTGGGCCTCCATCTCTGGAGGAAGCCATGGTACAGGAGGAGAGTGAGAGCCGCTATTCAGGAAGAGGCAGAGGGGCCGATCGCCCGGTGGAATCTGGTTGTTTCCAGCAATACCCGGCCCCGCTCAGCTTATCTGAGCCAATAAATCCCTGCCTTTAAAATAAAAAAGATGCTTCAGGTTGGGTGTCGCTAGCAATCCAAAGGTTTATAACCTAAACACTGACCCTGGTCACTCAGACTTGGGATTGCTGCTTGAGTTTTGTGTGCCACATTGCTCCCATCTTCCTTCAAAACCCACCTTCAAGCCCAGTGTAACTCCGGTCCTTAAATTTTTAACTATGAAACCACCTCCAACGCTCCACAGGCCCTTTACCCTTCCATCGGGAGGTGCCGATGGATGCCCAGGGCTCGGGTGCTTCCAGGGAAATCAGCATTTGGCTGGGCCCCTTCGGTTTGCTTAGGAGCAAACTCCTCTTTCGTTGAGTTCAAAACCACTCCAGGCTCCACTCCATCCTCCACTCTCTACTCCGTCCACCACTCTCTTCTCCACTCCATCCTCCATCTCTCCTCCACTCCATCCTCCACGTCCTCCTCCACTCCTTCCTCCACTCCATCCTCCACTACATCCTCCACTGTTTCCTCCACTCCGTCGTCCTCTCCACTCCCTCCTCCACTCCATCCTCCACTCCCTCCTCCACTCCTGCTCCACTCCATCCTCTACTGTCTCCTCCACTCAATCCTCCACTCCCTCCTCCACTCCATCCTCCATCCTGAACCCCATCCTCCACTCCCTCCTCCACTCCATCCTCCACTCCATCCTCCACTGTCTCCTCCACTCCATCCTCCACTCTCTCCTCCACTCCATCCTCCACTCCCTCCTCCACTCCATCCTCCACTCCCTCCTCCACTCCCTCCTCCACTCCATCCTCCATTCCATCCTCCACCCCATCCTCCACTCCCTCCTCCACTGTCTCCTCCACTCCCTCCTCCACTCCCTCCTCCACTGTCTCCTCCACTCCCTCCTCCACTCCATCCTCCACTCCCTCCTCCACTCTCTCCTCCACTCCATACTCCACTGTCTCTACTCCCTGCTGCACTCCCTCCTCCATCCTCCACTCCCTCCTCCACTCCATCCTCCATTCCATCTTCCACTCCATCCTTCACTTCCTCCTCCACTCCATTCTCCACTGTCTCCTCTACTCCCTCCTTCACTCTCTCCTCCACTCCATCTTCCATTCCATCCTCCACTCCCTCCTTTACTCCATCCTCCACTCTCCTCCACTCCATCCTCCACTCTCTCCTCCACTCCATCCTCCACTCCCTCCTTCACTGTCTCCTCCACTCTTCTCCACTCCATCTTCCACTCTCTGCTCCACTCAGGAAAACAAGTTTCCACCTTCACTTTTATTTCAAAATCGTGAGGGTTCTCTTGGTGTCGTGTATAAATGTAAGATGATGAAGGAACAAAAGAGGGGATGATGTGGCCTGTGATTAAGGAATTCAGCACAGAGATTAAAGGTGGGACAGATGGTGACAGTGGCAGTGCCCGGCTCGAGGTCCAGACTCAGCTCTGGGCTCTTTTGGTGGATGATACCTGGGCCACAGCCTCGGCCATGAGGCCCAAGGTTCGTGCTGAGGATTTTAAGGTCTCCATCAGGCACAGGCAGCAGTGGGCCCAGCAAACTGGACTGAAAAGTTCACGGTCATAATTGTAGTTAAATAAAACTCAGAAACTCGATCTGGCCCAGGGGTGAAATACACCACAGTTTTTTCCCACACAGTGGTTTGGCTAATGGAAAGTTTACTGCTGGACTATGAGGCTCCATGACCAGTGGCCGTGGGTGGGGACAGGCAGGCACTGCAATGCTTTGACTGGGCTTCGTGCCCCACCTAGGGGCTCTGGCCTCGCAGCACTGTCTCCAGGCCCAGGACCCTGCAGCACGCTGCACTGGCCCTGCCCCTCTGCCCTCACCCACTCTCTGGCTGGTCTCAGGGGTCAGAGAGCAAAGCAGGTCCCCAAGCCAGACAGACGTGGCATCAAACCTCATAGCCTTCCAAAGCGATGGAGACACAGCAAAAGCTGACGCCTGTCACCTGTGAATCAGGCTCCAGTTCTCTCACCGAGGCCTGTCACCAAACGCCCTGAGTCCCCGTTACAGCGGCCTTCTGCTCTTACAGCAGCAAACCCAGCACTGAGCTTTTCTCTTCTGCTCTGTTGGTTCTCCAACATCTACCATCAGTAGCCACCCCCGCTCCTGATGTCACCCTCCCATGTTAAGGATAGATCCCAGTTCCACTCTCCAGAATCCTGGGTCCTCTGGCTCTGAAAATGCCCTGAATCTCTCCCACCCTCATCTCAGCCCATCAGTGACCCTCTTCCTGCCAGCCACCCGCTCGTATACCCAGGGCTCCCGTTAACCTTCCAGCCCTGACTCCTGCGGGATGACAGCCCAAGAAGAAGAGGGCACAGGGGTTCCACCCAGCGACGAGAGGGTCTAAGCAGAGATGAGAGGAGGGGCCCAGCCTCTGCTCCTCCTCTTGTCCTGGTGCCTTTGGCTCCATAAATTCCCAGAAGCAAGATGGCGCCATGGGCCTAAAGCTGGCATTAAACCAATATGATTTCAGGGGCAAGACCAAACTGCTGTTCCGAATTTTAGTCTGCGATTGGGCCAAAATGGCATTATCACTTTCCTGGGCAGAGGATCCTCATTTCTGAGTCCCTGTCCTAGGCCGGGGCCAAGGGCTCCAGCCGCAGTGGCAGCAAAGCCAAGACTCTCCCCTAACTCAGCATGGAGGGGAGGGAAGGAAGACCAGGGCCAGGCAGCGGGCTGGGAGTCGGGGGTGTGGGAGCCAAGACGGGGATTGGACTAGGGCCAGGGAGGGCCCTGAAGGTAGGTGCTAAGCTGAGGTGTGTGAGGGACCCTCTGGGAGGTCTTGACCCCATGGGATGCGGAGTTGGGTTTTCCTAGCCCTGGCTCCTGCCTCCGTCCCCCTGGCCTACAGCCCCTGCATGCCTTGGTCCCTGCCTGCTCCTCCCAATGCCACCGCATGCCACCTTTAGGCTCTTGTGGGACCTCAACTCCTCAGCTTCCTGCCCCTCTCCACCTCCAGCTCTCAGACCTTTCCCCTCCCTGTCACTGAACACACTGTGAGGCCCTTGCTTTGAGAGGGCAGGGAGGGCCTGGGACTGTTCCCACGGTGTCCTGTCGGGGCCAGGCACAAGCTCAAACTTAAATGTGCATATGGGTCACTGGGCAGGGCTCGCGGGCCTGAGAGCTTGCACTCTAAGGAGCCCAGGTGCTGTCGATGTTGCTCAGCTTCTGGTCGCAATGCAAGGGTCCCTTCCTGAGCTCACCACACGCTGGGGTCACTCCGGGCTGTGGCTACCACTGGGCCTCGCTTCTGCCTTCTGCAAAAACCACAAACTCCCCAGGGCAGCACATGTGTCACAGACGTCTTTTTAACAGCTTTATTGAGGTATAATTGACAACAGTCAACTCTATGTGTTTAAAGTATACAATGTGGTGAATTTTGACGTGTGTAAACAACCATAAAATCATCGCCATAATCAAGATCGACACAGTCAACGTCACTCCCAACAGTTTCCTCTGGGCCCCTTGTAATTCCTCCCACCTCACCCCATGTTTAGGCAATTGACATTTCTTGTCATGATAGATTAGTTTGCACTTTCTAGAATTTTATACATACAAGGTAAGGCAAGATAGGTGGGTGGGGACAGGCAGGCGCTGCAATGCCTTGGCTGAGGTTCATACCCCACCCAGGGGGCTCTGGCCTGGCAGCCCTGTCTCCACACCCAAGACCCTGCAGCACGCTGCCCTGGCCCTGCCCCTGCCCCTGCCCCTCTGCCCTCACCCACAGTGAAGACACCTCATCACACAAGATATATTCTTTTTTTGACTGGCTTCTTTCATTCAGAATAATTATTTTGAGATTCATCCCTGTTGTGGTGTGTACCAATAATTTAGTCCTTTTTATTTATTTATTTATTTTTATTTTTATTTATTTATTTTTTTGAGATGGAGTCTCACTCTGTCGCCCAGGCTGGAGTGCAGTGCCATGATCTCAGCTCACTACAAGCTCCGCCTTCTGGGTTCACGCCATTCTGACTGCCTCAGCCTCCTGAGTAGCTGGGACTACAGGCGCCCACTACCACGCCCAGCTAATTTTTTTGTATTTTTAGTAGAGACGGGGTTTCACCATGTTAGCCAGGATAGTCTCGATCTCCTGACCTTGTGACCCACCTGTCTCGGCCTCCCAAAGTGCTGGAATTACAGGTGTGAACCATCGCACCTGGCCTAGACCTTTTTATTAGTAGTAGTATTCCATTGTACAGATATGTCACAATTGGTATATGTGCCTACTACAAATAAAGCTGCTGTGAACGTTCATGTACACATCTCGGTATGGACACACATTTTGTTTCTCTTCAAAACGTATAAAAGTATACGTTTAACTTATTAAGAAGCCATCCTGGCAGGGTGCAGTTGCTCATGCCTGTAATTCCAACACTTTGAGAGGCCAAGATGGGAGGATCGTTTGAGGCCAGAAGTTTGAGACCAGCCTGGGCAACATACTGACACCCTGTCTCTACAAAAAAGAAAAGAAAAGAGAAAGAAAGAAACCATCTAACTGTTTTCCAAAGTTATACCAATTTATATTCCCACCAGAAGTGTATGAGAATTCCTTCCAGTTGCTCCACATCCTCACCAACACTTGGTATGGTCAGTCTTTCTAATTCAAACATTCTAATGGGTGTGTAGTGCTTTCTCGCTATGGTTTTAATTCATGTCTCCCTAATGACTAATGATGTTGAGCAACTTTTCATGGGAGTATTTGTCATCCAAATGACTTCTTTGGTGAGGTGTCTGTTCAAATCTTTTGCTAATGTTTCGATTGGGTTGTTTATTTCTTATTTATCACATTTGAGAGTTCTTTACATATTCTTGATACAAGCCCTTTATCAGACATGTACTTTGCAAACAGTTTCTCCCAGTCTGTGGTTTGTCTTTTCATGCTTTTCCAAATGTCTTTCAAAGAGCAGAAGTTCTTAATTTTGATGAAGTCCAATTTATCAATTTTTTTATTTTAGGAATCACGTTTTTGGTGTTGTATCTAAGAAATGTTTGTTTCCATTTCAGTGCCTGGCCCTAGGCATGTATGCCCCTGTTGCTCAATCAGTGCTTGTGTCCGGCAGAGCAAAGGTTGAGGCAGGCTGGCCACGGGACTTTGGCAATAGATGAAGGAAGACTAGAGGTGCGAGGAGACATGGCTCCAGAGGGCTGAAGAAACACTGGTAGTACCTTGAGATGTCCCAGGAGGTGAGCAGGACAGGCTGCAGCTGCGAAGGCAGGCCTGGGGCAGGGAGGTGCAACTTGGGAGCTTGGATGCTGTGTTCTCCTGCCATTGGTGGCAAGTGGCATCTCTCTCCTTTCCTTCCTCTCCCTCCTCTCCTCCTGTCCATCCTTCCTTCTTTATTTCTACCTTCTTTTTATTTCTTGCTTGCTTGTTTGTAAGCTGGCTTTACATCTCTTTTGTGAACTCTTTGCCCTATTTCTCTCCTGGGGTCTTCTTGTCTATCCATGTAGGGGACCTCTGCATGTAGTAAAGGCACCAACCTTTTCTTTCCTATTGCTCCCAATCTTCCTCGGAATCATGATTTTCTGTCTTTTGACCCTGCCAACCTTTGCAGGCTTTGACCAAACCACCATAGAACATTCTCAGACAAGTCACTTCTCTCAGGCTCCCAAGTGTGCTCTCTCTCCCCAGTGACCCCAGACCTGCTGGGGTGGAGGAAGGGGTCCATCTATTTAGGTGAGGAAGGGGTAGATCTGGGTCTTCTAGAAGAACCTTTGAAAGCTCTGTAGCCGGGGGTGGTGGCGCATGCCTGTAGTACCAGCTACTTGGGAGGCTGAGGTGGGAGGATCACTTGAGCCCAGGAGGTCAAGGCTGCAGTGAGCCAAGATTGTGCCACTGCACTCCAGCCTGGGCAACAGAGTGAGACCATGTCTCAAAAAGAAAAAAAAGAAAGCAAGCTCTGATGCTCAAGAAGACTTGTCATTCTCACAGTCTTTGCTGCCCCCCACCAAAAGTTTCCCCATGTTCTGGTGCCCCTGTCTCCTCCCCATCTGCTAGGGCAAGCCGTTTGTGGGAGACAGATCACAATAACAGCATCAGTCTGGAATCTTTAGTCATGAGTGACCAAAACCACAAATGAAAAATTATTGGCTCCTGTAACCAAACCAGGGGAGGCAGGGTAGCACCTAAATTGCCACACAAACATAGTGGCTTAAAACAGCTCACACTGACCATCTCACAGTTTCTGCAGGTCAGAAGTCCAGGCCGGCTCAGTTAGTTCTCAGCTCAGAATTTTATAAGGTTGGAATCAAGGTGTCTGTCAGCCACCGGGGCTTTACTGGGAGGCTCAGGAAGCTCTTGGGTCTAGGCTCATCAGAGCATGGGCAGAATCCAGTTCCTCAAGGGTGTGGGACTGAGGTTCCTGTTTCCTGGCTGGTGTCAGCCAGGGCTGTCCTTGGCTCCTCAAGGACCCCTCTGGAGTCTCTGGACCAAATATGGGTCCAGTAAAGGAGGCCAAAGCCATCTCATGCGCAGAATCTCTAACTTTCTCTTCTGCTGCATCACCTCTGCTTGCAGCCAGCGACAGTTCCTTGCTTTTATGGACTCGTGTGATTAGATTGGACCACCCCAGATAATCCAAGATAATTTTTCTGTTTTAAGGTCCATGACCTTAATTACATCTGCAAAGGCCCTTTTTTCCCTGTGACCTAACATAGTCCCAGGTTCCAGGGACAAGGGTATGGATATCTTTGGGGAAAGAGCATTCATTTGCCCACTGCAGGGCCTCGAAACCAGGATTCCAGCCCTGTTCAGACTCTGGTTTCTCTGTTTTGCTTTGCGTGTTGTTTTAGTCTTTTCCCTGCAGTGAAGGGGCCTGGGGTGCACAGCACAATATTTCCCCAATATATTCAGAGTCACACCTTAAAAACCCTGATGATCAGAGACCAGTGCCCTTTGAAAATCCCCAGGGAAGGGCCTTGATTGACCCAGCTCGGGTCACAGGCCCATCCCTTGGACCAAGCACATTGTTGGGGTGCAAGGGGTATAAGGTACCATGACTGGTCCAACCTGGCCAAGAGGCCACCCCTGAGACTAGAGGAGTGAGGTCTCTACTAAAAGATGGAGACAGGTGCTAGCTACAAAGCCAGAAATGATGTTGTGATTATCATCATAGGGGGCCACCTGTGGACCCTGCTAGTGGGGCTCAGGGAGGCTGCTGCCTTAGTGCTTCACTGCAACCCTGGGAGGTCACACTATTATTATTATTTTTTTTAGAAAATATATAATAATAATATTATTTATTATCATTTATGCTGGGAAGCAGTGGTGCAGTCATGGCTCACTGCAGCCTCAATTTCCCAGGCTCGCCTCAGCCTCAGCCTCCTCTCACCTCAGCCTCAGCCTCCAAAACCACAGGCACGCACCACCACACCCTGCTAATTTTTAAATTTTTGTAGAGACGGGGGTCTCACTGTGTTGCCCAGGCTGGTCTTGAGCTCCTGAGCTCAAGTGATCCTCCTGCCTCCGTCTCCCAAAGTGCTGGGATTACAGGCGTGAGCCGCCACGCCTGGCCGGGTTGCATTATTAACGCTACTCTAATGGCACCAAGTCCCAGCCCCACCACCCACCTGCCTCAGTTTCCTTCTCTGTAAAATGGGACTAACAAGAATCTGTGCCTGGCCAGGCTGTAGGGCTGCTGGGGAAGCAGAGAGGAGGGTGTGTGTGAAGAGGAGGCTTCGCGTGTGTGAGGAGGCCTTTGGCCAGAGCCTGGGAAGGACTTCTGGAGCCCTCCAGCTCTCCAGCCCACCTCTCTCCCAGGGCAGCAGAGCCACGGGCAGAGAGATCTGGCGGGCCTAGTGGGAGCAGGGCTGCCCAGCCTGCACCTGGTCAGGCTCTGCTCCATGAAAAGGCAGCCATTCAGGGCCAGCTTGGACGGCAGCCGGGTGACGAGAGACAGGGAGCCCTGTGCTCCGGAGAGGAAGCAGGCCTCCGTGTGGCCTCAGCGTGGGGCTGAGCTGCCAGCTCAGGAGGGGAGGCGCCCGAGAGGGAAGACTAAGCTAGTGTTTGGGGCTGAGGGGCTGAAAGGAGGCTGTGTGTACCCAGGCTGGCCGCCCGGTGGGCGGGATGTGAGTCATGGTGGCCTGGGGGAGGGTGCTGCCTGGGCCCAGCTGTCCAGGGCGAGGGGCACAATGCCCACCGCGGGTGAATATGTGGCAGTATGTGCTGGGGGTGGGGCTGAGGCTCTGCACATCTGGCCAAGCCGCCCCAGGCTCCCTGGGGTGGGCACACCCCATTGCCCTCTGAATATGGCTGCCCCTCCTCCCTGCCCAGGTCTCCAGGCTGCCATGCTGGCGATGTGGTCCCGTAGTTGCTCAGCCAGTGGGCATCAGCCCCGCCCTTCTGCGTGCTGCCCACCAGGAAAACGGAAAGGCCGGTCCCTGCTCTTAGTGGTGCCCCGTGTGGTGGGACAGGTGGAGGAGGGACAGACAGAGGAGGCTCGTGCAGGGGAACGCCAGCCAAGGAGGGAGCGCCTGCTCCAAGGGAGGGGGCATTTGAGGTGGGTTTTGAAAGATGAGCAGGAACTCACTGGATTCTAAAAGGCGGGTGGAGAGAGCACATTTGAGCAGAAGGAAGGCTGGGATCTGAGTGAACGGAGACCAGGGTTGCTGGATTGAGGTTGGGGGCAGATGCGGGTGGTGTTAAGGGTTTGTGGACAGTGCCCAGAGGGCCCTGAAGGTGATGGGAGGCACAGACTTGAGAACTTGGGCAAAGATCACAAGGGCTGCTCACGGATGTAACAGGGCCCTGCCTGGTCCTCAGCCCCTTCCCAAGGGCCTACCAGGCAGAGTTTCACTGGTAACAGATGAGCTGGCTCAGGGAGGCCCCTTCCACCTGGGAAAGGCCATGGACATGGTGTGTGTGTGTGTACGTCTCTGGCTGTGTGTGGATGGGTGTGTGTGTGTGTGTGTGTTTTTTACCAAGTGTGCATGTATCTCAGGTGTGTGAGGGTTACATGCATGTCTGTGTATCTGACCTCTATGTGTATAGGCATGGTTTGTGTCTCTCCAAATATGCGTGTGTGTCTGTATGTGTATGCATGTCCCTGAGTGTGTGTGTTCATGCGTCTGGGTTCACACGTATGCCTGCGTGTTTCTGTGCGTGTGTTTGTGAGAGTGTGTGTCTATGTGTGCCCACCAACGCCCCTGCCGACAGCAGCCTAGGTGCAGCCCCGCCGCCCTGTGTCCGGGGCGCGCTGCTCCACTTCTTCTTTGCCTTCTGAGCCCTCTTTGCTGGGCTTCCAGTTCCTGGGCATCTTTGAACTCCAGCTTCTCTCTCTGGCTGCCCAGCTCCACCCTGACTTTCCTGGGTCCCAAACCCAAAAAGCTCAGAGCAGCCAATGGGTGCCTGGGCACAGGAAAGGGTCCAGAGAGCTGCCCAGCCCCAGAAGGAGCTGCGTCCTCCCTCCACTGGCCAGCCTGCGGCTCCTCCCCACCCCAGAAAGAAGGGCTGATCAGGAGCACATGTGGAGGCATTTCCCAGCACCTCTCACCTGATTCTCCAGCCTTCTGGGACTCTCATCTAGGGCTCTGTTTTGGATGATCTGAGAGTCCCAGGGGCTTGGCATGAGTGGGAGACCAGGCCCAGGCATCTCTGCAGCTGCTGAGTGAGCCTCTGGAACCAGGTTTTCTTGATAACAGCAGCTTCCTTTGACGGATCTGCCCACTCCAGGCTGTTCTCATGGGGCTGCAAATCTCAGGACTTGTCCCAACCACAGAAGGGAATGCATAACCCAGGCCTGGCCCACTGTGGTACCCCCGCCCCCCCGCAACGTGATCATTGGCCTAGGTTGGGGACATGACTGAAGTGAGACTAGTGAGAGTCCTTCCCTAGACATCTGTATATGGAGGCCGAGACAGGGAAAAACCTCTCTTTTCTCTGAGGTCCCTGAGATGAGGTGACAAATGCCTCAGCCCATTTGCGAGCCTGTGTTTCTCCTGCTCTTCATGAAGAAGTCCGCAGACCTTAGGGAAGAGCTAGGGGCTGGGCAACTGTCCAGAGAGAGAGGCTGTGGAGGGAGAGGGGATCCTGTTATATGAGCCAACAAATCCCTCTGGCTGGAGCCACCTTGGGTCGGGCTGCTGTCTCTCACAACCAGAGGAGCCCTGAGCGATCCGTGCCTGGAACCACACAGCTGGGTTTCCAGGGAGCACCTTTGCCTGGCCCTCGACATGCCTCATCGTTCCTCCCTGGCCTTCTCAGATCCTGCACAGAGGCTGTGGACACCCTCTTCCATTCCTCAAGCTCTAAACCCACTTCTGCTTCCTCAACTGCCACCTATTTCAGTGGGAAATTTTAACTTCCTTAACTCGTTCCTTTCTGGCCCCAATTGCTTCCATTGCCGCTTCCCCATTCTGTCCTCCTCCTGCCCAGGTTCAATGACGCAGTGGCCCTCCTCTGGCCCTGGCTCAAGGCCCACCAAGAGAGCAGGGATTGGAGGGCTGAAAACCGGTGGTTCCCAAACCTGCCTACACTTTGAGAATCACTGGGAATCTCTGGGAAATTACAGTCTCCTAGGCAGCATCCTTGCATGCAGGCTCTGGAATTGGTAAGAAGCACCTCCTCTGGGAGGGCAAGGTGTCTTCCTGGTTGTTGGGCTTGGCTTTATTGGGCAGGACTGGGCCATGGAAGGGCACCTCAGGGTTCCCCGCAGCAGGATGCTGCCTGGCATGCTGCTTCTATGAGAGCCCTGCTTGCAGCCTTTTTTTTTTTTTTTTTTTTTTAAGATGGAGTCTCTCACTCTGTCGCCCAGGCTGGAGTGCAGTGGCACAATCTCGGCTCACTGCAAGCTCCGCCTCCTGGGTTCAAGTGATTCTCCTGCCTCAGCCTCCCAAGTAGTTGGGATTACAGGCACCCGCCACCACGCCCAGCTAATTTTTATATTTTAGTAGAAACGGAGTTTCACCATGTTGATCAGGCTGGTCTTGAACTCCTGACCTCAAGTGATCTGCCCGCCTCAGCCTCCCAAAGTGCTGGGATTACAGGCCTGAGCCACCATGCCCGGCCACATGCAGCCTCTTTAAACTTCTTCCTGTTTCAGTTCAACGCCTTGTGATCTGGGCTTCTTTCTGGCCCAGTCTTCCCTTGGGCAAGGGGAGTTCCCAGACTCCAGACCACCCACACCTTGAAGACACGGTCATCTCCTCCTACCTCGCTGCTTGCTCCATCCTGGCCTTCTCCTCCTCCCACCCCTTCAAAGGAAGACCTGTCCCCCAGGGAAATGTGTTCTCCCTTTTCATTTTCCATCCCTACTTCCCTTCCTGCCCTAGATCCACACACTGCCTTGGCTTCACACAGGAGCCATTTCTGGGAGACATCAGTTTACCTGGGGGCACTCCCCCAGTGCTTGTCTGGGTAGTGAGCCCCTTGACTCAGCAGCCTTGAGGTCCCTCCTGCACTGCCCTGCAGGATGGGTCAGGTTCTCTGCAGAGGATATTGGTGGCCTTCAAGGACCAGAGGTAGTTGAGAAAGCGTAGGTCTCACCCCACCCTTCCCCATCGGGTGGCATATTATAATGAAATCAACTCTCAGACCCAACGGCTACCCTACTGGAAACATCTGTTAGCACGAAGCACAGAAACAGACACCCTGCCCCTGCCCACAAGCTCAGGGAAGTCTCACTCTGTCCTGTCACAACAGCTTTTGTCAGGGTGAATTCAAGGACATGCTCACCATGACTAGCTAACCTCCAGTCAGAGCACCACCTGCGGGGGCCCAGAACCACTCAGAGAAAGTTCTAGACCCGGGGCACTGCCCTGCTGGTGGCTGGACTTGCCCAGGCACAGGCAGAGGGGACTTGCGGTGCCTCTTCCCAGGCACACATCTTCAGCAACACTCTTTTTACTACAGAACAATGATTTCCGACCCTCCCGTGTTAATGTACAGACCCTCTGCTGTGACAGTAGACAACCACATTTGAAGTGCTGGCTGTGGCTGCCCCTGGAGTGTAGACTGCTGCTCAGGGTCTTTCAAAAACACCAACTAAGTTTAACTCACACGCTCACAAAATCACAGCAGCACTGAGGCGATTACAGCCAGCATAGCTGCCTGCCCGTGGCCCCTGCTGGGCTCCGCGCTCTCGCCCCACGATGGCCACCTCTCTGCAAGGCACGCAAGACTCCTCACCTTCTGCTTTGGGGGTCCCTCTGACCCAAGTTGGCCCCCACCTTGTCCAGTCAAGCCACTGACCCAGTGTGTTTTCTGGCCAGTCAGATACTCCCACCCTTGGGTCTCTGCAGCCCTCGCCTCTGGGCAAAGGCCTGTGCTGGGGTTACCAGCAGGGTCGGATTCCAACCTATTCTGGAAGGTTGAAGGGGTGGGATATAAAAGAAAGTGGAGGTGGAGGTAGGGATGGGCTGAGGGGCCAAAAGATGTACTGGGGAAGGGGGCATTTCTTGGGGTCCTCCAACGTCCTGGCTCACGAGCTTCCCCCTCCAAGGGAGCAACCTGAGGTGCACAGAGTGGCCTTGTGACAAGGACACAGAACCCACCTCCACCTTGGCTTGGGACTCCTGCAGCCTATGCAGCCAGCTCATCCGTCACCCACCCTCTTCTCCTGGTATCTGCCACTCTGGAACTTCCCTCTACCTCTGGGCTCTGCCTTCAGCCAGGGTTGGGGACAGCAGGTAGGCAGATCCCATCGCAGACAGGCCTGCCTTCCTCAGGGCCTCGCTTAAATCCACAGGAATCTGCTGGGGCTCTGCCCTCTGGCTGGGGCAGGTGGAACTGGCCAGATTGGCGGTGGGGGGACCACTGTGCTTGCCATAGGGACTGGCCCAGCTGCCCCACAGGGGAGCACATTGGAGTAACAGGGGAGGCTGACCCGAGCCTGGCCCGGCTCCACACTCCCCACCCCCACCCCACCATCAGGGACTCGCATTTAATTGTCATTCATTTCCCCTCTCTGAATTCAAACTAGGCACAGATCAAATGATTCCATGATGACAAACTGCCTGTCTCAACTGACCAGATTCCACTGGCAAACACTCCGCTGACCTTGGGCAGCTCCCTCTGCTCCCACCTCCTCTGGCCCTTGTGCTTCTGGGGCTTTGTGGAGTAGCTGGACATCAATGATAACACTAACAGTAGCCGGCCTGCCACCAAGTTCTTTACATAGGGGATGCCTATGTCTGTGCTTCATTGGCGTCATCTCACAAGGCCCTGAGCTGGCAGGAAATTGAGGTCTCAAGGGGAAAAGCCACCTGCCCCCAGTGACAACCAGGAAGTGCAAGACTCTGACCCAACGCCCATGCCTGCCATCCCCAAACATGGGCTCAAAACCCCCTTCCCAGGGACGGCTGTGTCCACCCCTCAGCAGGAGGAGGAGACCCCACAGCACCGGGTGAGAGGTCAGTGCTGAAGCCAGGGAGGCAGCTCTCAGCAGGGCACCTGTGTGGAGCCAGGGAAGCCAGGGCCACACTTGCAGGGTGAAGTGGGGAACTCGGAAGGCTGGGCAGTGGAGCAAAATGCTTGGTGCCCTGCGGGAACCGGTGGCCAAGGCTACACTGGGATGAAGGGAGCCGTGGAGCTGCAGAATCTGCGGGTGGCCCTCAGTGGCAGGCAGCCAGGCCAACAGGGGCTTTGGGCTGCAGGTCAGCCCCTCCCCTGCTCTGGAACTTTTGGAGGGCCATTACAAAGGACATCAGCCCCAAGATACTCCTCTGAAATTCTGCCTGAAAGGCCCTTCACATTCCCTAATTGGCACTTACAACATTCCAGAACATTCTATGGTACCTTAAGTTTCTCCTCCCCCTCCAAAGGGCCCTTGAACCTTAAGGATAGGGCAGAAGGGGCTCCTCACCCTGGCCTCGAGGGCTTAAGATCCAGCTGAGGACTCCTAGCCTCCCTGTGTGCTGGGCAGGAAAGTAGCTCCATGTCACTGCTGTCCCTGGGAAAGGAAAAAAGGTTGAGGAAGGGCTCAGAGCCAGCCTTCAGACCAGGCAGGAAGGGTTCAGAGCCAGCCTTCAGGCCATGCAGGCCTCCTGGATGTGCTTACTAACTCTGGGCTCGCTGTTCTCTGAGCTGGCTGGGAGTTCCCCTCTGCACCCCCGTTTCCTCCCCTGTAAGGTGGGAATAATAGCGTATGTCTCTAGGATTAAGTGAGCCAGTCATGCATGGGCCGAGAACCAGGTTTGGCATATTGTAGCTGCTCAGTGGACGTTAGCTGTTATGATTGGACCACAACGTGCTTCCGTTTCAATTCTGTGGGCCTTTTGGAGGTCCTGCTGGATGCTAAGCACCGAAACCTCAACCCGGAACAAGACCAGAACAACCTGAGCAACAACAGGACCAGCGATGGCTCTCCCTGCTGGAGGATTCTGGAAGTCACCTGGCTGGACCAAGCCCTCTCCGTGTTCTCTGTCAGCCCACTCCCCAGAGCCGCTAGGCCTGATGTGCACAAGCAGACTAATAAAGGCTTGAGGACAAAAAGGGTTTTGAGTGATAAGTGAAAAAAGAAAGGAGATAGGGCTGGGCCAACAGGCCTTCCCTTGGTGGTGGGGAGCCCTCAGAGGTGGGAGGAACCCCAGAGGTGAAGAGAGGGACATGGTGGGGGCACAAAAAAAGCTTCCAGAGCCACAGGCCTGGGCGAGTCCTGACATGGAGCCCAGTCTCATACGGCCTCTTTCCCTAGTGGCTGGCTTTGCTCCTGGCCCTAGGTAGCCCAACAGCTGGGCAAGGGGTCCGTCTGGTCAGGGGAAAGGTGCAGGGGCAGAAGGTAGCAGAGGGAGAAAAGGACACCCTGTCTGCCTCTGGCCCCAAAGACAAGTCCGAATGGGGCCAGAGGGAAATGGCTGGGCCTTGGGGTGCCCCAGGGTCTTGGAGGGGACCGGGTGTTCAGGTTTCGCACAAGTACAGGAGGGACCGGCGACCGCCCTCCCCCCGCCCCGGGAGGCTCCGCCAGGGACAGGCGTCCCCGGGATTGGAGGTGACCCCCGTGGGTTCCGAAGCCCCGCCTCGGCCATGCACTGTCTACTAGGCGCGCTTGGGGAGCCTAGGGGCCGTCTCGGAGAAATGGGGTGGTCCCCGCCAGGCGGCGGCGGGGCGGGCCCTGGGCGCCGAAGGGGTTAAGGCACCTGGGCCACCGCCCCTGCCGGCCCCTCCTCCCGCGGCCGGGAAGAGGAAAGTCGCGGCGGGGGCGCGGCCCGGTCTCCGTCCCCACCCGCCCGCCGTCCCGCCGGCCCGAGCCGTGGCGCCCAGAGCTGCGAGCCGCTCGCCCCTCCGCCGCTCCGGCCCGGGCCGCCATGTCGCTGTGGTGAGTGGGGCTGGGGGCCGTCGGGGGCCTGGGCGGGGGCGTGGGCCCGGGGCTCCCCCTCCTCCGTGGCCACAGACGGGCGCCGGGACTCCCGGGATAGGAGATGCCCCCGCGCGCGCCGCGCCGGCCTCAGTTTCCCGGGGGCGGATGGGCGGGCGGGCGCGGCGGCGGCGGCGGGAGATGTTCGCGGTACGCGGCCCCGGACCCGTGGGGGACGTCGAGGGGTCTCGGGGCGCCGCGCTCAGCTCCCCGGCCCCGCGGCCCTGGACACCGCTCCAGGACCCTGGCGGCTGGGACCCCAGGTCTTGCCGGCAGCTGGGTCCCCTCTCCCTTCCAGACCCCTGAGGGCCCCCTGCGTCCGGGCCACTCTCCTCCTCTCGGGGCTTCCTTCCGCGGGACCTCGGACCGCCGCCCGCCCGGCCCCTCTCCGCCCCTCCCGGGCTTTCCCTACGAATGGAGCGGACCCGGCAGGTGGAGCGCCCGCAGCCCAGGGCCTCGCCGCCTTCCCGGTGCACCCCCCGACCTCCCCCGTCCCGGCCTCGGTGGGCGGCTTCCCTGGAACCCCTAGGGCTGGCAGGGCCGGATCCGGAGCCCTCCGTTTCCTCCCCGGAGAGCTGGACCTTGGGTCACACCCCCCAGCCTGCACCTAAGGTGCCCCTGTCTTCCTCCAACCACATGCCCCAGCAACCTGGGGACCCTATGGGGAAAATGTCGCTCTATGGGGCTCAGCCTGCATTCACCCTGGGGCCTGGACCTGCAACCGGACCAGCCCTCAGGGCAACCCAGGCGTCTCCACGGGCTGCCTGTCTCTCCTGGCACCCTGCTCCTCCCCCTTGGAGGTCAGCGCCATCTCTCTGCTAGGCTGGCCCTGGAAGGCCACTCTGCTGTCCCCAGAGCTCTCAGCCCCCAGGTCTCCACTGGGGAGGGTGGGGCAGGTGTCCTGGCAGCCCCCGGAGGGTGAGATGAAGAGAGGAGGTCCTTCAGGACAGGGGCTCAGGCCCCAGGGCTTGGGACGACCAGCACTCCTGGCAGAGAGCTCTAATTTCTGCTTCCGAAATGGGTGTGGACCGGGGTTGGGGTGGGGGGGTCTCTGGGCAAGAAGGGTCCCTCAAGGGCTGGAGCTGCAAATGTGCCCCCTCCCAGGGAGTAGAGCTGTAGCCTCATGTCTTCTAATGGGGTGTTATGAGCTGGGGATGTTAAGGTAGGGGTGAGGGGCAGTGCCATGCTAGAGGTGCTCACTGCATCCTTGGGCCTCCATCAACCATGAGGGCTGCTCTTTGTTGGGTGAGACAGACTGGAGAAGGGGGAGGAGGGCCAGTCTTCCTCAGGTCCCAAGCTCGAGCCACTCTCCAATGTGCCCCACATGTGATGGAGCTCCCGGGCGGCACAGAGGATCAGAGGGTGCCCTCTCAATGACTCTGGCTCTGAGTCACCTAATGATACCGATACCTACTGCTGTGGGTAGGTACACCGCAGGGAAATGAAAGGCATTGGGGTTCCAGGCGTGGGGAACAGGGCAGAGGTTTCCACCTGAGGCCCTCCTGTTAAGGTGACAGCATTCCCCTAACTGTGCACCCGCTGCCTGGTACTTTATATAGCACTCCAATCCTGTGTTTTAGCCCCATTTGGGGGAAGAAGAAATCGTGGCTCAGAGTGGTTGTAAACCACTCATTCAGCTTGTAAGCGTCAGGGCCTGATTCCACAGTGCTCCTTGAGGAGAGGGCAGGGTGGGAGAAAGAAAGGGCAGGGTGGGAGAGGAAGCGGGACCCTACCCTGACAGCTTAGGGACTCCGGGACTGAGCCTGTGCCCAGGTCCACTTGCCCGTCTGGGACCACCCAGCCTCCCAAGGGGGGCGCCAGGAGAGCCCTGGGCTCATCTTTTCTCTCTCCTCTGTACTGTCCGCTCTCCCCCACAGGAAGAAAACCGTCTACCGGAGTCTGTGCCTGGCCCTGGCCCTGCTCGTGGCCGTGACGGTGTTCCAACGCAGTCTCACCCCTGGTCAGTTTCTGCAGGAGCCTCCGCCACCCACCCTGGAGCCACAGAAGGCCCAGAAGCCAAATGGACAGCTGGTGAACCCCAACAACTTCTGGAAGAACCCGAAAGATGTGGCTGCGCCCACGCCCATGGCCTCTCAGGGGCCCCAGGCCTGGGACGTGACCACCACTAACTGCTCAGCCAATATCAACTTGACCCACCAGCCCTGGTTCCAGGTCCTGGAGCCGCAGTTCCGGCAGTTTCTCTTCTACCGCCACTGCCGCTACTTCCCCATGCTGCTGAACCACCCGGAGAAGTGCAGGGGCGATGTCTACCTGCTGGTGGTTGTCAAGTCGGTCATCACGCAGCACGACCGCCGCGAGGCCATCCGCCAGACCTGGGGCCGCGAGCGGCAGTCCGCGGGTGGGGGCCGAGGCGCCGTGCGCACCCTCTTCCTGCTGGGCACGGCCTCCAAGCAGGAGGAGCGCACGCACTACCAGCAGCTGCTGGCCTACGAAGACCGCCTCTACGGCGACATCCTGCAGTGGGGCTTTCTCGACACCTTCTTCAACCTGACCCTCAAGGAGATCCACTTCCTCAAGTGGCTGGACATCTACTGCCCCCACGTCCCCTTCATTTTCAAAGGCGACGATGACGTCTTCGTCAACCCCACCAACCTGCTAGAATTTCTGGCTGACCGGCAGCCACAGGAAAACCTGTTCGTGGGCGATGTCCTGCAGCACGCTCGGCCCATTCGCAGGAAAGACAACAAATACTACATCCCGGGGGCCCTGTACGGCAAGGCCAGCTATCCGCCGTATGCAGGCGGCGGTGGCTTCCTCATGGCCGGCAGCCTGGCCCGGCGCCTGCACCATGCCTGCGACACCCTGGAGCTCTACCCGATCGACGACGTCTTTCTGGGCATGTGCCTGGAGGTGCTGGGCGTGCAGCCCACGGCCCACGAGGGCTTCAAGACTTTCGGCATCTCCCGGAACCGCAACAGCCGCATGAACAAGGAGCCGTGCTTTTTCCGCGCCATGCTCGTGGTGCACAAGCTGCTGCCCCCTGAGCTGCTCGCCATGTGGGGGCTGGTGCACAGCAATCTCACCTGCTCCCGCAAGCTCCAGGTGCTCTGACCCCAGCCGGGCTACTAGGACAGGCCAGGGCACTTGCTCCTGAGCCCCCATGGTATTGGGGCTGGAGCCACAGTGCCCAGGCCTAGCCTTTGGTCCCCAAGGGGAGGTGGAGGGTTGAGGCCTACGTGCCACTGGGTGTGGTGGGGTGCAGGTAGCCAGAAAGGGACCTCCCTGTGTGGATAATTCTAGGAAACTGAGGCCCAGGAACGGTTGGAGCTGCCCAGTCTGGAGGCCCTCTCTGAGGAGCGAGGCGCCAGGCCCTGGCAGCCCTCCTGACCTGGGTCCGTTGCTGGCCCCCTCAGATGTGGTGGGAGGTCCTGGTGACCTCTGGAGGAACGCTGTGCTCAGGTACCTGGGCTAGGCCTGGCCTGATGGGTCTGTGGCCGCCCCTCGTCTTCACAGGGAAGAGTCTTCTGTGAAATGCCTCAGTCTCCCCAGAGGCCGGGCGGCCCTGGCAGGAGAAACTCAACCCTGTGCGGGCTCACAGGCACCCCCCAGTCCACACCCTGGTCTCCTGGGAGAGAGGGCCCAGCCGGCTCTCCGCAGCCCCAGGCCTGCCTGGAGACGGGCCGCCTCTGCCACAGGGCCTCCACTCCTGGCTGTGTCCTGTAAGGTCTGGAAGGGCGACCGCTCTGACTACCTCAGCGCCCCTCAGAATCTCCCTGGGGCTGCAGCCCTACCCCACCCCGACACAGGGCAGAAGAGCAGCGCTCCTGGCCCCCCGAAGTCCCAGAGCTGCTGACCCCCACCCCAGGCAAGTCTCTCCCGCAGCCCCCACACCCCCAGGCCTGGCTCCCTGGCTGGAAAGCAGCCGGTTTGGCCCTGGAAGTGGACATTCCTCTATTACTGTGAAGTTTTATTTATGAAGAATTTGGAGGGAGAAGGCTCCAGGCTTCAGGAGGGGGTGGTGTCCTCCCTGGCCCTCCTCCCTTCCCTCCCCTCATTCCAGCTGCCTGCCCTCAGCACCCCCAGGCCCCTCACAGCCCAGCCCCCTCCAGAGCCCTGCCCCACCGCACCCTGCTTCTCCAGGGCCTAGCAGACCAGCATCTGCCCCGGTGAAGGGATGGATCAGCTGTGGGGGTGGGTGCAGAAGGTTGCCACCTCCTACCTCAGCGGGAGTCACCTAGGAAAGATGGAGGGATTGACACTATTTTCTCAATAAAATGGGACTTTTTTTTTTTTTTTTTTTTTTTTTTGGTGTGAAACTTCCTGTTCCCAGCTGCATCAGAGAGCCTGTCTGGGGCCAAGGTTGCCAGAGATTTCTGAAGACACAGCTTGTTCCTTGTTCTTGGCTGGTGGGTGCACAAGGACTTCTGGAAGGGATTTAGACGGGGCTGAGTGCTAGGATTAAAGTGGGGATGGGAGTACGGCAACAGAAAAACCTGGGAGCTAGCAATGCACCCAGCCCTTGACTGTGCCCTGGTGGACAGCCGAGCTGTGGCTCTAGCGTGAGCCAGTGCCTTCCTGTCCCTGCCAAGGGTGAGGCCAGAGTTGGCCCCGAGGCTAATGTTTCAGTGGGTGAGATTAGGTCGGCCGTACAGAGGCCGGTGGGCTCCCTGACATCCCTTCCAGGCAACCTGAAAGCACTGAAATAGCTTATGGCCCTGTGCCAGGGACCTTGGCCCAAGCTGCTGACCTCCAGGGTGGGGAGGGAGCTACCCCCAGGAGAAGAGTCACTCAGACAGCAGTATGAGCAAGCCAGCCAGCAGCTCCGTGCCTGCACCCAGCTCAGGGGAATCCCAGGGGGTTCAGATGCCCAGGAAGGAAAAGGGGACAGCGCTACTGCTATGGAATGAGACCACCACTTCTCCTGTTGTCCTTCCCAGCTTCTCCCCAACCTCCCCTTTTCCCTAGTTTATAAGACAGGAGAAAAGGGAGAAAGCAAAAAGCTGGAAAGAAACAGAAGTAAGATAAATAGCTAGACGACCTTGGCGCCACCACCTGGCCCTGGTGGTTAAAATGATAATAATATTAACCCCTGACCAAAACGACTGGTGTTATCTGTAAATCCCAGACATTGTGTGAGAAAGCACCGTAAAACTTTTTGTCCTATTAGCTGATGTGTGTAGCCCCCAGTCACGTTCCTCACGCTTACTTGATCTATTATGACCCTTTCACGTGGACCCCTTAGAGTTGTAAGCTCTTAAAAGGGCTAGGAATTTCTTTTTCGGGGAGCTCGGCTCTTAAGACGCGAGTCTGCCGACGCTCCCGGCCGAATAAAAACCTCTTCCTTCTTTAATCCGGTGTCTGAGGAGTTTTGTCTGGGACTCATCCTGCTACATTTCTTGGTTCCCTGACCGGGAAGCGAGGTAATTGACGGACGGTCGAGGCGGCCCCTTAGGCGGCTTAGGCCTGCCCTGTGGAGCATCCCTGCGGGGGACTGTGGCCAGCTTGAGCTACGCAGATCCTGAGAGCACTCCCGGGTAGGCAATGCTCTTGACGGGTGGAACACCTCGTCAGAGCAGTGTGTGGCAGGCCCCCGTGGAGGATCAGCACAGTGGCTGAAGGAACGGGCACTTGGAGCCCGGACATCTGAAACTTGGTAAGACTGGTCTTTGGAACTTGCCCACTCCATTTGAGTGGAAGCATGTCCTGATCACCCACGGTGTGCCTGTACCGGCACTTTGGTTTTTGTTTTTGACTTGACTTGAATTGCTTGATACTTTGGTTTTGGTTTTGACCTGGCTTGGATTTCTGGATACTCTGGGTTTGGTTTTGATTCTGGTTTGGTGTAAACTGAAAAAGTGTGTGTGTGCCCTTTTTACCCATTCTTTGTTCTGTGGTGTGCGTGCGGTGTGAGCTTGGTGTTTTGTCTCAAGGAAACACGGGTCAGACACAAGGTAAGCCTACTCCGCTAGGAACTATGTTGAAAAATTTTAAGAAGGGATTTAACGGAGACTATGGGGTTACTATGACACCAGGGAAACAGAATTTTGTGTGAAATAGATCGGCCAACATTAGAAGTGGGTTGGCCATCAGAAGGAAGCCTGGACAGGTCCCTTATTTCTAAGGTATGGCACAAGGTAACTGGTAAGTCAGGACACTCAGACCAGTTCCCATACATAGACACTTGGTTACTACAGCTGGTGCAAGACCCCCCACAGTGGCTAAGAGGGCAGGCAGCAGCAGTGCTAGTAGCAAAGGGACAGATAGCCAAGGAAGGATCCCGCTCTACCCACTGGGGGAAATCAACTCCTGAAGTTCTGTTCGACCCAACATCAGAAGATCCATTGCAGGAGATGGCACCAGTGATCCCAGTGCTGCCCTCCCCTTACCAGGCAGAGAGGCTCCCTACTTTTGAGCCCACAGTGCTTGTGCCTCCGTAAGACAAACATATCCCTAGGCCACCCAGAGTAGACAAGAGAGGAGGTGAAGCCTCAGGAGAAACCCCTCCCTTGGCAGCTTGTTTAAGACCCAAAACTGGGATACAAATGCCCCTGAGAGAGCAGCGGTATACTGGGATAGAGGAGGATGGTCACATGGTGGAGAAGCGTGTTTTTGTGTACCAGCCCTTCACCTCTGCCAACCTTCTCAATTGGAAAAACAATACCCTGTCCTATACTGAAAAACCACAAGCTCTAATTGATTTGCTCCAAACTATTATCCAGACCCATAACTCCACTTGAGCTGATTGCCACCAGTTGCTCATGTTCCTCTTTAACACAGATGAAAGGCAGAGAGTGCTCCAAGCAGCAACTAAGTGGGTACAGGAACATGCACCGGCTGATTACCAAAACCCCCAAGAGTGTGTAAGGACCCAGTTACCAGGAACTGACCCCCAGTGGGATCCAAATGAAAGAGAGGATATGCAAAGGCTAAACCGAGACAGGGAAGCTGTCTTGGAAGGATTAAAGAGGGGAGCCCAGAAGGCCACAAACGTTAACAAGGTCTCTGAGGTCATTCGGGGAAAAAGAAGAAAGTCCAGCACAATTCTACCAGAGACTGTGTGAGGGCTATCGTATGTATACTCCCTTTGATCCCGTTAGCCCTGAAAATCAGCGAATGGTTAACATGGCTTTAGTTAGTCAAAGCGCAGAAGACATTAGAAGAAAACTGCAGAAACAGGATGGGTTTGCAGGGACGAACACATCACAGTTATTAGAAGTAGCTAACCAGGTGTTTGTAAACAGGGATGCAGTAAGCCCTAAGGAAAACCGCAGAGAGAATGAACGTCAGGCCCGGCGAAACGCCGAGCTGTTAGCTGCAGCAGTCGGAGGGGTCTCCTCAAAGAGGCAAGGGAAGGGGGGACCCGGGAAAGAGACTCAGCCTGGCTGTCAGAGCTTGCAGTGTAACCAGTGTGCTTATTGTAAAGAAATAGGATATTGGAAGAACAAATGCCCCCAGCTAAAAGGAAAACAAGGTGACTTGGAGCAGGAGGTTCCAGACAAGGAGGAAGGGGCCCTGCTCAACCTGGCAGAAGAGTTATTGGACTGAGGGGGACCGGGCTCAAGGGCCCCCAAAGAGCCTATGGCCAGGATGACAGTCGGGGGTAAAGACATTGATTTTCTTGTAGATACTGGTGCTGAACATTCAGTAGTAACCGCCCCGGTCGCCCCCTTCTCCAAAAAGACTATTGACATAATCAGAGCCATGGGAATTTCAGCAAAACAAGCTTTCTGCTTGCCCCGGACTTGTACTGTAGGAGGACGTAAAGTGATTCATCAGTTTTTATATATGCCTGACTGTCCCTTGCCCTTGTTGGGAAGGGACTTGCTTTGCAAGCTGAGAGCCACTATCTCTTTTACAGAGCATGGCTCTTTGCTGCTAAAGTTACCTGGAACGGGAGTCATTATGACCCTTACGGTCCCCTGAGAGGAGGAATGGAGACTTTTCTTAACTGAGTCAGGCCAAGAGATAAGACCAGCTCTGGCTAAGCGGTGGCCAAGAGTGTGGGCGGAAGACAACCCTCCAGGGTTGGCAGTCAACCAAGCCCCCATACTTATAGAAGTTAAGCCTGGGGCCCAGCCAGTTAGGCAAAAACAGTACCCGGTCCCCAGAGAAGCTCTTGAAGGTATTCAGGTCCCTCTCAAGTGCCTAAGAACCTTTGGAATGATAGTTCCTTGTCAGTCTCCATGGAACACTCCCCTCCTGCCTGTTCCCGAGCCTAAGACCAAGGACTACTGGCCGGGACAGGATTTGCGCTTGGTTAAGCAGGCTACAGTGACTTTACATCCAGCAGTACCTAACCCGTACACATTGCTGGGGTTGCTGCCAGCTGAGGACAGCTGCTTCACCTGCTTGGACCTGAAAGATGCTTTCTTTAGCATCAGATTCGCCCCTGAGAGCCAGAAGCTGTTTGCCTTTCAGTGGGAAGATCCGGAGTCAGGTGTCACTACTCAGTACACTTGGACCTGGCTTCCTCAAGGGTTCAAGAACTCCCCCACCATCTTCGGGGAGGAGTTGGCTCGAGACCTCCAGAAGTGTCCCACCAGAAACCTAGGCTGCGTGTTGCTCCAGTACGTTGATGACCTTTTGCTGGGACACCCCACGGCAGTCGGGTGCGCCAAGGGAACGGATGCTCTACTCCGGCATCTGGAGGACTGTGGGTATAAGGTGTCCAAGAAAAAAGCTCAGATCTGCCGACCGCAGGTACGTTACTTGGGATTTACTATCCGACAGGGGGAGCGCAGCCTGGGATCAGAAAGAAAGCAGGTCATTTGCACTCTACCGGAGCCTAAGAGCAGAAAGCAGGTGAGAAAATTCTTAGGAGCTGCGGGGTTTTGCAGACTGTGGATCCCAAACTTTGCAGTATTAGCCAAGCCTTTGTATGAGGTCACAAAGTAGGGGGACCGGGAACCTTTCGAATGGGGATCCCAACAACAGCAAGCCTTTCGTGAGTTAAAGGAAAAACTTATGTCAGCCCCAGCCCTGGGGCTACCCAATCTGACAAAGCCTTTTACATTGTATGTGTCAGAGAGAGAAAAGATGGCAGTTAGAGTTTTAACCCAAACTGTGGGGCCCTGGCCGAGGCCAGTGGCCTACCTCTCTAAACAACTAGATGGGGTTTCTAAAGGATGGCCCCCATGTTTGAGGGCCTTGGCAGCAACTGCCCTGCTAGTACAAGAAGCAGTTAAGCTGACTCTTGGGCAAAACCTGAACATAAAGGCCCCCCATGCTATGGTGACTTTAATAAATACTAAAGGACATCATTGGCTAACAAATGCTAGACTCACCAAGTACCAAAGTTTGCTCTGTGAAAATCCCCGTATAACCATTGAAATTTGTAACACCCTGAACCCCACTACCTTGCTTCTGGTATCAGAGGGCCCTGTCGAGCATGACTGTGTAGAAGTGTTGGACTCAGTCTACTCTAGCAGACCTGACCTCCAGGACCAGCCTTGGGCACCAGTAGACTGGGAACTATACATGGATGGGGGCAGCTTCATCAACCCACAAGGAGAGAGAGGTGCAGGGTATGCAGTGGTAACCCTGGACACTGTTGTTGAAGCCAGGTCGTTGCCCCAGGCCACTTCACCCAGAAAGCTGAACTCATTGCTTTCATTCGGGCCTTAGAACTCAGTGAAGGTGAGACTGTAAACATTTACACTGACTCTCGGTATCCCTTTTTAACCCTTCAAGTGCATGAAGCATCATATAAAGAAAAGGGCCTATTGAACTCTGGGGGAAAGGACATAAAATATCAACAAGAAATCTTGCAATTATTAGAAGCCGTATGGAAACCCCACAAGGTGGCAGTTATGCATTGCAGAGGACACCAGCGAGCTTCCACCTTGGTGGGCTTGGGGAATTCCCGTGCTGACTCAGAGTTCCGGAAAGGTAGAGCAGATGAATTGGACTATCAAAAATAGTTAAGGGAAAGTATGTCAGGAAACAGGATTAAAATGGATACAGGCTCTCCCTATGGTATTATTTAAAATTAGATGTACCCCTTCTAAAAGAACAGGATATTCCCCTTATGAAATATTATAGGCCCCCTCCCATATTGCGGGGACTTCCAGGCACTCCCCGAGAGTTAGGTGAAATTGAGTTACAGCGACAGCTACAGGCTTTAGGAAAAATTACACAAACAATCTCAGCCTGGGTAAATGAGAGATGCCCTGTTAGCTTATTCTCCCCAGTTCACCCTTTCTCCCCAAGGACTGGAACGTAGCCTCTTTGTGCCCACGGTGGAAAGGACCCCAGACTGTCATCCTGACCACTCCCACCGCTGTGAAGGTAGAAGGAGTCCCAGCCTGGATCCACCACAGCCGTGTAAAACCTGCAGTGCCTGAAACCTCAGAGGTAAGACCAAGCCCAGAGGACCCTTGCAGAGTGACCCTGAAGAAAACGACAAGCCCTGCTCCAGTCACGCCCGGAAGCTGACTGGTCCACGCACGGCCAAAGCATGAGGAAGCTCATCGTGGGATTCATTTTTCTTACATTTTGGACTTACACAGTAAGGGCTTCAACTGACCTTACTCAAAGTGGGGACTGTTCCCAGTGTATTCACCAGGTCACTGACGTAGGACAGCAAATTAAAACAATCTTTCTGTTCTATAGTTATTATGAATGTATGGGCACGTTAAAAGAAACTTGATTGTATAATGCAACTCAGTACAAGGTATGTAGCCCGGGAAATGACCAACCTGATGTGTGTTATAACCCATCTGAGCCCCCTGTAACCACTGTTTTTGACAGAAGATTAAGAACTGGCCTTTTCCCAGGTGATACAAGTAAAATAATAACTAGAACAGAAGAAAAAGGAATCCCCAAACAAGTAACTTTAAGATTTGATGCTTATGCAGCCATTAATAGTAACAAGCTAGGAACAGGATGTGGTTCTCTTAACTGGGAAAGGAGCTACAGAGTAGAAAATAAATATGTTTGTCATGAGTCAGGGGTTTGTGAAAATTGTGCCTTTTGGCCATGTGTTATTTGGGCTACTTGGAAAAAGAACAAAAAGGACCTGGTTCATCTTCAGAAGGGGGACGCCAACCCCTCCTGTGCTGCCGGTCACTGTAACCCACTAGAACTAATAATTACCAATCCCCTAGATCCCCGTTGGAAAAAGGGAGAACGTGTAACCCTGGGGATCGATGGGACAGGGATAAACCCCCAAGTTGCCATTTTAGTTAGAGGGGAGGTCCACAAGCACTCTCCCAAACCAGTGTTTCAAACCTTTTATGAGGAGCTGAATCTGCCAGCACCAGAACTTCCGAAAAAGACAAAAAATTTGTTTCTCCAATTAGCAGAAAATGTAGCTCTTTCCCTTAATGTTACTTCCTGTTATGTATGCAGGGGAACCACTATCGGAGACCGATGGCCTTGGGAAGCCCGAGAGTTGGTGCCTACTGATCCAGCTCCTGATATAATTCCAGTTCAGAAGGCCCAAGCTAGCAACTTCTGGGTCCTAAAATCCTAATTATTGGACAATACTGTATAGCTAGAGAAGGGAAAGACTTTATCGTCCCTGTAGAAAAGCTTAATTGTATAGGACAGAAGTTGTACAACAGCACAACAAAGACAATTACTTGGTGGGGCCTAAACCACACTGAAAAGAACCCATTTAGTAAATTTTCTAAATTAAAAACTGCCTGGGCTCATCCAGAATCTCATCAGGACTGGACGGCTCCCACCGGACTATACCGGATATGTGGGCACACAGCCTACATTCAGTTACCTAATAAATGGGCAGGCAGTTGTGTTATTGGCACTATTAAGCTGTCCTTTTTCTTATTACCCATAAAAACGGGTGAGCTCCTAGGTTTCCGTGTCTATACCTCCCGAGAAAAGAGAGGCATAGTTATAGGAAACTGGAAAGATAATGAGTGGCCCCCTGAAAGGATCATACAATATTATGGGCCTGCCACATGGGTACAAGACGGCTCATGGGGATACCAAACCCCCATCTACATGCTCAATCAGATCATACGGTTGCAGACCGTCTTAGAAATAATTACTAATGAAACTGGCAGAGCTTTGACTGTTTTAGCTCGGCAGGAAACCCAAATGAGGAATGCTATCTATCAGAATAGACTGGCCTTGGACTACTTGCTGGCAGCTGAAGGAGGAGTTTGTGGAAAATTTAACTTAACCAATTGCTGCCTACAAATAGATGATCAAGGACAGGTGATTGAAAACATAGTCAGGGACATGACAAAGTTGGCACACACGCCTATACAGGTTTGGCACAAGTTTGATCCTGAGTCTTTATTTGGAAAATGGTTTCCAGCTATAGGAGGATTTAAAACCCTCATTGTAGGTGTATTGCTAGTAATAAGAACTTGCTTGCTGCTCCCCTGTGTATTACCCTTGCTTTTTCAAATGATAAAAGGTATTGTTGCTACTTTGGTTCATCAGAAAACTTCAGCACACGTGAATTATATGAATCACTATCGCTCTATCTCGCAAAGAGACTCAAAAAGTGAGGATGAGAGTGAGAACTCCCACTAAAAAGTGAAAATTCTCAAAGGGGGGAAATAGGGAATGAGACCACCACTTCTCCTGTTGTCCTTCCCAGCTTCTCCCCAACCTCCCCTTTTCCCTAGTTTATAAGACGGGAGAAAAGGGAGAAAGCAAAAAGCTGGAAAGAAACAGAAGTAAGATAAATAGCTAGACGACCTTGGCGCCACCACCTGGCCCTGGTGGTTAGAATGATAATAATAATATTAACCCCTGACCAAAACGACTGGTGTTATCCGTAAATTCCAGACATTGTGTGAGAAAGCACCGTAAAACTTTTTGTCCTGTTAGCTGATGTGTGTAGCCCCCAGTCACGTTCCTCACGCTTACTTGATCTATTATGACCCTTTCACGTGGACCCCTTAGAGTTGTAAGCTCTTAAAAGGGCTAGGAGTTTCTTTCTCGGGGAGCTCGGCTCTTAAGACGCGAGTCTGCTGACGCTCCCGGCCGAATAAAAACCTCTTCCTTCTTTAATCTGGTGTCTGAGGAGTTTTGTCTGCGACTCATCCTGCTACACTGCTATTTCTCCCTCCTCAGCACAGGTCTTCCCACAGTTCTCTCTTGGCCAGCCGGCTGCATAATTTGCAGAGCCCAGTGCAAAATGAAATTACAGGACCCTGGTTTTAAAAAGGTATTAAGAATTTTAAAGGTCAGGCTCACGCCTGTAATCCCAACACTTTGGGAGGCTGAGGTGGGAGGATGGCTTGAGCCCAGGAATTTGGGACCAGCCTGGGCAACATAGAGAGACCCCTGTCTCTACAAAAAAAAAAATTTTTTTTTTTTGAGACAGAGGTCTCATTCTGTCGCCCAGGCTGGAGTGCAGTGGTGCGATCTCAGCTCACTGCAAGCTCTGCTTCCCAGGTTCGCGCCATTCTGCTGCCTCAGCCTCCCGAGTAGCTGGGACTACAGGCACCCACCACCACGCCTGGCTAATTTTTTTCTTAAAAAATTTTAAAATTACCTCAGAGTGGTGGCACGCACCTGTCTGGGGCCAAGGTTGCCAGAGATTGCCTCGGGATGCTGAGGTGGGAGGATCCCTTGAGCCCAGGAGGTCGAGGCTGCAGTGAGCTGTGATCGCATCACTGCACTCCAGCCTGGGTGACAGAGCGAGACACTGTCTCAAAAAAAAAAAAAAAAAAAAAAAGAATTTAAGATTGCCACAGCAGAGCATTGAGCATTAAACCAAGTGCTGGGAGCTTCTGAGGGAGGCCTGCGACTGTGATGCCAGCCCTATTTGCCCCTCCTCATCCTCAGAAGCCAGGTCCTGCTCTGGGCTGCAGAGAGGGGATTGGGGCTCACAGTTCAGCATGGGAGAGGGCAGCCCAGGGACACCCAGAAAATGGAGGTGTACAGGCCACAGGACCCAGGCCCAGGTGGAGGCCCAGAGACGGTTATGGGTTCAGCTGCCCCTGAAGGATGAGGCAGAGGGAACCACATATACCAAGGGCTGCTGGGAGCAGGGTGGATGCATTCTGAAGCGGAAAGGAGCTCCTCTCGGGGCTGGACCTGGGGTGAGAGAAGGGGTGGGAGGCTGGGAGGCAGGCAGGGCAGTTTCTCAGGTCTTCTAGGTTCAGGAGTACTTTAACTTTATCCTGAGCACAAAGGGACAAAGAGCAGGGGTTCACGGCAGCCTGAGGGAGCAGAGGGCAGTTTTGAGGCACCTCCACCCCTCCCTCTGGCGCACTTTGGCCCATTCTGGCCAGCTCCAGTGGGGCCCCACTCTGGAAAATCAGGCATTTAGTTTTGCTTCCTGGTAATGATAACAACTGACATTTTATGGAGCACATTTCATATGCCAGGCACCCTGGTAAACATTTAACGTGTAGTCAATATGACTTTAACTCAGGGTACAAATATGGTTACTTTTTAATTTTTCTCATTGATTGCTCAAATCCCTCATGTACCATTATTGGCAGAAAAATCCAATATCAGCCTCTTGGAACCCACTCTCAAATTGTCCAAGAACCTCAGGGATTTCCCTCCTCCAAAGAGAGGGTTCTCTGGAAAGTCTGAGCAGTCATCTCCAGTTGTTCCCTCTCTCTCCACACAGGGGCGCTGTGGAACAGCGGGCCTGCACAGTCCTGTGGCTTCTGAGGCTTGGCTACCTTCACTGCACAGGCTGCGGTGGGGCCTATGCTTCCAAAACAAAGTTACCCTTCTCTCAGTCACCCTCACAAGCTCAACGACCTTTCCCCAGAGAGCAGCAGCATGCCAGGGGTGCTGGGTCCTGTGGCCCCCCAGTCAGCTACACAGTCTGTGGGGGAATCCCACAGACTCAGGTTCTCTCTGGCCTGGTGAAGCAACTTTTTAGACAGTAGATTTTAGTTGGTCCCAGGGTCTTAACTCTTTCCTCCTCAAAGGCCCTGGCTTTGCAAAATGGTTCCCTCCTCCCCGGCAACTGGCTGTGCATTCCAAGGGGCCTTGAAAAGGGGTAGCCTTTGTCAGTCCTCAAAAAGTCCAGTTCCACTCTTCCCCCAGGGTAATGGGTGCCTACTCAGCCACATTTACATAACTAAAGGAGACCACTCAAAGAATCCTACTCTTAACAAAGAAAGCTGTTCCTAGGTGACTTATTCTGTGCACCTAAACTGAGAAGGAGCAGGGGGAAGCTTCTGGAATCCTGTTATACACCATGTTCAAAGTAAGAAATGGAGGGCTCTAAGAGAAGGATCCCACGGCTATTGTGTGACAGGCACGATTTGAACTCTGTGCCCTGCACACCTAACCCCCATACTCTACTGTCTCCCAAGAGCCTCCAGCCTCCCATCCTTTTTCCTTAGCAGTAACTTAGTCACAAATATCTGTGTTTGTTGTTTCTGTCTAAAAGGAGGAAAATGTTATGTCCAATGAGCGATTGAAACTGTGATGGTTGGGGGAGCCCAGCGTTATTAGGGCTGTAAGAAATAAATGTTTCCAGAGAGTTATTTAAGCTATTGTGAAGAAAAACTTTTCTGTTCCAGTGAAACACTATACATTATCTAAAGCACAGCCAGACCTGTCTGCTTCCAGCCCCATTCACGGTCTTTGAGCTATTTTGCACCTCTTTTTAAGTTGCAAGTACTGAGGGCTTTGCAAACTGTCTTGTCAGGTGAAGCTTCCATTGACTTCTCTTCCACCCCCCACCAACACCCCCACGGTGGAAAAACCAGTTTGCCGCTGTTTGCAATTCAATTCCTTCACTCCATATAAATTTGTGCTTTTTGATGTCTCCTTTGAACCAGATATAACATCTACCTTGTCCTTTTTATGAGTAAAATAAATCTTTAATACATGCTCATTTTTTATTTCTGAACAAGGGTCATGAATCTACCTTTTTCTGAAAATTGTCTTTTACCAATTGCCTTTATGTGAAAATGAACACAGATACATTATCGAACAGAATGCAATTTTTGCTTATATTTCTAAAACAAAACTTGAATCTTGGAATACATTGTATACTCACTGAAGACCCTTCCAAAGTGAGCCAAAGCTTAGAGCTCAATCCTTTTAGAGGGTTTTGCCCCCCGGGAATTTGAGAAAATATCTAGTCCAGATCGCAACCAGACAGAATGAATCCGAATGAGTGAGTGGGTGGGGCGCGAGCCCAGGCATTTTTTATCGCTCCCAGGTGACTCAAGTTGGGAACTACCGGCCTGGGCTGGGATTGACTGACCCTGCCGTGCAGCCTGTGACCTATCACAAATCACCTTGGCTTTGTTTTTCCTCGGTGCGGCCGAATCCCACAGGAATGCGTGGAATCCCTGCCCTCACCCATGGCGAAGCTGCCCCCCTCGGGCTCCGCCTGCCCCCCGCGGCTCCTCGTCGCCGGGCAGCCAGGAGCTGCTGGGTGGGCGCGGGCGTCCCGGGGCGCGGTGCGACCCAGAGCCCCTCGCGGAACCCGCCTGGGCTGTGCAGGGGACAACGCGTTCGGCTGTCGAGGGTGGGGGAGCCCTGTGTGTGTGGTGGGGGTGGCATCCGATGGATCCCGGGGGCCTGCGGAGGAGGTGGGCATCTCGGCGCCACCCGGTGCGCGCCCCGAGCGAGGGCATCTCCCCTCGAGACCAGCCCGCGGAGCTGCGCGAGGCGTGGGGTAAGGCGGCGTAGACCTCCCAGTGCCGGCTGCAGGGCCGCGGGTCGGGGCGGGGCCCCGCGAGGAGCAAGGGGCTGGCCGGGCTGGAGGGCTGGGTGAGTCCCCGCCCTGGCAATCCCAGAAGAGGGCAGGGAGCGCCCCCAACTGACCGCCGGGGGCATCGTGACGCTGAGGTGGATGGGAGACTGCACGATTTGAGCAGGTTGTGTGAAATCTGGAACTCCATTACTTGTACCCCAAGGCATCTTTTTTATGCGGATTTAAGCTGGAAAGCGCCACACCAAGCTGTTAACAGGAACTGCTTCCTGGCACTGAGATTCCAGGGGCTGCTCGTTCCTTTCTCTGGCTCATCTGTGTAAGGAAGACTTTCCTCCGTGAGCCTTTCCACCAAGCTCAGGCCTGAGGCTTAGGAGAAATGTGCGAGATCCCGACAGCCTCGGAGGGAGTGAGGGGGCTTCGAGACCCTCAGGGCCACCTTAGGGGCCTCTACCAGGGAAGGAGAAATGATCTTGTTTCACCGGCCAGGGAGGTGAGTGCAGCCCCTTCAGGACCTCAAAAATCCCTACTGGGGGCCCACCCTCAGAGGCCTGGTGAGGTCAGAACTAAGGCCTTGGATAGCAGGATACAGTTTGCTGTTCTAATTGTTTAGTATCTGATCTCATAGACAAATGACACAATAATCATTTTTTCATAAAATCTTAATATATAAAGCCAACGATGGTAAGGATATGTTTGGTTTCAAGTGACATGAGATTCTGCTCAGTTGGGCTTGGTGGCTCGCACCTGTAACCCCAGCACTTTAAGAGGCCTAGATGGGCAGATCGCTTGAGCTCAGGAGTTTGAGACCAGCCTGGCAACATGGTGAAACACCACCTCTACAAAAAAGTACAAAAATCAGCCAGGCATGGTGGCATGAGCACCTGTAGTCCCAGCCACTGAGGGTTGCGGAGGGGAGCTGAGATGGGAGGATCCTGGGAGGTTGAGGTTACAGTGCCCATGCACTCCAGCCTGGGTGACAGAATGAGACCCTGTCTCAAAAAAAATAATAATAATAAAAAGAAGGAAAGAAAAGGAAAAAAGAAAGTCTGCTCGAACTGGTTGCGACCAGCAAGGAGATGTGTGGGCTCACAGAAGTGAAAGTACAGGGATGCCTGCCTCAGGGGCTGATGCAGGACAGAAATATAAAACAGCCACTCCCCATACTGGAGCTGCCTAGCTGGAAAGGGGCAGGTTGAGATTGCTCTCAGGTGGCCTGACTGCAAAAGCTGCATGTTAGCCACCACTCAGACACGTGCTAGGGTCTGGAGGATGGAGGCAAGTCTGGAAACAGCTGCCTGTCCACCATGACTGCCTGCAATTTGTTAAGACCACCTGCAATTTGCTAAGCGCTGATGGGGAGGCCAGGCTCAGCTCAGATAGCTCAGCTCCCGCAGACCTAGTCGAATGTTTCTTGCTAGATTTTATGTATTTTTGTAACCAAATGCTCCCATTTTTTCTAAGAAAAACGGAATGAATTACTTTTTTTTTAATTATTATTTTCTATTCTCTCCCCTTTCCCTCCTTCCCGTTTCCTACTCAGCCCTTCAGAAATGCAAATGTAACCGTTCACCTCCCCCTAGACATTCCCTTCAGGGTAATTCCCTTCAGGGCAATTTCTTCAACGGCTCCAAGACAGATCTTTTCCTTGAGAGCTGACAGTCGATTTGCTGACAGTTGATTTCCAGACTGAAGCGTACCTGCCACGGAACTTTTACCTCCATGGGGTGACCTTAGAACTTCTGCTCTGCAAACTGGAAGTGACCTTCATCCTCCAGGAGGGTATGTCGAAAGCATTCCCGCTTGGCCACTTTTACAAGTTATTTCTGCCTGGGAAGGCACCAACTCAATTATCCAGTAGATAAGATACGGGGCAACAGGGGAACGCCTGCCTTGCATACTTGCTCACCCCCGACCTTATAAAAGTGTCCATGTTACTGCTCCAAAGGTGAAGCAGCACATGTAAAGGCAGGACGCGTTGTGTCCCTTCCCCAAGCTACCTTTGGAATACATTCACTTTTCTTACACCAGACCTCGCGCTTGTTCATTGGACTCTGCATGCGATGAGCAACTAACCTGCTTTTCAGTTATGCTTTGGAGCCATGTTGTTTAGCACTTAGAAAATAGAGGTGGGTCTGGGCGCGGTGGCTCATGCCTATAATCGCAGCATTTTGGGAGGCCGAGGTGGGTGGACCACTTGAGGTCAGGAATTCAAGACCAACCTGGCCAACTTGGTGAAACCCTGTCTCTACTAAAAATAGAAAAAATGAGCCCAGCATGGTGGCACATCCCTGTAATCCCAGTTACTCGGGAGGCTGAGGCATGAGAATTGCTTGAATCCGGGAGGTAGAGGTTGCAGTGAGCCGGCATCACGCCACTGCACTCCAGCCTGGGCCACAGAGTGAGACTCCATCTCAAAAACAAAAAAAAAAAAAAAAAAAGAAAAAGAAAATAGAGGGTGTCTGATAAAAATGTACCTTCTCTAGTGTGCAGCACAGTAAATCCAGCACCCCAGAGATGTCCTGCCTGGCTCCCTGGAACCCGTCTGTGCACATGATGAGATGTCACCTCTGTAATTAGCTTAGGTTACATGGCACAATTAGCCTTAAAATAGGGAAATATTCTGGGTGAGCCTCATCTAATCCCATGAGACCTTAAAAGCAGAGAGCTTTCTCCCACTGGTGGCAGAAGGAGAAGTCAGACTAGAAGCAGAATTCACATGCCATTGTTGACCTGAAGACTGAGGGACAAGGTGGCAAGGAATGATAGCAAATTCTAGAAGCTAACAGCAGCCCCTGGCTGGCAGCCAGCAAGGAAATGGGAACTTCATACTGAATTCTGCCAGTAATAGAAATGAGCTTGGAAGAGGACCCTAAATTCCAGGGGAGGGATGCAGCTGGACAGAGAACCTAGCCATGCTGTACTGGTCTCCTGACCTGTGGGACTGTGGCAAAATAAATGGATGTTGTGTTAAAAAGAAAAAACCTAAACACTCAGAAAAAAAGAAAAATGTTGGCAGTACAAAGAGATATTGCCAGAAACACAAATATAGTGAGTCTTTAACATACTATTTAACAACCTAGAAGAGATTTAACTTACCAAAATCAGAGACATCAGGCCAGACAGGGTGGCTCACGCCTGTAATCCCAGCACTTTGGGAAGCCAAGTGGGTGGATCACTTAAGGCCAGGAGTTCAAGACAAACCTGACCAACGTGGTGAAACCCCATCTCTACTGAAAATACAAAAGTTATCCGGGTGTGGTGGCATGCACCTGTAATCCCAGCTCCTTGGGAGGCTAAGGCAGAAGAATCTCTTGAACCCGGGAGGCAGAGGTTGCAGTGAGCCTAGATTCCACCACTGCACTCCAGCCTGGCCTGGACAACAGAGCAAGACTCTCTCAAAAAAAATAAAAATGAAAATAAACCAAAGACATCAAAGACCCAAACAATACCATGAGTAGTTTGAATCAAAGATCTGTATCAAATTCTGTACCACACACAGCTTGTATCTTCTTTTTGCATATGAAACCTTTACCATGTATGTGTATTAGAAGGAAAGACAACATCAACTATCCCCCAAGGCAGAAATTAAACAGGCCAAACTCTATGTCCACAATATACGGTAAATCAGAAATTACCCACAAAATTAAACCAAACAAGAACAATGACAAAAATCCTAGCCTGTTTCTTAAATAACTGTTGAGTCAAAGAGAAAGTAAAAACTATAATGGTTCATTGTTTTGAAATCGGGAAGACCACATAATTATATTTAAGGGAATAATGTCAGTTTACCTCATTTTGACTTCAAGGGGTGTTACGTGTCAGGCCTTGGGCTTAAGGCTGTAGCTGCTGAACATTGCCCAATTTAACAACTATAAATGCATTCATTATTGTAAAAATAAAAATAAAAACAAGTGAACTAATGTTTCAACTCAACATTGCACGAGAAGAATTTTATTTTTATTTATTTATTTTTTTGAAACAGGGTCTCACTCCATTGCCCAGGCTGGAGTGCAGTGGCACCATCTTGGCTCACTGCAACCTCTGCCTTCCAGGCTGAAGAGCTCCTCCCACCTCAGCCTCCCCAGTGGCTGGGACTATAGGCACGCCCTCCAGGCCTAGCTAATTTTTATATTTTCGGTAGAGATAGGGTTTTGCGATGTTGCCCAGGCTGGTCTCAGTCTCCTGAGCTCAATTCATCTGTCCACCTCAGCCTCCCAAAGTGCTGAGACTACAGGCACGAGCCAGCACGCTGGGCCAGAAAAGAACTTTATTTATTTATTTTTTTTTGAGACGGAGTCTTGCTCTGTCACCCAAGCTGGAGTGCAGTGGTGTGATCTTGGCTCACTGCAACGTCCTCCGCCTCCTGGGTTCAAGTGATTCCCCTGTCTCAGCCTCCTGAGTAGCTGGGATTACAGGCACCTGCCACCACACCCAGCTAATTTTTGTATTTTTAGTAGAGACAGGGTTTCGCCATGTTGGCCGGGCTGGTCTTGAACTCCTGACCTCAGGTGATCTGCCCGCCTCGGACTCCCAAAGTGCTGGGATTACAGGTGTGAGCCACCACGACCAGCCCAGAAAAGAACTTTAAAGCAGAGTAAAACAAAACCAGAAAAAAGAAATAATAAAGACATAAGAGAGATGAGTCAAATTTAATGAATTTGAAAGGAGTAGATAAATTGTCGGTTATTTTTTTAAAAAAGCATTAAAATAGCTAAACCTATGCCAAATTTAATGAAAGACAAGTGTAATTAGCAAGTTAATTAAATGCAGTTTAAAGTGTAAAAGTATAAGAATTATAATTCATATATGAATAGATTTTTAATTTTTTATTCTTAAAATTAATTTTTTTTTTTTACAGAGTCCTGCTCTGTCGAACCAGGCTGGAGGGCAGTGGAGCGATCATAGCACACTGTAGCCTTGACCTCCTGGGCTCAAGCGATCCTCTTGCCTCAGCCTCCTGGGTAGCTAGGACTACAGGCATGTGGTACCACACCCTGCCATGAGTAGATTTTAAATCTTGTTGAAAAGTATGTGGCCTGAGCAACATGGAAAAACCCCATCTCTACTAAAAATACAAATATTGGCCAGGCATTGTAGCATGCACCTGTAGTCTCAGCTACCTGGGAGGCTGAGGCAGGAGAATTGCTTAAACCCGGGAGGCAGAGGTTGCAGTGAGCCGAGATTGTGCCACTGTACTCCAGCCTTGGTGACATAGTGAGATTCTGTCTCAAAAAAAAAAGAAAAGTATGGTTCAAATAAACAAAAGGAATAGAGTCAAAAAGAAAGGAAGCCAGGTGTGGCACACACCTGTACTCCCATCTATTAGGGAGGCTAAGGTAGGAGGCTCACTTGAGCCCAGGAATTCAAAGCTGCAGTGAGCTGTGACCATCGCACTGCACTCCAGCCTGTGCGACAGAGCCAGACCCTGTCTCTAAAAATAAAGAAAACCCATATGCTCTCATAATCCAGGAACAATTGGAAAGAGTTATCAGTCACCTTCCCAGAGTCTCTGGAGACCATTTGGGCAGTAAGTTCTTTCAGGCAGTAAGGTCTTTCAAACTCCCAAGAAACAACTAGTTCTAGCCTATGAGCCCATTTTTGCCATGGCAAAAAATGACAAGCTCTCCAATTCATTGTATGAAATTAATATAACACTGATCCCAAAGCCAGCAAATAGAGCACAGTTAAATTACCCCTGAATCCCACAAACTGCATTGTAGCCAGAAGCCGCCTTGCTATCCTGGTCTCATAGCTTTCAGGTATTTGGCTCCTCATTTGTTCCTAAATCCTACTGACAGGGACATGAGGCGGGAAAAAAAAAAAAAAAAAGAATCTGCCAAAGATGGCCGGACTTCAGGGGAAGATTACCTACCCCACATCCCCCTTAACAGCTCCCCTTCCCACTGAAAGCCTTTTTTTTTTTTTTTTTTTTTTTTTTGAGAAGGAGTTTCACTCTGTCGCCCAGGCTGGAGTGCAGTGACACATGCCCTCCAGGCCCAGCTAATTTTTGTATTTTCGGCTCACTGCAACCTCTGCCTCCCAGGTTCAAGCAATTCTCCTGCCTCAGCCTCCCGAGTAGCGGGGACTACAGGCACGCGCCACCACACCCAGCTAATTTTTGTATTTTTAGTGGAGATGGGGTTTCACCATGTTGGCCAGGATGGTCTCCATCTCTTGACCTCGTGATCCGCCCGCCTCAGCCTCCCAACGTGCTGGGATTACAGGTGTGAGCCACGGTGCCCAAACCGAGCCATTTTCATTGGCAATAAAATCTCCCACATTTACTATCCTTCAATTCGTTCGTGTGACCTCATTTTTCCTGGATGCCGGACAAGAGCTTAGGAGCCACAAGTGTGGATACGAAAGGCTGTCACACTGGCCCTTCGCCCTCGCTAGCAGAGGGCAGCCATGGGCCCACTGAGAGCTGTTAACACTTAAGCCGTCCGTGGACAGCAGAGCTAAAAGAGCACTCTAACATGGCCTCCGGGGCCCCGGGAGTCGCAGGCACCCTGCCTGGACGCTGTTGTGGGGCCTGAACGAAGTTCACTGCTGCCGGCGCCCAAAAGCGCTCGCTCCAGCTCCTGCACCTGCTCAACTGTGTGCTCCCTTTCACGAGGGTCGGAATGCGGTGGATCTGAGAGAGTGGAGTCTGATCCCGCCCGCACTGAAACAGCTGGCTGGTTCCAGCACTCCTGCGCTCCAGTTCCCGCCTCGTTTGCTGTGTGCTCCCTCCCACCAGCAGTTGAGAGCAGTGGGCTAAGTAAACTAGGCACCCCTGTCCAAAGTCCTGAGAAGGGCTCAAGGAACTATCCTGCTTCACTATTGATCAGTGGTCTCCCTGTCAGGGGCAGATCCGGCCTTCTCTTCTCAAATTATCCTGGGTGATAATACCCATTGGGTTTGTCTCCTGGGTGATTCCCTCCACGGCTGAACCTCACCCACTACCTTCTCGTCAGTGTCATTGACTCTGCACACAGGTTACTGTTGCTCACCCACCACTGGTGCCTCTGACCCTTCTAGGACCATCTAGGTTCCCCCTGAGTAACTCAGGGGCATTGCTGACCAGCTGTGGACCAGAAGGCTCCCTTAGGGCACGTGCTGCATGGTAGGGCTAACTGTGGCTGTCCCCCAAGACCTGTGGGGTCAGGCCCTTCCCTCTGATGTTGGGGTTGGGGACCTTGCAGCGGAGTCAGAGGGAGAAGCTTCGTGTTCCCTCCACCCCAGGATCCTCCACCGAAGTAAGTAATTTGACACAGAGGAAACCAGATGCACAAAAATTAAAAGGATAAACCGTAATTCAGCTAAAATACCCAAGGGTTGAAATTGCCAAAGGACGTGCAAAATTCAAGGAAAAAAAGATACGAAAGTGGGCCGGGCGCGGTGGCTCACACCTGTAATCCCAGCACTTTGGGAGGCCGAGGCGGGTGGATCACGAGGTCAGGAGATCGAGACCATCCTGGCTAACATGGTGAAACCACGTCTCTACTAAAAAAAATACAAAAAAAAATTAGCTGGGCGCGGTCCGGGCGCCTGTAGTCCCAGCTACTCGGGAGACTGAGGCAGGAGAATGGCGTGAACCCGGGATGCGGAGCTTGCAGTGAGCCGAGATCGCGCCAGTGCACTCCAGCCTGGGCGACAGAGAGAGACTCTGTCTCAAAAAAAAAAAAAAAAAAAAAGATACAGAAGTGAAATAATAAAGGTAAAGGAATGAGATAGCCAGGAAAAGATAAGCCAACTTAAACAGAAAAGCTAGGAGGAGCCAGGTAACTCAGAATGGTAGGTGTGCTAGATTGAACAATGTGTGTCTAAAGTCACACACAAACAAAACAATTTCGACCTATGTGTTTTAAAATTAAAAAACAAGAAGTAGCTGGGCACAATGGCTCACACCTGTAATCCCAACACTTTGGGAGGCCCAGGTGGGAGGATTGTTTGAACCTGGGAGTTCAAGACCAGCCTGGGAGACCCATCTCTACAAAAAATTTAAAAGATGAGCCCTGCGTGGTGGTGCACACCTGTGGTTCCAGCTATCAGGGAAGCTGAGGCAGGAGGATCGCTTGAGCCCAGGAAGTCGAGGCTGTAGTGAGCCATGTTTGCACCACTACACTCCAGCCTGGATGACAGAGCAAGACCCTGTCTCAAAAAGGAAAAAAGAGAAACCAAAAGGACCTCCATAAAACAAGAAGTAGCAGGCAGTTGGGTGCAGTGGCTCACCCTGTAATCCCAGCACTTTGGGAAGCTCCCTTGAGCCCAGGAGTTCCAGACAAGCCTGGGCAACATCGTGAGACTCCATCTCTACAAAAAATTCAAAAATCAGCCAACGCGGTGGTGCACCCTTGTAGCCCTAGCTACTCAGCAGGTTGAGGCAGAAGGATCGCTTGAGCCCAGGAGTTCAAGGTTACAGTGAGCTATGATCGTGCCACTACACTCCAGCCTGAGCAATAGAGCAAGACCTTGTCTCAAAAAAAAAAAAAAAAAAAAAAAGTAGCAGACAAAGAGCATGAGCTCATAAAGGGTCATCTGGACTGAAATCTGGGGGTGAAGGAGAGGGCAGGGCCCCAGCACCCCAGCAGCCTGGACACACTCCTGCGCCAGGTGCAGCCCCCTTTTCAGGGGATGAATGGGGGACTTGTCTTCCTCTGCATTCCTTGACCAGCCTGAGTGCCAGCCTCACCTCACTGGCGCTGGAGGAAAAGCAGTGGCCTACGGAGACCCCAGTCCCAGGCTGGCTCCTGTTCTTGCTCCAGACAGAACTTTTGAAGCCCTTGGTGTTGCTAAAAGTGCTTGTTTCTTGGCCCCGCTCCTCTCACTCTGGGGACTAGGAGGGCTGAGGCTGTTATCCAGGTTGACAGGGACTGCTTTGTCCCTCGGTCAGGGCTCTGTCCTCACAACCTTTCCGGGCCTTCTCAGAGTCTGTGGGCCACCCATTTGGCCACCCACACTGCTGAGGGTCACCGGGCAGAAAATGCGGAGTTTCTGCATTCCATTTGAAGCTGCTTGGTGTTCCGTCTGAACAAACCATGGTGTATTTAACCAGCCTCTGTGGATGGACGGTGCTAGATCAGTCCTTGTTAATGTAACATCACTCCCATCCCCTTCTACATCTCCCTGCATTTCCAGAGCCCCTTTCCAGTATGTCCTAGGCTGAATTCTGCCCATGAAGGAAGCAGAAGCCATTGGTCTCCAGCAGCTACTATGGTTAGGCAGCAAAACTCATGGCAGACTCCTTTCCTCGGCTTCTGGGCATCACCCTGCATGACCCCCACTGCAGTGCTATAAGCAGCTGAGATCCAGCCAGACACAGTGGCTCACACCTGTAATCCCAGCACTTTGGGAGGCCAAGGCTGGCGGATCACTTGAGGTCAGGAGTTCGAGACCAGCCTGAGATCCTTGGTGACAGCTTCCGGCAGCTCCAGGTGTCCCCCTGGGCATCATGTGCTTTGGCCCTGCCAGCACCGAGGATCACTGGTGATGACTTCCCTGCCATCTCCTAACTTCTAGAACTTTCCTGGCCTTTCCTCTCCCAGCCCTTCCAATGCTTCTCTTTCTGCTCAAAATACCTAGAGTGGCTTCTGTTTTCTTGATTGAACCCTGACTGCTACAAACAATACCCTCGCATATCCTGCACATGCCAGGAACACATGCCAGTCTATCTGTAGTATAAGTTACTAGAAGTCAAATTTTCAGGTCAGTTTCAAGGTTGCTGGTGTATTAGTTTGCTAGGGCTGCCATAACAGAGAACCACAGACTGGGTGGCTTAAACAACGGAAAATTTATTTCCTCACAGTCTGAGGCTGAAGTCTGAGATTAAGATGTTGGCAGAGTTAGTTTCACTCTATGGGTGTATGTGTCCAAATTTCCTCTTCTTATAAAGACATCTGTCATATTGGATTAGGGCCCCACCCTAACAATCTCATTTTAACTTAATTCCCTCTTTAAAGACCCTGTCTCCAAATACAGTCACATTCTGAGGTACTGGAGGTTAGGACTTCAGCGTGTGAATTTTGAGGGGATGCAACTCAGTCCATAACAGATAACTAGCTATTCCCAACTCACCCTCCCTGGCAATTGTCCCAAACAGCAGGTACATGAAATGTGTCAGCAAACCTGGTGATCATCACCAATCTAACAGGTAAGAAAATGCACATAGTGTTGTTTTAATTTGCATTTCTCCTACTCTGAGTGACATTAACATCTTTTCATGTGTTTGAATCATTCATATTTCCTTTCCTGAGAAAGATTTGTACAGGACAATTTTCTAGGTGACCTTAAACCAGCCCGGTTCTCCCATCTTTCTTGCTTGTAGTTCTGAAAATTAACTGTAGAATGTGCTAGAAATGCAACATCTTGAGATAAGGGGGAGCTGGCCAGAACTGCTCAGGCTCTGTTCCAGTTCCGCCTTAGAAACAGGGTGGCTCATGCCTGTAATCCCAGCACTTTGGGAGGCCAAGGCAGGCAGATCACCTGAGGTCAGGAGTTCAAGACTAGCCTGGCCAACATGGTGAAACCCCGTCTCTACCAAAAATACAAAAAATTAGCCAGGCATGGTGGCAGGCACCTGTAATCCCAGCTACTCGGGAGGCTGAGGCAGAAGAATTGCTTAAACCCGGGAGGTGGAGGTTGCGGTGAGCCAAGATCGCACCACTGTACTCCAGCCTGGGCAACAAGAGCGAGACTCTGTCTCAAAAAAAAAAAAAAGAAAAGAAACAGGGTGTCCTTCAACACTGTAGCTCAGCCACTCACAGAGCATAAAGCTCAGGGCAGGCTGCTTTTCAGGGTTCTTCAGCCATGGTGCAGGTGGGACGCATGAAGTCAAGATTCCATCAGCCCTGGGCAGCTGGCCTGAGCCTGGGGAACTGGCTCTGAATGAATCCTAGGCCTCTGTTGCCCCTTGCTGCCAATCTGTAATAAATCCTCATCGTGTAACTGGGTACATGTGAGTGTGTTCCGTCTCACCAGATGCCGACAAGTTGGTAAGCCGCGCACGGTGAGCCTGCTTCGCGGTTGGTTCATATCCTTTGCCTATTTTTCTATTGGCTTATTTGTCTTTGTCTTTGTCTTTTTTTCCATTGCGACACCTACTAAAATGGGATTGACTTTTACTTATTTGTTGAAGGGGTTCATTAAAGACATTTATCTGATATGCACTGAAAATATTTTTCCATTTGTCATCTATCTTTTGACTTTGTTCATAATTTTTCTGTGATACAGTGATATTTTAATGTAAATTTTCCATCTTTTCCTTAATGGCTTCTAGGTACTATGTCGTTATTCTTAGAAAGTCCTCTCCTACCCAAAAAGCACTGAAAATTTAAAAATTAAAAACAAGACTGGACGTGGTGGCTCACACCCGTAATCCCAGCAATTTGGGAGGCCGAGGCGGGTGGGTCACGAGGTCAGGAGTTTGAGACCAGCCTGGCCAGCATGATGAAACCCCGTCTCTACTAAAAATACAAAAATCAGCCGGGCCTGGTGGCGCATGCCTGTAATCCCAGCTACTAGGGAGGCTGAGGCAGGAGAATTGCTTGATCCTGGGGGGCGGAGGTTGCAGTGAGCCGAGATCGCGCCATTGCACTCCAGCTCTGGGCAACAGAGCAAGACTCTGTCTTGGAAAAAATAAATAAATAAAAATTAAATTTAAAAAGCTCTTTCCAACTTTAAGTTATAAAATAAATTTTCCATATTTTCTTCTAGTACTGTCATATTTCACTTTTTACATTAACATATTTGATCCACCTGAAATGTATTTTAATATAAGACATGAGGTATTGCTGGGCGTGGTGGCTCATGCCTGTAATCTCAGCACTTTTGGAGGCCAAGGCAGGATGATCACTTGATTCCAGGAGCACAAGATCAGCCTGAGCAACATAGTGACACCCCATTTCTACAAATAATAGTCTAAAAATATTAGCCAGGAGTGGTGGTGTGTGCCTGTGGTCCTAGCTACTCAGGAGACTGACAGGAGTATCACCTGAACCTGGGAGCAGTGAGCCATGATCACACCACTGCACTCCAGCCTGGGTGACAGAGTGAGACCCTGTCTCAAAAAAAAAAGATATTAATATAATTTTTCCTCTAGGCAGATGGTATTCCAGTTACGCCAACACCAGTGGAAGTGGCAGATTTATTACGTACTGAATTATCGTGTGGACTTGGGTCTAATTCCATGTTTCCTGGGCACATTTGAGACCTCTGCACTTCTCAAACCTCTGACTCTGACATCTCCCCTCTTTTCATCAGATGACCTTGCCTTTTAATTCAAAGAGCACGTGGAAGGACTCGTGGGAAGAGCACCTCCAGTTTAAAAACAAAAGACCCATCCCCTGCTTGCCTCCACCTGAGTCTCAGAGCCCACCCTTCCCAAGCGCTTAGGACCACTGTCTCTCTTCTGTGGTCAACATCCATTGCTCCACTAATCCTTCTCCATAGCCTTTTCTTTTCTTTTCTTTTCTTTTTTTTTTTTTTTTTTGAGACGGGGTCTCATTCTGTTGCCCAGGCTGGAGTGCAGTGGTGCCATCTCGGCTCACTGCAACCTTTGCCTCCCAGGTTCAAGCGATTCTCACACCTCAGCCTCCCAAGTAGCTGAGATTACAGGCACCTGCCAACACGCCCAGCTAATTTTTGTATTTTTAGTAGAGACAGGGTTTCACCATGCTGGCCTCGAACTCCTGACCTTATGTGACCCGCCCACCTCAGCCCCCCAAAGTGCTGGGATTGCAGGCCTGAGCCACCGCGCCTAGCTCCATGGCCTTTTAAATGGGCTCAAGACTTTTACGTGTTGAAAACAAACAAAAACAAGAAACTCCTTCAACCCCATGAACCTCTTCAGCTGTGTCCCTACTCTCATCCCACAGCCACATTCCCTGAGGGAATTGTAGTCTCTGCAGTCCCGTTCCCCAGTTACTCCTCAAGACCCTGCACCCCGCTCATCCAGAGTCAGAAATAGTGGAGAGTTCTTGGTCTTGCTTGGTGTCTGGTCTGTCCTCCCAGCTCTGAACGACCACATCCTCTGCCAACATCAAGCAGGACTTCAGCTGGACAGGATGTGGCTCATGACAGCCACTTTCACATGGTTCCCAGAAGGGGAGCCAAAGGGTAGGAGGTCTCAGAGGTGGCAGCCTTCAGTCTCCTGCGAGAGGGAGAGGAGCCGCTGGTCTTCTCTTCCGCAAGTGACCAGTCAGGAGTCCGAGTCCACCCACAGAGGTTGCAGAAAGCAACAGGGCTTGCTCCAAAAGCCTGAACATCACTGGGGTCTGGGGCTGTAAGGGGGTACCGGGGGGCTCATGAGAGGGCAGTGTAAGTGCCTTCCTGCCCATCTTCAAGCCAGGCCCTGGAGCCAGCCACCTGCCTCAGCAATTTCCCCATTGCCAGTTCCAGGCCAGGTGAGACTCGTAAAATCACTCACAAAGCAGAATGTGTAGTCAGAGCTGGGGAAGCACCAGCCTGAGGGGCAGGAGGCTAAAGTCAGGAGCTGTGTACTAAGCAATTCACACGCTCCCTCTCCCCAGAGAGATCTGGCCTTTGTGCCTTTGTCCTGGCTCCTGGAAGACCACACCTGATGGTTTACCGTTACCCTAATGAGGTGACTCATGATGGGCCCCTGAGGGCGAGAGCTGTCAGAGCAACCCCCGGGGCGAAGAAACAAGCTAGAGACCCAGTTCAACCTCACAGGCAATGATTCCATCACCCTGCCCACAGAGGGAAACTGCAACACAAATTCTGACATCAAAGCCCGGGGAAGCTTCCGTGGTTGGCGGTACTCTGCGAATTGTCATACATCACAGCAAGGAGGAGGTGATGCCACACCCGTTGGCGGTACTCTGCGAATTGTCACACATCACAGCAAGAAGGAGGTGATGCCACACCGGTGGCTGCCAGCTCCTCATCAGGACCCTCCCTGGACTCTACCCTGTGTCTCTTCCTTTGGCTGGTTCTAATTAGTATCCTTTCCCGTTCATAAACATGGGGGCAATAGTGCTGTGCTTAAGGAAGCACCAGCAATTGGAGGTGAACCCAGACAGGAAGAATCCAGCCCCAGCCTTGTCCCGCCGTCTGAGGATGACACCAGGAAGTCCTGACCTCCCAGGACCTGAAGCAGAAGGGCGCTTGGTATGGTGACATGGGCGGGACGGTCTGCCACTGGGTCGACCAGCCCACCTTTGTGATGAACCTAAGTAGATTAATTTCATTTTCTGGGAGGGTGTAGTGGGTGGAGGGCACAGATAGTCAGCCAAAGTATCATCCCAGACCCAAAGAATCAGGGGATCTGTTTGCTTTTTCAATAAAAAGAGATGGGGGTAAGTTTGTGCAGATACGAGGAGCACTTAAAATCACAGGTAGAATAATAGGAGAAGAACAGAATTGTCTGAGTTTAGTGCAAGGAGAGGGAGAGGCCTCAGAGCCACTGGGGCAAACCCCAGCCCTTGCAAACAACGCTTCCTCAACACCCGTAGGCAGCCATGGTTTTTTCGGATGGATCTAGCTTGGGGCAACCACAGCTTAAGGAAGAACTAGGGGTACCGTGTCTTCAGCTGGGGAGCAGAGCCCACAGGCCTGCTGAGCCCTCAGCCTCCAGTTCCCCGGTGGGGCCTTCCAGCTTCACTGCTTCCTCAGAGCCTGTGGGAACATTGCTACCTCCACCCTTCACCATGATTGGTGTGGGCCTTTGCATTATCCTCTGTTAACCTGCAGGTGGTCTTAACCTGGGGTCCACGAATGCCCACAGGGTCCACAGAGAGCATTCAGGGGACTCATATGCATGGATGGGAATAAATAGACATCTTTGTTTTCACCAACCCTTAACTTTTCTTCAAAATTTGTTAAGGTAGTGGCAAAAAACCACAATAGTATTAGCAGTTCTGTGACTTTGTCACTATATCAGTCAGATCGCAACCAGAGAAACACAACCAGCAGGAGGTACAGCCCATGCTCCTGATTCGTGGTGGTTATGTTCTATAAAATCACCACAAACACTGGATTAGTGAATGTTGAAGCTTTGCTCCTGGGAGAAATTAGGTTCCTCCTTAGGTACCTGTGAGGGTCTGGTCACAGTATTTTCTTTCTTTCTTTTTTTTTTTTTGGACCGAGTCTCACTCTATTGCCCAGGCTGGAGTGCAGTGGTGTGTGGTGCATTCTCAGCAAACTGCAACCTCCACTGCCTGGATTCAAGTGATTCTCGTGCCTCAGCCTCCCAAGTAGCTGTGATTACAGGTGTGTGCCACCACGCCTGGCTAATTTTTTTTATTTTTAGTAGAGATGGGGTTTCACCATGTTGACCAGGCTGGTCTCAAACTCCTGGCCTCAAGTGATCCGCTCACCTCGGCCTCCCAAAGTGCTGGAATTACAGGCTTGAGCCACCATGCCCGGCCTAGTCACAATATTTTCCTCAGTCGACCAACGCATAACCTTTTTTTATGTTTGTTTCTGTTTAAAGACACTGAAGTTAATATACAGTTGATTCATTAATTTTTTTTTTTTAGATGCAGTTTTACTCTTGTTGCCCAGGTTGGAGTACAATGACATGATCTTGGCTCACTGCAACCTCCGCCTCCCAGGTTCAAGCCATTCTCCTGCCTCAGCCTGCTGAATAGCTGGGATTACAGGCATGTGCCACCATGCCCAGCTAATTTTTTGTAGTTTTTAGTAGAGATGGGGTTTCACCATGTTGGCCAGGCTGGTCTAACTCCTGACCTCAGGTGATCCTCCTGCCTCGGCCTCCTAAAGTGCCAGAATTACAGACATGAGCCACCACGCCCAGCCTGATTCATTAATATTGGACTCACGGCACCATAACTCACACCTGAATGAAGCTTCTCCAACGCACAGATTTTCTCCCTATAGCACATCACATCCTTCTTGCTCTTAGGAGCACCAGAAAGCTCATCAGCAGTTCACTTGGGGGCCACATGAAGCAAGAAAACCAGCAACAAAAAGCACAAAATACAAAAAAAGTGGCACTGGCTGGGCGTGGTGGCTCACGCCTGTAATCCCTGCACTTTGGGAGGCTGAGGCAGGCAGATCACAAGGTTAGGAGTTCAAGACCAGCCTGGCCAACATGGTGAAACCCCATCTCTACTAAAAATACAAAAATTAGCCGAGTGTGGTGACACGCACCTGTAGTCTCAGCTACTCGGGAGGCTGAGGCAGGAGAATTGCTTGAACCTGGGAGGCAGAGGTTGCAGTGAGCCGAGATCGCGCCATTGCACTCTAGCTCTGGGCGACAGAGCGAGACTCTGTCTCAAAAAAAAAAAAAAAAGTGGCACTAAATAGACCACCAAAAGGACACATGTTTACAGTGTGAGAGCTGAAACAAGAAGGCAGGCTCAGCCGGGCATGGTGGCCCACGCCTGTAATCCCAGCACTTTGAGGCAGGTGGATCACGAGGTCAGGAGTTCCAGACCAGCCTGGCCAAGATGGTGAAACTCCGTCTCTACTAAAAATACAAAAATTAGCTGGGTGTGGTGGCGCATGCCTATAATCCCAGCTACTCGGGAGGCTGAGGCAGGAGAATCGCTTGAGCCAGGGAGGCAGAGGTTGCAGTGAGTCGAGATCGTGCCACTGCACTCCAGCCTGAGCG